>NC_000017.11:20817295-21143480 GCF_000001405.40 Homo sapiens
TTCATTAGGTACTGTTAGTGTAAAAAAAAAAATCAGTCTTTATTTGGAATATTATGTCATAAGGCTGTACAATCACATTAAGAGTTCTGTGATTCAACTGAGTGGATTAGTTTAGGTTTAGTTCATGTGACCACCACGAACCCAGAGGCCAGAGGAATGGGATGCATTAGGCCTAGTCATGTGTTATAAAGGGCCAGTGGTAGTATCCTATCAGATTGTGTTGACTGTGAGAGAGTGAGCAGTGGATCCCAAAGGAAAATTAGGGCTGTGACCAGATCACTGGGAATGTAGTACAGACTGTGCACTGCACAAGTCCAAGGTCACCATTCACATAGTCTGCAATGTGATTGGCATCCCTTGGAGTTGTGCAGTGCACAACCTGTGCAGCTATATGCAGTAACCCTTGGTGTGACTCAGAAAGGGAATAATAAATGCTTTAGAGGCAAATTACAAATGTCCACTATTCTGACTGGCTACATTTGCTTATCTAGTTGTTCCCAAAAGGCTTCAGACAATATTTATGATCCCCACTCTTATTTATTTATCAGGTCTATGTCCTGTCTCTGCAACAGTAGTTTTCGACTCTTTTTTTCCTGCTACAATATACATAAAGAATGATTTTTATGTAAGTTTGTACCTAGGATAGGTATAATCCTAAAGTGTGTTTTGGATCTAATCCTTTGTCACTCACTCAAGAAAGCAAATATGTGGAGCCGGGCACCATGGCTCACACCTGTAATCCCAGCACTTTGGGAGGTTGAGGCAGGCAGATCACCTGAGACCAGGAGTTTGAGACCAGCCTGGCCAATATGGTGAAATGCCACCTCTACTAAAATTACAAAAATTAGCCGGGCATGGTGGCACACGCCTGTAATCCTAGCTACTCAAGAGGCTGAGGCAGGAGTGTTGCTTGAGCCTGGGAAGTGGAGGTTGCAGTGAGCCGAGATCACACCACTGCACTCCAGACAGGGTACAGAGTGAGACTCCATCTCCAAAAAAAGAGAGAGAGAGAGAGAGAAAGAAAAAAAAGAAAGAAAGGAAAAAAGAAAGGAAAGGAAAGGAAAGGAAAGGAAAGAAAGAAAGAAAGAAAGAAAGAAAGAAAGAAAGAAAGAAAGAAAGAAAAGAAAGAAAGGGAAAAAGAAAGAAAGAAAGAAAGGAAGAAAGAAAGAAAGAAAGAGAAAGAAAGATATGTGCCAGGCATGGTGGCTCACACCTGTAATCCCAGCACTTTGGGAGGCTGAGACAGGAGGATCACTTGAGCCAGGAGGTTTTGGCTGCAGTGAACCAAGATCATGCCACTGTACTTCAGCCTGGGCAGAGTGAGACCTGTCTAAAAAATCATAATAATAAATGTAGGAGTGTAAATTAGATAAACCATTGTTGGAAGACAGTGTGATGATTCCTCAAAGACCTAAAAACAGAAATACTATTTGACTCAGCAATCCTATTATTAGGTGTATACCCCCCAAAAATATAAATCATTCCATTATAAAGACACGTGCATGCATATGTTCATTGCAGCACTATTCACCATAGCAAAGACAAGGAATCAACCTAAATGCCCATCAGTAATAGACTGGATAAAGAATATGTGGTACATATATACCTTGGAATACCATGCAGCCATAAAAAAAGACTGAGATCGGCTGGGTAAGGTAGCTCATGCCTGTAATCCCAGAACTTTGGGAGGCCGAGGTGGATGGATCACCTGAGGTCAGGAGTTCAAGACCAGCCTGGTCAACATGGTGAAACCCCGTCTCTACTAAAAATACAAAAATTAGCCAAGTGTGGTGGTGGGCACCTGTAATACCAGCTACTCAGGAGGTTGAGGCAGGAGAATTGCTTCAGCCTGGGAGGCAGAGGTTGCAGTGAGCCAAGATTGTGACATTGCACTCCAGCCTGGGAAACAAGAGCATACCTCCATCTCAAAAAAGAAAAACAAAAGGTTAAATTAAAAACGGTGCAGGTTTTATATTTTTTTCAATAAAACTATAAAATCCTAGTGCAGAAGTTGTCAACTCAGCCTCATGCCTCTAGGCAGAACCATAATTAAGTTATGCTAGACAGGTAATTGTCCATTCCAGTGAGTCTATAACAAGTTCAGTAAACCATTCCTATAACAATTTTTCATCAGAAACTTCTTTATTTGGTCTAATTCAAGTATTTTCCGTTCAGTTTAATTTAATTTCATCTGACTTTCTGTTACATATAGGAATTTATTCTACTGTAGAAAATTATGTAATAAATGTCCTTGCACCGTCATTTCATTTTATTCATGATCATCCTGATAAGAAAACATGGCTTCATTACATAGTCAGCATTAATATTATTTGTACATATTAACTGTATTTTCTTTCTTTTATGTTATGAGAGTATAATGATTTACTATTACATTGCTCACTTTATTGATAACTGTATATGGTACAGTATTTTGACAAGGCAAAAATGATCTTCATGCATTTATCTATAACCTCTGACTATATGATGGTATAGTAATTTCAGCTCATATAGATGACTTATGTTGAGTTAAATTATTAAAGAATGTTGAAATGTAGCAGCCAACAAACATATGAAAAAATGTTCAACATCACTAATCATTAAAGAAGCAAATCAAAGGCACAATGAGATACCATCTCATACCAGTCAGAAGGGCTATTATTATTATTAATTTTTTTTTGAGACAGGGTCTCCCAGGCTTTGTCACCCAGGCTGGAGTACGGTGGTGTGAACATGGCTCACTGCAACCTCGACCTCCTGGGCTCCAGCGATCCTCCCATGTCAGCTGCTTGTAGCTGGGACTTACAGGCATGTGACACTATGCCCAGCTAATTTTTGTATTTTTTAGAGATGGGATCTTGCCATGTTGCCCAGGCTGGTCTTGAACCCCTGAGCTCAAGCCATCCACCCACCTCGGCCTCCCAAAGTGCTGGGATTACAGGCATGAGCCACCATGCTTATCCCAGAATGGCTATTACGAAAAAGTCAAAAAATAATAAATGCTGGCAGGCAGGGCGCAGTGGCTCACACCTGTAATCCCAGCACTTTGGGAGGCTGGGGTAGGCAGATTGCCTGAGTTCAGGAGTTTGAGACCAGCCTGGACAACATGGTGAAATGCCGTCTCTACTAAAATACCAAACATTAGCCGGGCATGGTGGCGTGCACCTGTAGTCCCAGCTACTCGGGAGGCTGAGGCAGGAGAATTGCTTGAACCGCGGTGGCAGAGGTTGCAGTAAGCTGAGATTGCACCACTGCACTTCAGCCTGGGTGACAGAGTGAGACTCAGTCTCAAAAAAAAAAAAAAGATGCTGGCAAAGCTCCTATGTTCACTGCAGCACTATTCACGATATCAAAGACATGGAATCAACCTAGGTGCCCATCTATGACGGATTAGGTAAAGAACATGTGGTACGTACATTCACTACTACACAGCCATAAAAAAGAATGAAATCATGTCCTTTCCAGCAGCATGGATGCAGCTGGAGGTCATCATCCTAAGCAAATCAAGGCAGGAACAAAAAACCAAATACCACATGCTCTCACTTGTAAGTGGAAGCTGAACATTGGATACACACGGACAGAAAGATGTGAACAATAGGCCAGGCAGTGGCTCTCACCTGTAATCCCAACACTTTGGGAGGCCGAGGTGGTCAGATCACCTGAGGTCAGGAGTTCAAGACCAGCCTGGCCAACATGGTGAAACACCGTCTCTACAAAAAATACAAAAATTAGCCAGGGGTGGTGATGTGTGCCTGTAGCCCCAGCTACTCGGGTGGCTGAGGCACGAGAATTGCTTGAACCAGGGAGGTGGAGGTTGCAGTGAGCCAAGATCGCACCACTGCACTCTAGCCTGGGTGAAGAGACTCTGTCTCAAATAAATACATTAAATAAATAAATAAATAAATGGAAACAATAGACACTGGAGACTGTTGGGTGGTGGGAGGGAGCAGGGCAGGAGCTGAAAAACTACCTATAGGATACTATGTTCATTATATGGGTGATGGGATCAATCATACCCCAAACCTCAGCATCACACAATATACCAAGGTAACAAACCTGCACATGTTCCCCTGGTATTCAAAATAAAAGTTGAAAAAAGAAAAGAATGTTGAAATGTATGTAGACCAGAGCACATGATAATGCACGGTTGTCTCCAAGATTTCAAGTGACCTGTCATTTTCCTGGTGTTTAATTGTTGTTGGTATCTGGCACAGTATTTAGTACTCAGTGTAGAAATGAGCATGAATAATACTCTGGTCACTGTGCATCTCTCATTCATAAAATGCCCCTTAAAGGGCGGGCACGATGGCTCACGCCTGTAATCCTAGCACTTTGGGAGGCCGAGGTGGGCAGATCACTTGAGGCCAGGAGTTCGAGACCAGCCTGGCCAACATGGCCAGACCCTGTCTCTACTAAAAATACAAAAATTAGCTGGGCGTGGTCGTGGGTGCCTGTAATCCCAGCTACTTGGGAGGCTGAGGCAGGAGAACCGCTTGAACCTGGAAGGTGGAGGTTGCAGTGAGCTGAGATTGCATCACTGCACTCCAGCCTGGGTGATAGTGACACTCTGTCTCAAAACATACAGAAATTTAAAAAATTAAATAAATAAAATACGCCTTAAAAGTGAGGCAGTCTCGTCTCTTATCTGTCTGGACATCATTCTACCCTGCATTCTCCTTCCCTACCACACTGAACCACTGGTAGCGCCAGAAAACCTGAATATTTCATGTTAGCAAGGATGGGTTCTTATCACAGCAGGCCTGTCAGAGAGATGGGGAAATATGCCAGGTGATAGGCACACAAGTATGGGCAACGGGAATGTCGAGAGATGAGACTAAAAGGGCCACGTAGTGAAGGGCCTTGAATTTCACACAAGAGAGTTCGGATTGAATCCTTAAGAATTAATGGAAGCATTATGAAGGGAGACTAAAAAAGCATTGTGCGGATTTAGATTTTAGCTCTCTACAGGCGAGTAGTAGAATGGGAGGGGTGGGGTGGGGAGGAATGAATGGCAAAGGCTTAATTTAAGACAATGAAGTGAAAGGGGTGGAAATGTGAATTATCAAAGGATAGAATAAAGAGGATTTCCCAGCACTTTGGGAGGCTGGGGAGGGCGGATCATGAGGTCAGGAGATCGAGACCATCCTGGCTAACATGGTGAAACCCCGTCTCTACTAAAAATACAAAAAATTGGCCGAGCATGGTGGCGGGCGCCTGTGGTCTCAGCTACCTGGGAGGCTGAGGCAGGAGAATGGCGTGAACTCGGGAGGCGGAGCTTGCAGTGAGCCAAGATTGCACCACTGCACTCCAACCTGGGAGACAGAGAGAGACTCCGTCTCAAAAAAAAAAAAAAAAAAAAGAGGATTGGGTCGTTGATTGAACATGCAAGGAAAAAAAAAGATAAGGATGAGTTCCAGTTTCTTTTCTTTTCTTTCTTTCCTTTTTTTTTTTTGTTTGAGACCAGGTCTTGCTCTGTTATCCAGGCTGGAGTGAGTGCAGTGGGGCAATCATAGTTCACTGCAGCCTTGAGCTCCTGGGCTCAAGGGAATCCCCCTGCGTTGGCCTCCAATAATGTTGGGATTACAGGTGTGAACCACCACACCCGGCCCCAGTTTCTGGGGCGCATTGTGATCCCAGAGACTGCTCCATTATACTGCCTCTCTAAGAGTCATTCTATTTAGGGTGTTTTCACTGAATCAGACATGATTCTTGGTTGGAAGTAACAGAAGCCATCTCTGGCTGTCTTAAGAAGTATTTATGAAAGGTCTGTGAGAGAGTGCTAGCTGTTATTTAATTTCTATTCTGTCCTTTTTACTCAGGAAAGAGTAGAAATGTTCCAGTAAGAACCCTTGGCACATAAGACCACTTTCCCCAGCCTCCCTTGCAGCTAGGTCTAGCCATGTGACTAAGTTCTGGCCAGTGGGATATAAACAGAAGTAATGTGTGCAACTTCCCACACTTATCCTTTTTTTTGTTTTTGAGACAGGGTCTCACTCCATCATCCAGGCTGGAGTGCAGAGGCACAGTCTCAGCTGACTGCAACCTCTGCCCCACCCTGTAGCTCAAGCGATCCTCACACCTCAGCCTCCTAAGTAGCTGGGACTACAAGTGCGTGCCACCATGCCTGGCTATTTTTTTTTTTTTTTTGAGATAAGAGTCTCATTCTGTCGCCCAGGCTGGAGTGACATGGTGTGATCTTGTCTCACTGCAACCTCTGCCTCCCAGGTTCAAGTGATTCTCCTGCCTTAGCCTTCCAAGTAGCTGGGTTACAGGTGTGTGCCACCACACCTGGATGATTTTTGTATTTTTAGTAGAGATGGGGTTTCACCATGTTGCCCAGATTGCTCTTGAATTCCTGAGCTCAAGTAATCCACCTACCTCGGCTTCCCAAAGTGCTGAGATTATAGGCGACAGCCACTGCACCCAGCCTAAACTTATCCTTAAAGGGTGAAGGTATATACTTCTTCCTTTTTCCCATTACTTATGTGATGGCTGCAGCTCCATCTTGGACCATGAGGAAGTCCATACCTTGGGGATGGCAAAGCAGACAGAGTATTCTGGGTTCCAGATCAACCACAGCATCCTAAAATGCCTATGTTCAAACTTTTATGTGAAAGAGAAATAAACTTGTGCCTTAAGTATCCATTATTTTTGGTTTCTGTTACATGCAACAGAACCCGTATCTCAATAACACAGGTAGGCATCAGAGACTAACCAAAATGACAGAAGGCTAGAGAGCTTTGAATACAGTTGGATACAGGGGCGCCATGGAGATGAGGCAGCAGAGACTGCCCAGCCTCAGTACCACGCTCCTGCTGCTGGGAGCAATCTGACTCCCAGGTGGCCCCAGTCTGGTTCACTCACTCAAGATGCAAAATCCTGGTAGGGAGCAGTTTATTGCTCAAATTGGGTCATGTGTCTCCTCCTTAGGGGCACCAAAGGTCAGCTGGAGGAAGGACCTAGCCCTCTGCTTCTGTATTGGGCATGAGCATTGGGAGTTGTGTTCCAGGGATAGCCCATGCATTAACAAAACATACAACAGGAAATTCTTTCCAAGGGAAGATTGAGCTGCTGATAGGAAGGGGGAAGGGGAGAATGCTGGACAGCCAGAAAAACACAACATATGTCTACTACATTTAACTTCTTATCCATACTGAATCATGGCAAATTAAGAGAGGCTTTCATTATTTATTTTCCCATTTAACTTAAAGCTTTCTTATTTCAGTGGACCCATTTTGCCTTAAAACATTGCAATTTTCTTTCACAGTACCCTTTAAGTGGCACACATTACTTCTAAATTCTGTTGCAAGCAAAGATATTCACAGGCTGCTTATAGTACTCATATGCTATACCTTCCTTTTTGGCAATAGAATCATGGAAAATAATGGCAACATTGTATAAAAGCTACAATCAAAATTCTGTCCTGGGATCTTTAAAATACTTCTTAAGAATAGCAGGAGTATTTTCTATATATAAAAAGAAATCTTACCAACTAAAATGTTACTGGTATCCTTTCAAAAGCTAGTATCAATCTTGGCAATCCTGTATTTTAACATGACATTTTTATTGCATTTCAGAAAAAAAAAGGTCACAAAGAATTCGATCTCTCAATTTATTTGAAAAAGAAATTAAACTATTCATCATTAACAGGAAGACTATCAGACGGGCCCAAAGTGCAGTTGTTGAAAATGAGCATTTTTTGTAATCAGTTCAGTCTCATTACTCTCCTGTTGTAGTTATCTGACAATTTCTGGAAAATGACTCTTAATACTTGTTTTTTAAATGTGTCCAAAATTAGTAATACTAGCTGAGATGCCAATAATTTGCAAATAAGCCTTACTGTTGCTCAAAATTAAGAAACCATTCACAGTCACACCAAGTAAAACATCTAGTTTGTAGCTCTAGTATTTTCATTAAAATACTTCACAGATAGAAACAAAACTTTCTTCTTCCCTCTCTCTTCCTTTCTTTCCTCTTAATCAAATCTGAGTTAATAGTTAAACACGAAGTTTTGCAACCATTTCCTTTTTCTTTCTTTCTTTCTTTTTTTTTTGAGACGGGGTCTTGCTCTGTCACCCAGGCTGCAGTGCAGGGGTGCGATCTTGGCTCACTGCAACCTCTGCCCCCTGGGTTCAAGTGATTCTCCTGCCTCAGCCTCCCGAGTAGCTGGGACTACAGGTGCCTGCCACCAGGTCCGGCTAATTTTTGTATTTTTAGTAGAGACAGGGTTTCACCATATTGGCCAGGCTGGTCTCCAACTCCTGAGTTTGTGATCTGCCCGCCTCGGCCGCTCAAAGTGCTGGGATTACAGGCGTAAGCCACCGCGCCTAGCCATTTTGCAGCGATTTCTAATGAAAAATCATGTGCCTGTTAGAGCAAGAATTGTTTAAATATTTGTCTATTATGCTAACGAAGAAATGTAAAGAATGTGGAAATTAGCCCTGTGGTTCCTCCTTGAAGAGCTGGTGTCTGTTTGTGTTTTATGTTCTATTATGCAATTGTAGCCGCTCTGACCACTGGCTCCATTTTAACAGAGTGATCTTTTATACAGGCTTTTCACACTGAAGATCAAGAAGCTACAAAGCTGGTAACAAACTGATATTTCTTTAATTGATCATGTTAAGCATTGTCAGATTATCCACCACAAGCAATATTTTTATTTCATTTGTGACATAAATTGTGGCAAATGTTACGTCTCTATAAAAATTGATGTCGAATTTGAACAGGTAATAGATGCACATGATATAAAGTGAAAGACATATAAAAAAGAGTATACAATAGAAAGTTTCCACCTCCCATCTTTGTCACCCAGTCATCTAATTCCCCTTCCTAAAAACGCCAGCTTCACATGTATCATTGCTGATATTATCTGAGCATATACTAACACGTTTTAAGATAGTATCGGCCAGGCATGGTGGCTCATGCCTGTAATCCCAGCACTTTGGGAGGCCGAGGCGGGCAGATCACGAGGTCAGGAGATAGAGACCATCCTGGCCAACATGATGAAAACCCTGTCTCTACTAAAACACAAAAAAATTAGCTTGGCGTGGTGGCGTGCACCTGCAGTCCCAACTACTCGGGAAGCTGAGGCAGAAGAATGGCTTGAACCTGGGAGGCGGAGGTTGCAGTGAACCAAGATCATGCCACTGCACTCCAACCTGGCAAGAGAGCAAGACTCTGTCTCAAGAAAAAAATAATAATAATAATAAAATAAATTAATTAAATAAAATAGTCTCCTTTGGCCTGGTGTGTGGTTCATGCTTGTAATCCTAGCACTTTGGGAGGCTGAGGCGGGAGGATCACTTGAGGCGAGGAGTTCAAGACCTTGAGGCGAGGAGTTCAAGACCAGCCTAGGCAACTAGTGAGATCCTGCCTCTACAAGAAATTTTTAAAAAATTAGACGGGTGTGGTGGCTTGTGCCTGCAGTCCCAGATATTGGAGGGACTGAAGTGGGAAGATTATTTGAGCCCAGGAGTTCAAGGCTGCAGTGAGCTCTGATCACACCACTGCATTCCAGCCTGGGCAACAAAGAGAGATTCTGTATCTTAAAAAAACAAAACAAAACAAAAAAAAAAACAAAAACCTCTCTCTTTTTTTTTAATGAAAATATACCATACTAAATACAATTTTTTTTTTCAGATGGAGTATCACTCTGTTGCCCAGGCTGGAGTGCAGTGGTACAGTCTCAGCTCACTGCAACCTCCTCCTCCTGGGTTCAAGCGATACCCCCACCTTAGCCTCCCCAGTAGCTGGAATCATAAGTGTGCACCATCACGCCCAGCTAATTTTTTTTTTTTTTTTTTGAGATGGAGTTTTGGTCTTGTTGCCCAGGCTGGAGTGCAGTGGTGCAATCTTAGATCACTGCAACCTCTGCCTCCCGGATTCAAGTGATTCTCCTGCCTCAGCCTCCCGAGTAGCTGGAATTACAGACGCCTATCACCACGCCTGGCTAATTTTTGTATTTTTAGTTGAGACAGGGTTTCACCATGTTGGCCAGGCTGGTCTCGAACTTCTGACCTCAGGTGATCCACCCACTTCGGCCTCCCCAAGTGCTGGGATTAGAGGTGTGAGCCACTGCTGGCTAATTTTTGTATCTTCAGTAGAGACGGGGCTTCACCATATTGGCCAGGCTGGTCTTGAACTCCTGACCTCAAGCGATCCACCTGCCTTGGCCTCCTAAAGTGCTAGTATTACAGGCATGAGCCACCGTGCTCAGCGAAACATACATTCTTTCACCTCCTTTTTTTTTTCCACTTAATATACCTAGGAAATGTTTCATAGTCATTGTAATGAATTTAAAATGGCTGCAAAAATCTTTATCATTCTCCCCAAAGAGTTTATTTCCCCTCCCTTTGAATCTGTGTGGCCCAGTGTCTGCTTACCCAATAGAATGCAGCAAAAGTAACCTTGTGGTAGTTCCAGACTTTAGAAGGACTGACAGCTTCTGTTTCCAACCTCTTGGAATACTTGCTCTTGAAATGGGTGTTCTGGGGGAATGCAGCCCCCTGTGTCAGAGGTCCAAGTGTCATGAAGGCATCATAGTGTGAGGAAGCCCAAGTGAGTCCTGTAGAGAGGCTGCATGGAGAGTGACAGAGATTGTTTCCTGGCTAGTTTGTAGCTATTCCATCTACTAAGACACAAGACAACATGAATGAAGAAGCCACCTCGGACGTGCGTTCTAGTTGAGCTTTGGATGACTCTTTTTCCAACCACCATCATGTTGCAGTTATGTGAAAGACTCTAAGAGATAATTGGCCAGGTACAGTGGCTCATGCCTGTAATCCCAGCACTTTGGGAGGCGTAGGTGGGTGGATCACCTGAGGCCAGGAGTTCGAGACCAGCCTGGCCAACATGGTGAAACCCTGTCTCTACTAAAAATACAAAAAATTAGCCGGGCTTTGTGGCAGGCACGTGTAATCCCAGCTACTCAGGAGGCTGAGGCAGGAGAATCACCTGAACCTGGGAGGCGGAGGTTGCAGTGAGCCGAGACTACGCCATTGTACTCCAGCCTGGGCAACAAGAGCAAAACTCCATCTCAAAAAGAAAAAAAGAAAGTTATTTGGTTTAATCTTCACAATAACATTGGGAGGTAGGTGTCATTAGCCTCAGTTAATTAATGAGGAAAAAGCAAGCATGATATCACATAATAGTATTAAATAATTTCATTCCCGGAAAACTGAACAAATCACCCAGGTTTGCACATTTCTACCTCCATTTTTAAGTGTTCCTAATTCTTAGTTCTCAATTTACTATCCAAATTCTTTTTTTTTTTTTTTTTTTTTTTTGAGATGGAGTTTCGCTCTTGTTGCCCCGGCTGGAATGCATTAGTGTGATCTCGGCTCACCGCAACCTCCGCCTCCTGGGTTGAAGTGATTCTCCCGCCTCAGCCTCCTAAGTAGCTGGGATTACAGGCATGCACCACCACGTCTCGCTAATTTTGTATTTTTAGTAGAGATGGGGTTTCTCCATGTTGGTCAGGCTGATGTCGAACTCCTGACCTCAGGTGATCCATCTGCCTCGGCCTCCCAAAGTGCTGGGATTACAGGCGTGAGTCACTGCGCCAGGCCCCAAATTCTTAAATCAGGAACATAGTGGCAAATAATGGCATTAACAAGTCATTAATGTTAGTATATTTGTCTTAAATCCTAGTGATCTGGTTGTAATTTGTTAATAGATTTATTTGTCATATTTCTTTTTCTCCTGATTTTTTTTCTTTTCTTTTTCTTCTTTTCATATAGAGGATACTCTTTTTTATTTATTTTTTCTTTTTTGAGACAAGGTCTTGCTCCGTTGCCCAGGCTGGAGCCCAGTGGCGTGATCATGGCTCACTGCAGCCTCAACTTCCCAGACTTAATCAATCCTCTTGTCTCAGCCTCCCATGTAGCAGAGACTACAGGTACAGCACCACCATGCTTGGCTAATTTTTTTAAATTTTTAGTACAAAGTCTCTCTATGTTTCCCAGGCTGGTCTTGAAATCCTGAGGTCAGGCAATCCTCCCACTTCAGCCTCTCAAAGTGCTGGGATTACGGGTGTGAGCCACTGCACCTGGTGAGAATAAAATTTTAAACCAATATGAAAGGAAAATAAAGCACTGATGTGAGAAATGGACATTGTTAGCAACAGTACAGAAAGCATGACATTTTGTTAAGTATCATATTTGCCATTTATTATTTACTTTATTAGTTATTTATTTGAGGCTGGGCGCAGTGGCACACGACTGTAATCCCAGCACTTTGGGAGGCTGAGGCGGGTGGACTGCCTGAGGTCAGGAGTTGGAAACCAGCCTGGCCAACATAGTGAAACCTTGTCTCTATTAAAAATACAAAATTAGCCAGGCATGGTGATGCATGCCTGTAATCCCAGCTACTCGGGAGGCTGAAGCGGGAGAATCGCTTGAACCCAGGAGGCAGAGGTTGCGGTGAGCCCAGATTGTTCCATTGCACTCCAGCCTGGGCAACAAGAGTGGAACTTTGTCTCAAAAAAAAAAAATTTTTTTTGATTTATAATGGGTCAGCAGGTGGTAAAATAGTTTAAAATCTACAAATGTAAAATGATCTGGGAATAAAAAATCAACTAAGATATTTGTGCTAGAGAATCATTATTCAATGTAGTGTTCAATAAAGTAATTAGAACTTTAGTTGGGAAAAATCATGTAATTGTTTAAAACAGTAAATGCAAACAACAACTAAAAGTCTACGAGCTTGTTGGATTGCATATGGTAAGGTGCTAGTTTGCATAGTTTCTAAAGCTCTAGGATGTGGACTGGAACACATTGAAGATTTGAGCAAGCAGATGCTTTATATATCCTGGGATAGTTCTGTCACCAAGTGTCTCCTTCACATCTGTCCGTTCGTTTCCATTCTCGATGCTACTGTCCTATTTTGGCTCCTTATGCTTTCTCCCACAGTCTATGGTAATAATCTTTTAATTGGTCTCTCTTTCTGGGAGCTTTTCCTTTTCTGACTTCTTTGCGCAGACCTTCAGATTAATATTAATACAGTTCTCTTCAGTTGTTCTTCACAACCTCTTGAATGAAATCCAAGCTTCTTAGTGAAGTATTGAAAATCCACTATGAATTCTAGCCTCACTCACTGTCTGGCCTGAATAACTCATGTCTCCTGAGGCCTCAGAGCCCTGAGGGTAAAAACAATGGATTTGGCTGGATGTGGTGTCTCACACCTGGCCTCACTCCCAGCACTTTGGGAGGCTGAGGCAGGAGGATTGCTTGAGCCCAGGAGTTCAAGACCAGCCTCAGAAATATAGTGAGGCCTCATCTCTCAAAAAAATTATCTGGGCATGATCATGCATGTCTGTAGTCCCAGCTATTTGGGAGGCTGAGCTGAGAGGATCGCTTGATCCCAGGAGGCAGAGGTGGCAGGTGAGCCAAGATCGTGCCACTGCACTCCACCCTGGGCAACAGAGCAAGACCCTGTCTCAAAAAAATAAAAAAATAAAACATGACGGATTCACTCTTACAGAAATAGGCGACTTCATTGAAACCAGGACAGAAAGACACTAAGGCACACAGTGCTCAGAACGGCATGCTGACAAGATCTCTGGTGGGAGGCCATTGCCTGGACACCTGCTGGGTTTTGTCCTGGACACCATTCAGTCACTTGAGCATGTTTGGTACCCAGGGTATTTTTAAATAATAGGCAAAATAGAATGAGTTCTTCAAACCTTGTGGATTTTATACTGAAAACTTCCAGAGATATATCTTAGGTAATTATAAGACCAAGCACAACAACAACAACAAAATCCTATCTTGAATCCATCAGTTGCAGATTTCATGGCTGACTACATCAAGAGGAAGCTGCAAGCTCTAAAAGCTGGAAGGCCAGTCAATATCAGGAACTCCTCAGAAGTGAAGGAAAAGCAGTTTAAATTTGTTTAACACACCATGTTTTCAAACTAACTTTAATTTATGCATAAGGGCCATTAAATTTGTTCTTTTTTAAAAGGAAACTTCTTAATTGGAACTAAACCATTCATTATTCACTGTGATACAGGTTATATACCCTTAGTTTCCATGTGATTATTCACATGTTCAGCTGACAGAAAGGAGAAAAAGCTATTCTAAAGACTTAGCTTCGCTTTGGCTCACTGGTTTTTATCTCAATTTAACTTCCAATCTCGGTTACAGAGAGTGTTAAAGCTGGAAGAAATAACATTTTGGTAGATGGTAAAGGATAATTACGAGTCATTTCAAGTTGTTGAAGCTTTCATTAAATAAAGCAAGCTATTTGAAATCTTAAAGCTATTTAAATAAAGGACTAAGACTTCTGTTTTATTTACTTAAAAGCTTAAAAGATACTGTTGAAAATTTAACAGTTAATCTATTGTAGGGTGTGGTTAGACATTTATTTTGACAGTGCTCACTGAAAATTCAATTATACCCCCAGAGTCAAACTTGCCTGTCATCAAAATGTCTAACAATCTGAGTGTTCACGGGGTAATAACAAACCCCATACTAAACAGTTTGCCAGAAATCTCTCCTATAACATCTAAACGGAACAATTGGGTGGTTGTCTAAGACACCTAAACTCAATATGACATTTCAGCTAAAAAGAGTGAACTTATACCTAAGCACTTCATGCAAGTTACCAAAAGAGAAGATATTCTTTAATAAAAAAGTACATTTGTTGAATCAAAGAATCTCAGTGTTGTAAGAAATATTTGAGATCATTTCAGTTAGGCTTTTCATTTCTTAAATTTGAAACTGAAGCTGAGATTAAACAGCTAATAAAAAGACAAAGCCGATCCATGATATTGGTTTGGGCAATGATTTCTTAGATATGACCAAAAACGCACATACAACAAATGAGATTACATCAAACTAAAGAGCTTCTATACAGCAAAGAAAACAATTAACAGAGTGAAGAGTGACAACTCACGGACTGAGAAAAAATATTTGCAAATCATATGTCTGATAAAGAGCTAATACACAAAATATACAACAAATTCAACTCAGTAACAATAAAACAAATAACCCTGTTAAAAAATGGGCAAAAGACCTGGACAGATATTTCTCCAAAGAAGACATACAAATGGCCAGAAGAGATATTAAAAGGTGTTCAATATCACCATTGATTAGGAAAATGCAAATTAAAATGAGATTTCACCTTACTCATTTTAGAATGGCTATTACAAAAAAAATGAAAGACAAGTGTTGGTGAGGATTTGAAGAAAAGAGAACACTTGTAAAATGTTGGTGGGAATGTAAATTAGTGCAGCCATTATGGAAAACAGAAGGGAGGTTTCTCAAAAATAAAAATATATAATTACTATATGGCCCAGAAATTCTACTTCTGGGTGTATACTCAAACGAGTTAAAATCAGTATGTTGACTAGATATCAACACTTCCATGTTCACTGCAGCATTATTCACAATAGCCAAGATATGGAAACAATCTAAGTGCATATCAAGGGATGAATGGATAAAGAAAATTATATATACATATTTATAGTGTATACACACAATGGAATACTATTCAGCCTTTAAAAGGATAAAATTCTGTCATTTGTGAAAACAAAGAAAAATCTAGAGGATATTATGTAAAGTGAAATAAGTCAGGTACAGAAAGACAAATACATCATGATCTCACTTACATGTGAAAAGTAAAAAATGTCAGACTCATAGAAGTAAAGAGTAGAATGATGGTTACCAGAGGCTGGAGGAGGCAGGATAGACAGAAAAAAGAAGATTAATTTGTTAAATGGTACGAGGTTCAGCTAGATAGGAGAAATAAGTCCTAGTGATCTATTGAGCAATAGGGTAATTATAGTTAATAATAATATATTATATATTTCAAAATTGTGGAGTATATTTTAAACACTCTCACCATAAAGTAGTGATAAATATGTGAGTTGAAAGATATGTTAATTCACCTGATATAAATGTTCCACAATGTATACATGTATCTAAACATCATATTGTATGCCATAAATACACACAACACTTAATTATCAAATAAAAAGTTAAGATGGAGCTGAGCCAAGAATCCAAGACTCTGAATTTAGATTTTTCATTTTCTATTATGCCAAAGTGTTTTCTGAAAATTAAAATTGAATATGGCATGTCCAAAAGAATATGTCATAAGAAGACAGGAATGGGGGGATTGCTGCATATAATCTCATATTTTTAGTCAGTTGTGTAAGATATTATTAGGAGAAGAAAATCAGATATTTTAAGAAAATTCTTATAACTCCTGTAACACTGAAATTTTATGGCAAACCTAAAAACTTCAAAATACAGAGTTTTTTAAAAAGTGAATCATATATACGCAGTTTTTATTGAGATTATTAAAGCAAAATCTCTCAAAGTAGCAAAACATAAGTATATGTTTTAGACTGTACTATGCAGAATAGCAGAATGGTGCCAATGGCAAAAAATCTTTCAAAAGACATAAAAATTATTGAGGTCTCATCCCAGCTCTACTAATCTATGTCTTAGCAACCTAGTGTAATTCCTACAAGTTCTGAACACTGCGTTTAATGTATCTGCATGGTTCCCATAACATTTTATAAACTTCAAATATTCACACTTTATAATTGAAACAATATACAAACTTTATTATTAAATAAGCTATCGGATGATATTCTCCATCTACCCTATAAGGATACTATCTTCCTGTCAGAAAATATCTCCGATACATATTTACTCCCCAGATCTTTTCTTTTTCTTTTTCTTTTTTTTGAGATGGAGTCTCTCTCTGTCACCCAGGCTGGAGTGCAGTGGCACCATCTTGGCTCACTGCAAGCACTCCCCAGATCTTAACTGTGGAATCTCCCGACCATGTCCAGTCAGTAATCCATTATTAGTTTTGCCTCATGTGCCCTAACCACCTTCTCTTTACCTTCTATTTAAGCCCCAAATAAAAGTTACTATTCTTGGCTCAATTCTCCAAATCCTTTGAAGGTAACTGGTGACACTATAGCCTTTCTTTATGTGCCACCTTGTGATCCAGGCTTCCTAGTTATCTGTGAATATTCACATCAGGTTACCTGCACTCCATAGAGGCAGCACCAACAAAAAACACAATTGGGATATACACCACTTTTAGACTTTTGAATACATGCCTCACCTTATAATGTGTGAACTGATTATTCACTTCTAGACATTCAACTTTCAAACAGGTATGCTCTGTATTAAACACCAACATCCTCCTTCCCTTTCACTGAAGGGACATCGAGAAAACAAAAAGATGCAATGCAAAGTTCACACATAAGGATAATTATTTGTGATAATGGTGACAATGAATGCTATTTCTTTTCCTGCTCTTATGAATTTGCAAATGTCCTACAAAGTGTATTAAATGAGTCTGTGAAAGTTCATCTAAGTCCCTAGTATTATTATTTCTTAACTCTCTAGAAAGTCCTAGCCACGTAGCTCAAAGCAAAATAGAAAAGATCCAAATCATTCATAGGACAAGTGTTAAGGCAACTTTCAATTACTAAATATATTTTTAGCCATTTAAAACTAAAAGAAAAGTAACGTCTGTAATCCCAGCACTTTGAGATGCTGAGGCAGGCGGAACACAAGGTCAGGAGATCAAGACCATCCTGGCTAACACGGTGAAACCCCATCTCTACTAAAAAAATACAAAAAATTAGCCGGGCGTGGCGGCAGGCGCCTGTAGTCCCAACTACTCAGGAGGCTGAGGCAGGAGAATGGCTTGAACCTGAGAGGCCGAGCTTGCAGTGAGCCGAGATCGCGTCACTGCACTCTAGCCTGGGCAACAGAGCGAAACTCCATCTCAAAAAAAAAAAAAAAAAAAAGTAACAAAACTCTTTTACTCCTTTTTATGATTTAAATTTTATTTTAGGTTTGAAAAGTGAGATATATATCACTTAACAGTCAGGAAGCGTGTAGTAAACTCAGTCTCTGAACTGACGTTACCTAAAACAGAGATGTTCGTTTTCTCATACTCATCTCTAAAACAGAGGTAGACAGAGAAAGTGCTTCTTTTTCCGAGACTGTAATGAATTCAAACCTATTCATTAACTTTATAGCAGTTATTTTGGTTTCACAGTGAAACATAAAAAGTTCTATCTTATTGGAAAGAAAACCAAGTAGCTATCTAAGTAGTTGATGAGAAGGAATTTGTTCTACTGTTTTAAGCGCATGAGGGATAAAGCAAGACTTAGAAATATTTTTATTAGACCATTTCATTTTAATAGTATTTTCTATTATAACAGAAATGACCTACAGTAAAATAATTCAAAATACCCTTACTTCTGAAGGTTATTTCCACATAAAATTGTAACATTACTATGATCTAAATTTAAATAAAATTTTCTATTGATGTTAAAAGTTTGATAATATACAGTTTGTTAAAGTGGTTTGGTCACTATTTGGGTATGATCGACTTCAAACCATAGGTGTTTAAATGAACCAAAGTCTTTGGTTTATTTCTATAGCTTTTTGTCTAGTTTGATTAATAACTAGTATACCAGTCATTCACATATAGTCATAACTGGCCAACCAAGGTTTACTTGGTAGGAGGGTGACAGTTTACCCTTTAATACCACCTGATTAAAATACACAAGATGTTCTACACAAATAACAACAAATTGTTTATTTCTAAGAACATAATTTTCCTTTTATAGGAAGCTCTCAACATTAATCTGGAGTCACATTTTAATTTTATAATGTAATAATTCAATAAATGGTCATTAGATATTGGGTTATTTGGAAAATTGCAAAAAATCAAACTTCTGACAATGTCCTTTAAAATAATGAACTCAGCTGGAAATAGTTAAACAAGACTTAAAAATACAAATCATAATGGCCGGGCGTGGTGGCTTACGCCTGTAATCCCAGCATTTTGGGAGGCTGAGGCAGGCGGATCACGAGGTCAGGAGATCGAGACCACGGTGAATCCCCGTCTCTACTAAAAATACAAAAAAACTTAGCCGGGAGCAGTAGCAGGTGCCTGTAGTCCCAGCTACTTGGGAGGCTGAGGCCAGAGAATGGCATGAACCCGGGAGGCGGAACTTGCAGTGAACCAAGATCACGCCACTGCACTCCAGCCTGGGGCGACAGAGCGAGACTCCGTCTCAAAAAAAAAAAAAAAAAAGGAAACACAAATCATAACGTGAATATTCAAATGATTGTACAGTGTAACAACTGTATGCAAATAATTAAGAACAGTGACTATAATAAAAAAGTTTAATAGATTTGACATCAACATTTAAAGAATATAACTTACATATACGAAAATAAGCCATCAAAACTTGAAGCTGTCAAATTGTGAAAAACAGTAGTAAACAATAAAAATCACTTACTCATTGGAAACACTGCAAAATGTCATGAAATCATTTCAGAAATGAAGGTACATTAATGAAAAATAATCATAGTTTTCAATTCAGTCTCACCTCACCTTTAAGAAGCAGTGTAAAACAGCAATAAATGGGATAATTTATATTACTGCAATAAAATGCAAATATATATATTGTGTACTAGCACCCTCTCTTCAATGTATAGTTTAACCCAATAGCTTTCTACCACTGGAAATTTATCATAAGAAAATAATGGTGGCTTACACCTATAATACCAGCACTCTGGTAGGCTGAGGCAATAATGTCAGTTGAGCCTAGGAGTTCCAGATCAGCCTGGGCAACATAGCGGGATTCTGTCTCTACCAAAAAAAAAAAAAAAATGCTAGTCATAGTGGCTGGTACCTGAATCCTTGCTGCTTGGGAGACTCATATGAACCTAGGCTGATTTGAGCAGGAGTATCATTTGAGCACAGGAGGTCAAGTCTGCAGTGAGCTATGATCATTCCATCGCTGCAGCCTGGGTGACAGAGCAAGACCCTGTCACACACAAAAAAGAAAATAATTCAGAATGCGCACAAAAATATATAAATATATTTCTGAAAGCTGCATTTGTAATACTGCAAAATCAATGCCACATTGAGACAGGGTACCAAGATTAAGGTAGAGTCACCAATGACAATTAAAATCTGGAGTCAGAATGCTGTATCTAAGTGTGACAACAGTTTCTCTGCTGCAGCCTACCACTACCATGCAGCAAAGTTGCTCTATTACTTCTGAATTTTCCACATTCTGAAAGAAAAGCAGAAAATCCAGTTTCTAAGACAAAAATCAAGTTACAAGTATTGACGGAAAAATCACTTTTAAATAATTGTAAACAGTAACAACACACTATAACAGTAAATCTAATTCAGCCTGATACCAGGCTGTACCAATAGATATAATGAAACTGCATAATATTGGTAAAGCAATTGTATGGTAGAAAAATACTGGCATAAAAATGTTCATAGCAAGTTCACAAATGGAAAAAGTAATGTTTTATTTAAATAAAAAGGAGCTAAATGAATTGCAGACAACTACAAATTAATAGTTTATACCTTTCAATTTTAGAATTAACGATATATTTTTCTTTATTTTTTGAGTTTTCATTATTGTGATGTATTATGCTGAAATTAGCAAAAAAAAAAAAAAAAGAGTAACTATCTGACTGATACAGAAATTTGTAATGAGAAGTAAGGTGTGTCCCTAACAAACCCACCTATGAGTCAGTTTGAAGGTAACAAGAAAATTTTTATCACAGTCGGGGAGAATGGGAACCTGTGATATGTGGCAGTGACATATTGTTAACACTGTGCACTGAGCTGACTTCAGAAGTATTTGTGTACCTAATGATTTCCAGTGTCATCAAACGTAGGTAAGAACACTGAGTATTAGCACTGGTTGATATTTGGTCTCTACAATAGTGAGTATGGTGGTTAATTTTAGATGTCAACTTGAATGGACTAAGGGTTGCCTAGGTAGCTAGCAAAACCTATTAAAGTATTATTTAATATAGTATTGTAGAATATACATTAAATACATTATGTTACATGTATTATAATGTAACACATTATAATATATTAAAGACATTATTACGTTAATACAGCACTTAGTATAGTATTACTTAATACATTAAAATGGTAACTAAGCTTGATGAATCCCTGAGCAAAGCCAGTTAGACCTCATAAGCAACCTCTCAACCTTGCTTGCTTTGCAAACATAAACAAAACTTCAGGTATTTTTTGTAAATGCCTATATGAAAGAAAAACAGAACTTTCTTTTTCTTTCCAAATAGGAGTGTTTACTATAGTTTTCCTGTTCCTGTATCACATTACACACTGTGTGTGGGAGAGCAGAGAGATTTAACTTACAAGTTTTAGATCAAGAGAGCATAACCAGATCCCAGGTTAAGACTTAACACTACAGAATACTCATATTAGTAATACTTGTCTTATAAAAAGATATACTCTTCACTGTAATTGCTGCAAACAATACTGTAAAATAATATGCAGTGTGTTTGTGAAAGGTCAATAACATGCTTATATTTTTGCTGTTGAAAAACTACACAAAAGCAAATGACTAGAACAGTAGATCAATTAGTATCAGTAGAATTATACCATCAAACATTCCACTGAGCTTGAATGTAAGATCTGACATAACCAGATAATTCCATGGCAGGGCAATAAACTGCATTTACATTCTCTTTCTAACAATTAGTGCAAGCATATCCAGATAATCTATATTGATTCTACATTATCTTAGAGTGAAATCACCTAATAACTTCTTCAGTAGTCTTTCTTTTAATTTTTATCCTAATTATCCGTCTGAAAATGATCTTTTAAATTGGGAAAACTCTGATTACCTTACATCCTTCAGTTCAGAGTAGCATTGGGTAAAGACATTTTGGCTGCAGACAAATCACTCTTTCATAGTCATCAGCTTTCAGAACATTCTAAGGCTTCATTTTCCATCTAAACTTTTCAGTTAATTTGACTCTAACTTTTAATTGATGTTACTGAGCAGCAAAGGAGCCTGAAGGACACTGCTTTGTTTTGAAAAATGAAGAAAGAAAGGAATGTAAATCCTGTAAATGTAATTCTAATGAAATCAAGATACAATATAGTGTTTATAAAATGAAATACAATTATTTCTAATAACTGTACTTTCATTTCAAATAATTTTCAACAAGTTAGTGACGTAGAATAAATACAATTCCAGAAGAATCCAGGATTTTTTTTCTATTGCATTGCTTTTTATTAAATTATAGCTACTTGAAGGCTTTGAAAAATTGAACACCAGTAAAACTGCCCTTCTTTTGTTAATATGTTTTGTTTTCTTGTTTCATTTTTAATTCAACTAGTCATTCACCAGAAAAAATTTACTCAGGTAAACTTTTTTGATTATCCTTTCATAGCATTTAACGCAAGTGTTATTTGTTGTAGTCTTTTGTCTATGAATCTATTAATGCTAAGAAACTGAACATTCCTAGGAGTGTCCTAATAAGAAAGAAAAATTAACAATTTCAGCTGTATTTTTACTTAAATAAATATTCATATAGTTTACCTTTCAGGATCACAACAAACACTTTGATTATATAAGAAGGTCTTTGTATATACATCAGACTACCAAGAAGTCATATCTGATTTTGTGCTTTTCTACTACTCTTCCCCCAAACACTTGTTCAAAAAGTTTACTTTTAAAGGGTCTGAACTGTGTGTCAAGCACTGACATCAGCATGTTACCTGAATTAACTCATTAAACTCTTGTGATACTCATGTGGTATTAGCAGTGAAGAAACTGAAGCACAGAAGCTTCAAGTAAAATGTCCGGTTTTAGAGCAACTGAACAGTAGAGTATGGAAGCCCAGTTACTGACCTTGTACCATTGCCCAGTACTGTGAACTGACCTAAAAAGGCCTATGAGATATCAACCCATTAAGATCCATGACATAAAGAAAATTGTTTGTCCTACAATATCCCAATCTGGATGAAGGCACATAAAGAGAATATGCTTAAGCATGATGACAAAAAAATAAGAAAGAACTGTGAATGCACTTTACAAAACAGAAAAGAACACAAGGGACTTTGGAACCAAGTTGAAAATTAAATATGTTCATGTGCACATAACAAAAGAGTGATCATAAATAAACTGTGTCAACACTGTACTATGAAGGTGAAACTTCCTTTTTAGGATTAGCTAAACCTTGTATAACTTGTAAAAAAATGCAACCACATATGTTGATGTACTAAACCCAGTGTTTTCTTTTGGCTTATATACCAAAAACAGGAATTCCTTCCTGTAATGAAGAAAAAACACAGGCATCAAGGAGTAACAAAATTAATGTCTTAGAATGTAAAATATAGAAACACCAATTAAGGCTCTTTTTTTTTTTTTTACATAATACATGTGAAAACTGCATCAGAATTTACAAAAAATCTACAGCGTAATTTGTTCTGGCAATAACCAATCACATTCTGCTGGAGGTAACTTTAGTAACGTCAAGCAAAAGTCTTAAAATTATGACAGGTGGCATTCATTTAAAATACTCTCAAGAGCTCTTAGAAATCAAGAACACAGGAGCTGCGGCGGTGGCGGTGCAGGAGGCCGGGCAGGGGTGCGGAGGGACCGACGGACGCACGGGCGGGCGGCCGGGAGCCATGGAGCGCGGCCCTGGGGCCCGGGGGCGCGGGCCGGGGTGGGCTTCCCACGGCACGACATGGAGACCTGTGGTTGCGAGGCTCCCTGGGGCTCGGCTTGGACCGCGATGGGGCTGGGCCCTGGCCTCCTAACGGGGCTGCTGTCTGGGGCGGTAGCTGCGGGGGCGCTCTCCCCTCTGCCCGCGACTCGGAGCACCCCCACCCCTCCCCTGCCGGGCCAGGCCGGGCGGCGTTGTTGGCGGGGGCCCCGGTGGAGGCCCGGCCCAGGCGGCGCCCGCCATGAACGGGCTGTCGTTGAGTGAGCTCTGCTGCCTCTTCTGCTGCCCGCCCTGCCCCGGCCGCATCGCTGCCAAGCTCGCCTTCCTGCCGCCGGAGGCCACCTACACCCTGGTGCCTGAGCCCAAGCCGGGGCCTGGTGGGGCCGGGACCGCCCCCTTGGGGACCCTGCGGGCCTCCTCGGGCGCACCGCACCCGGGCGCAGGAAGCTGCACCTGACGGAGCATACCGACTTCCAGTACAGCCAGCGCGAGCTGGACACCATCGAGGTCTTCCCCACCAAGAGCGCCAGCGGCAACCGCGTCTCCTGCATGTATGTTCGCTGCGTGCCTGGTGCCAGCTTCTACATTGGCCTGGGCTCCCGCCTCCACTGCAACATCTTCTCCTACGACTACTCCGGCTACGATGCCAGCTCGGGCAGGCCTTCCGAGAGGAACCTCTATGCCGACATCGACGCCGCCTGGCAGGCCCTGCGCACCAGGTGAGGGCGACCCTGGGGGCAGCTCAGCCTGGGCACACCCAAGAGGGGACCAGGCCGGGGGCCGGGGGGCGGGCTTCCCTGGGAGGAAGGTGGGCGGCCCTGCAGGAGGGGAGCCACAGTGGATACACAGGGCCAGAGAGCGGGACAGGCGAGCTTGGGTGTGCAGGTGCCTCCTCCACATGGCTGAGGTGTGGCCAGGCGGTCCTCCCACACCCTGGCCTGTGGAGCCAGGCTCCCTGGGAACCCCTGGCCTGAGGATGGGAAGGGGCTGAGCTTGTCACAGGGGCGTGGATGCCACCCGGCGGGAGGGAGTGGGTGGTCGTCTGGGGGTCTGTGCACGTGTGGCTGGGAGCCCATCGGCCGAGGCAGCACTTGGGGCCAAGTGAGGCGAGGCTGCTGCATCCAGGTCCGGAGGCCTGGCCCATGAGGCCCTGTGGCTACGGAGCTTGGCCATCCTGGGGCAGGGCCTACAGGGTAAGGTGCAGACTCGCAGCACACATCCGAGGTCTGGGCCAGCCTCGATTCCAGATCCAGCCCTCCTAGTCATCCACGTCCCCAGCCCTGCGCTTGCCTGGGCCCTTCACCGGTGTTTGAGCACCGCCCGGGCCAGTGCTGCTTTGGACGAGGAGACCCAGGTGGGCCTCTGGTGGCTTTTCCTGCTCGCCATCCACTGGGGCTGTCTCGTCCTGGCCCAGCCCAGCCCACTGGTCTGACCTGCTCCCGCAGGGACCAGGCACAGCTCTGAGAAGTCAGAGGCCCTAGGGAGGTGGGGTCATCGTTGCCTTGGTGATATGCAGGCAGTCCCTGCTGTGGGCCTGGGAGCTGGTCCCCTGGCACCACCCTGGCTCTGGGGGCCTCCCAGCAGTGTGGGACGCTGACACCAATCACCACTTCATGCGACTTCCTTGGCCCCTCCTGTCTCTACTGCCTGGGCCACTGGCAGAGTCACACCTGCCATGGCCACCTCTGAGCTCTGTCTGCTCGGCCATCTGTCCTGCTGCCACTTTGTCCTGCAGGAACCTAGGCCCAGAGCTGTGAGGGGGAGGCCAGAGCGTGCCCAGGGCCTCCACTGGGGATGTGTCCTGTTCGTTTGAGTGGTGACATCCAGGTGGCAGCTGGGGGCTCCTGCCTGTAGCAGGTGACAGGGCTGGGCTGGCTCAGCACACTACTGACCATGGCTGCCAGGGAGCAGGCCAGGGAGGCTGAGGCAGAGCTGGAACCACAGGCACAAGCCAGGCAGCATCCTTTGGGGCATGGGTGAGTGGCGAGCTGTGGAGTGCTGCCAGGAGGCTGGGATTCCAGGCCAGGGACGGGGACAGCCCTGCTGGTGGAGTCCAAATGCCAGGCAGAGGGGATGCACACCTGCCCATGCTCCTGCCTTGCAAGAGGGCATCTGCCTGGGATCAGAGCCTAGAGCCTGTGGGAGGAGAGTTGTGGGGTCCCGGCATGGGCAGGGTGGCAGGTGGGTCCCGCGTGGTTGGGACTGGGCACGAGGAGGCCTTGTAACTGGTGCTGGATCAGCTGGGTCAGGGGCCACACACCAATGACCTGGGGATGGGGGTGGCCCTGGGTGGGAGCTGGTAGTGCTGAGGTGGCTGAGGACCTGTCCACTCCCAAGGGAAGGTGCTGGTGGGAGGACCACCTCCGCAGCCACCACCCTCGATGCTGACCTGGGTTGCACTGGCATCTCATTGGGCGTGGGGACTCCGAGAGTCCAAAATTGGGTGGAGACATTTGGGGACACAGCTGCCTGAATTCCTCATGGCCAAGGGGGTGGGCAAGGGCTGCAGGGAGGAAGTGTCCGCTGTCCTGGCCAGTGCACCAGGAACGGCTTTCTAACCCGGGCAGGAAGGCGTGAAGCATTCAGGATGTGGGGGCCACACAGTTCCCAGTGTGCACCTAGGGGTGACCAGGAGGAGGAAAGGCGCCAGGGCCTCCCCTACCCCCGCCCCAGGGGCACTCCGTAGGCGAGATCCCTGCAGATCCTAGCTAGGAAACGCCAGTGAACGGCAGCGCAGGGAACGGGGCGGGGCCGCTGGCTTCGCCCACCGCCGCGGTGTTGGGGGCTGGGGGTGGCCCTCGGGACTGGTGTGGAGCCTGGGCCTGACCCACTGACTTGGCTGAGTGGGGAGACTGGAGGGTCGCATCCGGAGCTGGGCCCGGGGACGCCCGCTGGTGGGAAGGGTGTGCGCGCGTCGGAGGCCGCGGCTGACCCTGCTCCGGCGCTGCCAGGTACGGCATCAGCCCGGACAGCATCATCCTGTACCGGCAGAGCATCGGCACGGTGCCCACCGTGGACCTGGCCTCGCGCTACGAGTGTGCCGCGGTGGTGCTGCACTCGCCGCTCACCTCGGGCATGCGCGTCGCCTTCCCTGACACCAAGACGACCTACTGCTTCGACGCCTTCCCTAAGTGAGCGGCCCGGGCGGGGACGGAGGCGGGGCGGGGACGGAGGCGGGGCGGGGCCCGGGCCGGGCGCTAAGTCTCACCCGCTCCACGCCCCTCCCGCAGCATCGAGAAGGTGTCCTAGATCACGTCGCCCGTGCTCATCATCCACGGCACGGAGGACGAGGTGATCGACTTCTCGCACGGGCTGGCGCTCTACGAGCGCTGCCCCAAGGCGGTGGAGCCGCTGTGGGTGGAGGGCGCCGGGCACAACGACATCGAGCTCTACAGCCAGTACCTGGAGCGCCTGCGTCGCTTCATCTCCCAGGAGCTGCCCAGCCAGCGCGCCTAGCGGCGGCCCCAACCGGCCGGACCTCAGCAATAAGGCGGCCCCCGGACCTCACCCCGCGCCGGCCCCCCAGGGGCTGCATGTGGACCCCCCGGGCGGCCCGGGGGACCCCGCCCCGACCCAGGGGCTGTGGACGATGTACAGGCAACAGAGCTACGCACTCCTTTCCTTTTGGAAGCAAGAAGAAAATACGTGAAAACGGAAATTAAAGATTTAAAATTAAAAAAAAAAAAAGAAATCAAGAACACAATATCTGGACCCTTGATTTGAATCCACAATCAGTGTCTTTCTAACTGGGAAATTTTGGACAAAGTTTTAAACTTTCCTGAACATAAAATGCCTAGCTAGCAATAACTTTAGAAAATACTAGGAGTTTGTAAAGTTACAAGAATCAAATGAGTTAATAAATGTAATGTAAAGTAATAACTGGCACAAAATAATTATAACATAATTCATTATTATTTTTTAATATCTAAATTCTCTAGCTTATAGTTATTTTGAACAGATAAATATATACAATTAAAATTTCTAATATGTGTTTTTGATTACTTATCATGTAGAAAAATATAGTTTTCCAGATGAAAATATAGTATCTAATGTAGAAGTCACAAATAATATTTATTAAACTGGAATGATATCATTTTAAATTATTTTGGAGCTCATTAAAGTAAGTCTGCACTGGCCAACTTTTTATTTATTAATTAAATTTTTGCCTAGCACAGTTAATCTCCTTTTCTAAGACTTAATTCCCAAATCTATAGTCTTTCTTTTCCCATTTGGAGATGAGTGGGAGTACTATTCCTTTCTTGCCCATCCCTTTCTCTATTTTCATTATAATAACCAATATGCCCTTGCCTAAGCATATGCCCCCAGTTAAAAATACAGATTCACTGTACTGTTTCACCAAATTTAACCTGTTATTTCTGGAAATAGGGTGTTTAAAAATGGGTTTGTTATTTCTTAATACATGCCAAATGTCATCAGTATATCGTGGTCCAGATGTATTCTAAATACCAATTGAAAAACATTCGTAAAGCTAAGAACACACAACATATTTCACTGAGTGAACAACTGTGAGAAGCCTGGGGATTGTAGGCATTCTTGGAAAACTATTATTTTTTTTTGCATGTGTGTTACAAGCATTTGCATAGGTTATATGTTTTATAGCTCTAGTTATAAAAATAGAGAATAAATTACATTCCCTCACATCTGTACAAAATAGCAAGAATACACATCTACAGAAGTTTAAAGTATTTACTTTTTTTAGTTAATACGTTTCAGAACCTTAAAGAGAGCAAATCATAATACCCATTGATTATAATGTCACATTTTAGTTATTACATTATTACATTTACTTATTATAACTTTTAGAATTTTAGGAGGAAAACAATAATTTTGAGTGTGAAATTTGAATATTTGCACCCTAAAAATTTCCAATTCCGTTTTCAATAATTTAGTAGAATGTTTCTTAGAGAAATAAGAAGACAATTAAAAACATGAAGTACTAGGTTTTCAAGTATATTGCAAAGCCATAAATAATATATAATCTATCAGTGGTACAATAATTAATATATTTTTTCAATTATATTAAGTTGTAAGAACTCAATGCTCCTAAAATTTTTAAATAATACTATATAAAATCAACTCAAATGATATCAGCTCAAATTCATGCATGCATCTTTGCAGCTAAAGTCCTTTAAAATTAAAAATAATTTAAAATTTTGTCATATTTATGAACCCATTTTAAAGAACATAACATGTCATACAAATGTTAATTTAATACATAATGCATTAGTAAAAACTGTTCTGTATACATATGTTTATGTTAGAAAACTATTTTTAAACAGCAATTAGATTCTATTGTTTCATCAAATTACTAAATCACAACATTGCTAAACTCAATTTTTACTCTCCTAAACATATTGGAATCTATGAGAATATACAGTAGAGATAATAATTTGAATAGAATTTAACTTATATGTTTTAGCAAAGAAATAAAAACTGGAATATTATGGGTTTCTAACATGCCTATTTGTTTGTTAGTTGTCTTTTTAAAAATTTCTTTATAGAAGCATTTTGAGTGAAGCCCACAGATTATTTAATAACTTATTAGTTATTCAAAAAAGTCTGTCCTTGTTGGCAATGTGGAAAACACCATAGAGCAGGGGTCGCCCACCCCAGGAGCTGCAGACCAGTTACCTGCTCATGGCCTGTTAGGAACTGGGCCTCACAGCAGGTGGTGACCTGCGGGACAGGTAATGCTGGGTGGCATTACCACCTGAGCTCCGCCTCCTGTCAGAACTCAGAGCGGCATTAGATTCTCATAGGACCAGGAACCCTACTGTTAACTGCGCATGTGAGGAATATATGTTGCACACTCCTTATGAGAATCTAATAACTAATGCCTGATGATGTAAAGTGGAAGAGTTTCACATACCCCCATCCCCACAACCCACTCACCCAGCCATCCCTGGTCTGTGAAAAATTTTCTTCCACAAAACTGGTCCCTGGTGCCAAAAAGTTTGGGGAATGCTGTGTTAAGGTGAAAAAGGGTACATGTGGTAATTGTAAAAAAAAAAAAGTTCGATAAATATAGGAAAAAACTCTAACATCATATGTATATGTGGACATATATACTTACATATACATGATTTTCTGATTTGAAGAATGTATAAAAAATGAGAAAATGACATTGAAAACCTTTTTAAGGATCATTCATAGTTAAATATACTCTCGCTCTCTCTATATGTATATATAATATATATAATATATAATATATGGTATATATTTATTATATACATATAATATATGGTATATATTTATTATATACATATAATATATAATATAGTATATATTATATACATATATGTATATAAGTATATATTATATATTTATATACATATATTATATATTTCATATAACATATATTTATATATGTATATATTATATATAATTATATATTTATATATGTATATATTATATATAATTATATATTCATATATGTATATATAATATATAATACATATTTTATATATATTATATATATACATTTTATATAGACAGGGTCTCACTATGTTGCTCAGGCTCACTCTAGCTCAAGTGATCCAGTCTTGGCCTCCCAAAGTGCTGGGATTACGGGCATAAGCCACTGTGCCTGGCCCATAGTTAAATATCTTAAGTCAAAACTGATCATTCTACTTCCTTTCTCTTCCTCGCTTCATTCTTGAAAGGAATTCAACACTGAAAAAGAGGTGGAGACTTAACTGAGTCATTCACAAATAAGAACTTTAGAAAAGTGAAAAAACATAGTTATATAAATCATTTCCAATGATTTGTTCATCTTTAAAACATAGGCCAATATTTCTACTTTACCCAACTTTACTCAGCTGTAGGATGCAGTCCAGAAACATCTTAGTGTAAGAGTATTTTTTCATAAAATGTAAGATAATTTATTTAAATTGAATGGCTGATCAACCATAAGAATTCCACTGTAAAGTAACCAAAGAAGTACAATTCTTACAAAACAATCATGAAATACTTTTAAGAATTAAAGAAAAAGTAATCACTTTTCACCAAGAATCAAACTTTTAGTTGGCATAGCATAAAATAATTTCTCACACTGGCAAAAGAAAAACCTCCAGAAACCTGCAGGCAAATGTCCTCTCCCCACTCCCACTCCTAAAGAAAATACGGGCTGAACCGAGGCACCATGATCTCTCTTGCCTCTTGGATTTGCTCTCTGTACCACAAAGCTGTCTTCTAGTCTAATCCCACTCATAAAGCTGAGCAAATGGCATACCAAGAAATGGCATACCAAGACAGAGGATCTAACATGTGTTTGACCTTTCTGAAGCATCTCAAGTCCCTGGATTCCACCTCCTGTTCTCCGTATTTTCAAACATGTTCTCGAACATGGGTTTGACCTTTCCGAAGTATCGCTAGTCCCTGGATTCCACCTCCTATTCTATATATTTTGTAATGTTAATGTCCAGTTTCATTGTTAAAATGTGAGTTTCTACCCAAGTTGTTTCTTATTTGTACCTGAAGACTTTGAATAGGCTCTGGCACTCCCAGACATGGGATATCAAACAGATGCAGGCCTTAAGTAGGTCATAGGACTGGACTTACATACAAGTGGCTGTGGCTTGTGAGACTAGGTTGTAGTGGTTTTTTTGTTGTTGTTGTTCTGTTTTTTCATTTTGTCTAAGGACTTGAAAACCTTCAGGGGAGACGTGTGTTAAGATTTGTCTTCTAGTGATCTTCTTTTAAAACACAAATCAATCCTGTTAAGGAATCCATTAAATTACTATTAGTGCGAATGGACTTTTTTAGGTAGCATGGATGAATTCAATGTAAATGCAAATGTAGTATGTGGAAGAAGAGCCATTCTCATTCTATGAACATAGGACAGGGATGAGAATATATATAACCTATAGTTAATGAAAAATATATATTTCTGATTTATGTGAAATCAATTTAAGAGATTACATATATATATTCTATAGATATATGATTTTCATCAGAGCACAGAGGATGAAGAGAGAAGAGAAAAGATAGGAGTGGTGGCTACTAGATCCTCTTGGGGGATTATTTTTAAAAAGGCAGTTTTTTGCCAATAAATGGGCACTAACACCTTCCAATAGATATCCATTGGCTTGCAGAAAAAAAAGTGTCAAAAAATTTATCATTGGAGAAAAGTCAATGTTTCCATTAGTATTAATGTGGCTAAAGATGGCTCAAGGGTAAAATTATTCAAAATACTATGCATCACAATAGTGCCACCCTGTGGACTACTCTCTCTCTCACCCTATGGGGAAAGAGGCTATGTGAAAGGAAAATGAATTTCTAGAGCAGCAAAACAAAATTCTTTATTTTTTTTACATAGAAATTGATTGTGTTTGCTATCAGTGATGTAATTATTTTACAAAGAAGCCCTTGAACTATGGCAGAAATTCTGGATGCTCTGTCACTATGTGTCAATCTCAATATATCAATCATAACGCGTGTGATTTGGGGTTAATATGAAGCAAAAACAAACTTCTCTTAGGTTAAGTATATTTTCCGAGATTTAAACTAGTTTCCTAATTTTTTTCCCCAGGTTTCCAAATTCTTAGTGTAACACCAACCAAATATCAAAAGAGATTATTAGAGTTTCAATAAAATAAATAAAATTAAAGAATAAGTTTATAATTCACATTATTCCATTACATGCATTATTAGAGAGGACATTTCATTAAAGCATGCAAGCTGCATTTTTTTTAAATTTCGACATGTAGATAGTTTAAACTAGAAGCCAGCCAACACTTTGATATAGCATAAGACAACTGGGAAATGTCAGTTGACTAAAGTGGTTATTTGAAGAAAATAAGCAAACACAATATTCTTTTTGTCTATTGATATGTGATGCTGTACTGTTATTGGGCAAACTTTTTAATTAATAGAAAACTCTAATGCTTATGATGACAAAAACACGTTCTGTAAAATAGCACTGTATATGAAAATAGGACAAAAGGGGGAAATTAGAACTCTGAAACCACAGTGTCAATGAACATCACACAGATTGAAGATCACAGTAATGAATGACCAACATCTTTAGGCTGGAAAGAGTGGGAAAAATTAAGAATTTCATGGAGATGTTATTTTCAAAAATAAACTCAATAAAATCACCAAACTCACCATTGGGTTCAGAATGTAACCAATCATCTCTTTCACTTTTATGTTACCTTTGTGGAGTTTTATTAATGGAAATGAAGAAATTTACTAGAAAAACATGATTGTAGGCACTGTTAAATTTACTTTCTCTTTGTATAATTTCATGAGTGACCTGAACTGCTTTGCAGCATCAGTAGGGAAAAAGATAAATATATGAAATTAAAAGGTGAGAATAAATTTAAAAAGTTTTTATCTCTCCAGTGAGAAAGTGATAATCATAATGTTTAGTTAAAGCTATCATCTAACCAAATCCATCAGTACACTGATTTTTTAACTTGAGATTTTAATAATGCTGAAGCATTTCCGTCACCTCAGTATTAGTGCTTCCTTGTTTAAATCTCAAAGGGCCACCATCCAAGGCTGCAAATATACAAATGATAAAATTTTGGTATTTAAGAATACCCATCTTCTAATAGGACAGCCATGACAATAATAATGGCATTGATAGAAGAAAACAAGAAAATTTCAAGAAGATAAATACTAGGGAAAGTTTTTAGATTAACATGCAAGTATGATACCCTCCCTCACAAAAATCTTCATTAACACTAAGCCTGTAAATTTCATAGAATACTTCTTGAACTAGGAGAACTGGAATCACTCATCCTGTTAGAATGCAATTAATTGGAACCTCTTGAACCAGTATCTTGTGTGTTAGGAGTTGTAAATCTCAACTGTTAAGCATCTTCAGGCACTAAACAAGATCTGAATACTAACGGGTTCATTTATTTCACTGATTACTGTATGCAGATATGAAATTCCAGGCACTGATTTTTCATTAAACCACTCTCTTAAGGTTAACTTGGCTCTCTCTTTTCACCTATGAATCCATATGCTTGCCACGAAAATTGTAATATTGATTTTTAACATTTCCCCACAGTTCAAAAATATTGTTTGCAAAAAATCAAGGGCCTTTTCTAACAATTCATGTAATTCCTGTTATTAGCTAATGTGTAAGAGTAGGGAACAATTAAACATACTGTATACAAAATCTTACCATGCTGAATTGCACCCAAGATATTAGTTCAGTCATCCTTCAAATTACCTCACAACTAAAAAGGATCAGATACTTAAATAAAAACTTCAGGCAAGGTAGGAAAGAAGTCTTTTATCATCCCTGTATATTGCAAAAGTGTTCCATTCTCTCGAAATTCACATTATATTTATTAATGAGCAGCACATGGAAAGAAAGAAAATGAGAGAAAGAGAAAGAGAAGGAAGGAAGGAAGGAAAGAAGGAAGGAAGGAGAGAAGGAAGAGAAGAAAAGATAAAGAAGGAAAGAAGTCAGGATGGTAGGAAAGTGAGAGACAGAAAGAGGGCTAGAGCTAGAGATAACGATGAGAGAGATAAAAGAGATAAACTCTAATGTCTTTGATATCCCCCAATTTAAAAGAGAAGGATGTGACCCCCCCCCGTTTACATATAATGGAACAAGCCAAGTCTCCATTTACTACATGTGGACAGTAAGAAAACTTGCATGGGGAAAACTTTTGGGGGGAAATGAAGGTGATTTCCGAGCTGCTACTGCAGTTGTATATGACACTGACATTTATTTCCTATAATTCTTGCCCACAGGAAACACATCCTATAAGAAACTGAATAAAATCAAGTTTGACATTCTCATAATCTGCAAGGCATCAAGTTCCCTGAGAAGCTCACATTCCCCCAAAACACACACATATATGTAAGGAGCAAGACATTCAGGCGATGAGCTGTGAAAGGTACTTCCACATTGTGTGGGTGCCAAGGATTTGGTTATTCCTGAACCTGAATCCAAAAAGCGGGGGTGGGGTGTGCGATGACAAATGAGGGTGAGAAGAATGTTTCCATGAAACCAGACACCCTTTTGGAATCTAGGCTGAGAATCAGGATCCCACCCCCTTGCCTACCGCCAGGCTCCAGTAAGCAACCTCTGGCGTCCTCCCCTCTGCTCCTTCCGCAGCAGCAGACATAGGGATCCCGAGTAGCCAGAGAGCTTAGGTCCCGCCGAGAGCTCCTGCCAAGCGCTTCTCTCTCGACTAGTTATCAATTGAGAAAAAAAGGATCAGAGACACATAAGGATGGTGATCAAAATCCAGTGTCAGGCACCAGGTTCCCAGAAGGTTCCAGCTCCTCTTCTACGCCCTTACCCAGCTCTTTTCGCCTGGCAAAGGGTCACCCAGGGAGCCCCCAGCAGCAGATCCTTCCCTTTTATAGCACCAATCTTCGCCGCCACTGCCACACTGCGCGCCCGCTATCCACTCACCGCACACCGAGAAGGCCTGGCGGAGACAGCGCAGGGGGAGGAGGGTGGATTAAAAGGATAGATTTTTGGAAGGGTAAGGGAGAAAAACTTTGATGTTGTACCCACACACAGAACTGAGAAGAAACCAAAACAAGTTGTAGCTTCAGGAGCGGGGAGGACGCTTTCGCCAGCTCAAAAAAAAAAAAAAAAAAATTCACCCCCTACCAAATCAGGGGGAGGAAGCTTCCTGTTCCTTGAGCGATCACCGAGCGCACCTCGCAATCTCTGATCTTCGAACCCACTGAAAAAGCACAAGGCATGGGGAGTCCTGTTGGTTCACGCCCCGGGTGCGAATACCAAAAGCAACTCCCGCTGGAAAGCCTGCAGGAAACTCGAGACAAAGACAGAGGCAAACGCAACGCTGGGAAGAGCCAGGGGTGCTGCCGTCTGCAAAAGCAGAGACGCGTCTCCCTTCGGGCAAAGTGACTGCTACAAAGTCTGTTCCCTCCTGCGCAGGGACAGAGACATTTAAAGGCCTGAACGGACGTCAGCACCAGTAGAGCTCGCTGGGTGAGCGCCAGGCCTCCCCGCCCCAAGGATAGCGCGCACAGGGCGATCTGCTGCTCGCGAGGTAGAAAGTGGCTTACTTGGGGAGAAAACAGAGCTGGTGGCGCTGCTGAGTGTCAAACCCTGGAGCCCATCGTCAAGACGTTATATTGGTGGCAGTTCTGCTGTGAGTGCACTTGCCGAATTGAACAGAGCCAGAGCTGCGTGGAGAGAGGTCTGGCCACTCTGTGCGCGCACACCCAATATTGGCTTACCAAGGAACTCAACACCTGGTTTTTAGAAAGAAACACTTTTCTCTTTAGCTCTGGTTTGAGTCAGTATTCTGATTCGTTTCTCAGTTAGTTGAAATCCATCAAGATGTCTTTTACAAGAAAGGGATTAGACTTTCCCGTTCTTGAAATTCCAATCAAGATAATACTTAATCTTTCCTTAAGCCCCACTGTCTACTTCCTAACTCAGAGTCACAATGGATGAAAGTATTCAAGTGTCTTCAAATGACCATTACCCTGCATTCTAAGACGATTTGCATACTTTGACGCCCTTTAGTAACTGCAAATTATATTTTTTCAAGTTCGTTTGCCAGCTGGCTTCAGATCAGGTTCAGTCAATGAAAGCTGGTGTGTAGGAAATCGGCCGGTGCCCAAAGGGTAACAGCTAGGTTGTTCCTCCTCCTTTGCCTCTGCTATGGGTGACATCTACACCATTACCTGTCCTCTAAATGGTTCTAGTTTCCATCAGGGAACGCTGGCTCCTTGTCTTTAGTAGCTTGACCTTCCCCCTTTATACTTTCAACCTGTTTCTGATTATAATTTGATTTCTCATATAGAGTAATCAGAGGGAGACAATTTACTGATTTCAACCAATTACTATTCTCTATATTTTATTTATTTATCATACTATAAGACTGCATTTTATGTGTGTTTTAAGCATGATTCAGCCACTCAAAATTTGACAAAAGCAGCATTGGTAGCTTCCAAAAGGAAGGTCAGATCCTGCTGTGTGGTAAACTAATTAACATGAGATCTACGACCTACAGGCTTAGGGTTTTACTTTGATGACTGTTATTTTTATAATTCTGAGTATCAGTGTTCAACATATTTGATGGCTATCCTCATCAAATGATCCTAATTTATTCATTCACTTATTCATGTACTCTTTGAAAATATGTATTGACATCTTCTGTATCCCTGTCCTCATACATATCTCAGTTTTGTTGCAACAGAGGAAAGCATATGGTGAAACAAGGAGTTGGCCCCTTCTTGACAACTTGTGCAGATACAAGTGCTTTGAATGGGGAAGAGACTGGGAATGCAATTTTCTTAGTGTGGTGAGCTATTCTGCAATATTATAACAGATTCAATATTTAAAGAGCTGCAACTCAAAATGAATAAGATAAATTGAAGTGTTGTGATTTAAGTGCAAATTAAACTCTCCAAAACATCAAAATACAGGTTTTGCATGTAATTAACAAAGCAAAGAGAGACTGTAAATCTTATGTGGTAATTAGATTGGTCCATGGTAAAACTGAGGTAGCTGGTAATTTATTTTTCTATGTTGGGAAAGAAATTTAAAAACAAATATAGTAAACAGCAATTAATGTTTTATGATTTGTAAATAAAGTTATATTTTTAAGATTGAAGCCTCTCTTACCATTCTCGAAGAGCCATTTCAAGCCTTGAATCTCTCAGGGCTTCAGTTTGAATTATTATAACTTTCCAGTTTGAGAACATTTTTCATTTATTCAACACTTAAATTGTATGAGATTATATTTTCAGGAACAATTATGTTTATTTTTTATATGAAATAAAAGTGGACAAAATATTAACTCATAATTTTAAAACTGTTATTACAACAAATACAAGGCATATTATAATTGTCAATAAAAAGAGAAGTGCCTGTAAAATTATAATAAATCATTCAAATATCTTAAAAGCAAAATGCATAAAAGGTAGAATGTATATATTTTCATTTGAATGACTGTTTTTTAATTAAAAGAAATAACAGGATTCTTAAAACATTCAATTAGAAACTACGGATTTTCAGCTTTTCCCGATTCTATTAGAAATGTAAAACAAAATAAATTTAAATTCAAAAACATGACGGACCCTTCATAATGTATTCTGCCTACTCATTCCATGTCACTTCTAATTTCTCCCTTCATACAAAATATGTTGAAATCATACTAAATCTTTGCCTTCTGTGCTTTTATTGTAACACACTCCATCATCTTTGCAGTTGCAATTTTCTGTTCATATAATTTGCCTTCTTCCATTTTATGGCTTAGCATCTTTTTATCTTTCTTGGATCATCTAAGGTTTAGCTTTCTTGTGGAAATCTACATTGGCTGCACTTCCTAGATATTCCCATTGGGCGTTGATATCCTCTTATAGCACTTCCTCCACTACGATGTGTTGCCACACTTACTAACATAGCTAACCTGTTACACAGTAAGAACTGTTAGGGGAGAGTTAGGATAAAAAGACTAAAGTGGGTAGAGTTAGGGTTTGGGTTACAATACTAGCTGTATCTTGATTTGCTAGCATAGCATACATACTAGTCAACAAGTATATATGTATTGAGTATATCTATAAATAAATCAATAACTTTTAAAACATGGACCTTTGGTTTCTATCTTATAAAAAGCTTCCCTAAAATGTATGAAAGGTCTCACTGACTTTATGAAATATACATTGCTCTGATTTCTTATTTATTTTTATTTATTTATTTATTTTGAGACAGAGTCCCTCTGTCGCCCAGGCTGGAGTGCAGTGTCACAATCTTGGCTCACTGCAACCTCCGTCTCCTGTGTTCAAGCAATTCTCCTGCCTCAGCCTCCCGAGTAGCTGAGATTACAGGCACATGCCATCACACCAGCTAATTTTTATATTTTTAGTAGAGATGGGGTTTCACCATGTTGGCCAGGCTGGTCTCAAACTCCTGGCCTCGTAATCCGCCTGCCTTGGCCTCTCAAAGTGCTGGGATTGCAGGTGTGAGTCACCGTGCCTGGCCCCTTGCTCTGATCTTAGTCTTCTTAAGCTCTGGTCCTTAACATTTGAGAATGTCTGACAGGACCCATGAATTTTATTTTTTTAAAACTTGTATATGCCCAAAATTTGCATGCAGTTTGTATGGAATTTTGCAAAATGTATGGAAATCCTGAAGTCTGGTTTTTTTTTTTTTTTTTTTTGGCAGGGTCTCATTCTGTCACCCAGACTGGGATGTGGTGGTGTTATCGTAGCTTACTGTAACCTTCAACTACTGGGCTCAAGCAATCCTCCAGGCTCAGCCTCTGAGTAGCTAAGATTAAAGGCATGTGACACCATGCCCAGCTTATTTTATTTTATTTTTTTCAGAGACAAAATCTTGCATTAAAGCCCAATCTGGTCTCAAACTCCTGTCCTCAAGTGATCCTCCTGTCTAGGCCTATTAATCCCAAAGGGCTGGGATTCCAAACATCAGCAGCTGTGCTCAACCTTGAGGTTCTGGCTGTAATCTGGCTGTTATTTATCGAAACAACAGAAGTTCTTGGTATTAACAGTCATTCTTCTTCAGAGAGTCACCCCACAAGACTCAGATGAATATAGTTAAGAAGCCAAAATGAGGTCATTATGGCAGAACAGAATTGATAGTGCACATTAAAAGACATTACACACTTTGGGTGATTCAACTAAATCATAGTCTGAAATGCAGTTACAAAGTGGTAATGTTCAAACGATCATCTATTAGTCAAAGTTACAAGAAAAGTCCTGGTTATGTTGGTAAAAATTGTATCTGTGATTATCCATCTTCAAATGATTTGTTAAATGTTTATTAAGATAAAAAAGTTACATTTCAAAAGTATTTATATTATTTGTCAATTCCTCCATAACAAATTATCCCAAAATAAAGTATAATAATGAAATTTTAAAAAAAGATGAGAAACATATTCTTCACCACAAAAAAAAAAAAAACCTTTATTATCTCGAAGTTTCTGTGGTGCAGGAATCTGGGCATGGCTTAACTGGGTCTTCTATTCAGAGACTCTCACAAGTTATAATCAATCTCACTCACATGCTTGATGGTATATTCAGTACTTTGACAGCTGTTGTCCAGAATTCCATATAATGTGAGCCTCTTCAGTATGGGAAGGTTTCTTCATCAAAATGTGCGAAGCCAAAAAAAAAAGCCATTGAAAAGAGTCCAAGACAGAAGTCACATCTTTTGTCAACTAATCACAGAATCAACCTCTCATCATGTTTGCTGTATTCTGTGCAACAGCAGCAAGCCTATGGATCCAGCTGACACCCATGGGGAGGGTATTAGACAAGGGTTGGAATCCCAGGAGATGGAGACCATTAGAAACTACATTAATCTGCTGATTACAGTAGTTTGCCAAAGAATCCTGAGATAATAATTCTGGGCTCAAAGTTCTTATGAGGCACTGAGGCAGGACAATAAAGTAACAGAAAATAATACTATATTAATTTTAATGATTTACTAATACTAATATACTGGTATAATGTACTAAAATAGTATACTACATTTTTGGTAATTTGTCCAGGAGTAATAGAAACAAATCCAAATATTAAATATCAAAGCATATTATAATTCTATGATAATTAACTCTGTAATTTAAAAAGTCTAATATAGGAATATACCAAAAAAGAAAGCTTTAACAATATACGTTATTGCCTAATATATCAAAATGGAGCCTTCACATATGAAATTAGTAAAATATTTTTGACCTAATAATTTCATTTTTAGCTTTTCTCTAAGAAGTCATATTGTTTGCAAAAATGTTATGTACCAAGGAGTTTATAACATGCAGTTGTAGTCAGGAAAAATTTTAAATTAAAAATGTGCAATAAATATATGTAAAAACAGAATAATATAGGCATCTAAATAGCCCTATATAAAAAGGCAAACATAAAATTACAAATTAGCATTAACCAAAAATATGCTCTGAAGTACATCCCTTGATTGAATTTACTTAAGTTTCTTTTGGAAAAAAATAAAAATAATTGTATTTGCTAGTAAGAGAAGGTAGAACATTATTTGCCCATTTGTTTTCAGAAGTAAAGCAAGACATTTATGTTTTCAGAAGTAAAACAAATACAATATTTTCTAAGTAATAAGGTTGAGACAAGAAAAAACCAGCAATGAGTCAAAATGTCTATTTACATTCTTTTACAGGAAAACAAGACTTAGCTACTTTCTTCCAAAAAAAAATTTAAGTAGAAATGTTACTGTTTTACTAAAAGTAAATACATTTTACATACTTCTCTCATAATTTTAATCTGGAGTTCAGTTATGGTGATCATATTAGTCAGTGTTTTCCAGAGAGACAGAACCAATAGGAGAAAGAGACAGGGAGATGAAATAAGGCATTGTTTAGCATGATTATGGGGGAAAAGACATCCCAAGATCTGCAGTCAGCAATCTGGAGACTCAGGAGAGATGGTGGCATAGCTCCAGTGTGAAAGCTGGCAGGCAGGTTTGACACTCAATGAAAGCCAAAGTTTCAGTTTGAGTCCAAAGGTGGGAAGAAACCAATGTCCCATCTCAATGCTTTCAGGTAGGAGGAAGTTCCTTCTTACTCCTAGGAAACTCAGCCTTCTTATTCTATTCAAGACTTCCACTGATTGATGGGACCCACCCACATCATTGGGGAAGTCTACTTTACTCAGTCTACGAATTCAATACAGAAAAAGATACAAATAAGATATCATTTAAATTTTTAAAAAATCATTGCTAATCAAAATGTAGCATTTTAATTGTGTTTTTAGAGTTTTGTAAGTGTCCTTAATTTTTCAGCTTATTCTTAAAAAATCAATTTCACTTTATTCAAAATTCCCTTTTGGAAAACATTAAATGCTGGCCCATATAATCTTAGACTTTACATGCTTTTTGATAAATATAACATTAAAAGTAGCATGTGTAGTCATTTAAATTACACATATAAGATGTACATATATTATTCTCCAGAGGAAATAAAACTGTTAAGAACTCTGATTTAGGTAGGGTTCTCCAGAGAAACAGAACTGATAGAAGATGTGTGTGTGTGTGTGTGTGTGTGTGTGTGTGTATAGACAGAGAGCGAGAGAAGAAGTGAAGAGAAGACATTTATTAGGAGAATTGGCTTATCTGATTTCAGAGGCTAAGAAGTCTCATAATAGGCCACGTGCAAGCTGGAGAACCAAGAAACTTGTTAGCATGGCTCAGTCCAAATCCAGAGGCCTTTCCAGACTTTACCACTAATCAACGCATTATATTTAGAAAGGTATCATAGTAAGTCTCTATTTCAATTTAAAATTCTCTATTTTCAGTGACAATGAAGGACAAAGGATCAAATTTTATAATTATTGTGAAAAGAGATTATAGAGAAAGGGCCTGGATAATACCAAAAATAGAAGAACCATCCATCTGGGGCAGAGAATCAGCAGTGATATTACTTGAAATATGGAAATTAATAGTATGTATGGTTGAGTTTAAGATCTAAAACATAAAAGTTAAATCTAAATCTAAAATATGTGATTTAACTCTCTAGAATATATCTACTCAATTATATGAAACAAGCGGGCTGATTCTCAATACTTTATCAATAATAAAGGTTTTTCCAAATATTATTGAAGAAATATCAAAGTGTCTAAAAAACAAAGCCTTAGACCATGAACCATAGAGAAAAAGAAAAGGTTTGCCATAAAAAGTGAATAACCTTTTTATTCCCAGTTGTGATGTGTTCATACAAACCATTAGCACTTTCATTTCAGTGAATTATGCCAGTTCTTGCTTTACCTTGTCAAGATTATATATATGATTATATAAGCCAAACATGCTTCCAAGCTGTAACTCACACGAAAATAATAAAGACTGTGAATGAACTGACTATATTTTATACAAAACAAAATCATACACTTATTTTAGATTTGAAAATATTTGGGCAATAGGTTAATTGGATCTCTTTTCAGTGTTTGGGATGTGTGTGCATACGAATGAGTGTATGTCTTTGTGTGTCATCAGCTCAACCTACCTTGAAGAAAAAATATGATAAAGTAAATAAATAAAATATATATTATCAGAAGTCGGTAGAGATAAAAAGTACAAAATTTGATGAAGGTCTCTGTCTTGTTTATCATTACATGAGAAAGGAAAAACTTGTAATATAAGACAAAAATTATTTTTTATAGTAGCTATTTTTGAACACTGCTCTGCTCAACAATTTTGCATCCATTAAAATAAATATGAGAATCAAATATTTCAAAGCAATGCTATAAAATACTATAGGCATGGGCAAGGACTTCATGTCTAAAACACCAAAAGCAATGGCAACAAAAGCCAAAATTGACAAATGGGATCTAATTAAACTAAAGAGCTTCTGCACAGCAAAAGAAACTACCATCAGAGTGAACAGGCAACCTACAAAATGGGAGAAAGTTTTCGCAACCTACTCATCTGACAAAGGGCTAATATCCACAATCTACAATGAACTCAAACAAATTTACGAGGAAAAAAACAAACAACCCCATCAAAAAGTGGGCAAAGGATATGAACAGACACTTCTCAAAAGAGGACATTTATGCAGCCAAAAGACACATGAAAAAATGCTCATCATCACTGGCCATCAGAGAAATGCAAATCAAAACCACAATGAGATACCATCTCACACCAGTTAGAATGGCAATCATTAAAAAGTCAGGAAACAACAGGTGCTGGAGAGGATGTGGAGAAATAGGAACACTTTTACACTGTTGGTGGGACTGTAAACTAGTTCGACCATTGTGGAAGTCAGTGTGGCGATTCCTCAGGGATCTAGAACTAGAAATACTGTTTGACCCAGCAACCCCATTACTGGGTATTTACCCAAAGGACTATAAATCATGCTGCTATAAAGACACATGCACACGTATGTTTATTGCGGCACTATTCACAATAGCAAAGACTTGGAACCAACCCAAATGTCCAACAATGATAGACTGGATTAAGAAAATGTGGCACTTATACACCATGGAATACTATGCAGCCATACAAAATGATGAGTTCATGTCCTTTGTAGGGACATGGATGAAATTGGAAATCATCATTCTCAGTAAACTATCGCAAGGACAAAAAAAGAAACACCACATGTTCTCACTCATAGATGGGAATTGAACAATGAGAACACATGGACACAGGAAGGGGAACATCACACTCTGGGGACTGTTGTGGGGTGGGGGAAGTGGGGAGGGATAGCATTAGGAGATATACCTAATGCTAAATGACAAGTTAATGGGTGCAGCACACCAGCATGGCACATGTATACATATGTAACTAACCTGCACATTGTGCACATGTACCCTAAAACTTAAAGTACGATAATAATAAAAAATAAAATAAAGTTTTAAAATAAAATAAAATATTTGTATGTAGAAATTTGTTGATGCCCTCCTCAGCATCCTGTCCATGTCTTATTTTATATCAGCACAATTCACAATTGCAAAAACATGTAATGAGCCCACATGTCCATCAATAAGTAGATTAAGAAATTGTGATATAAATAAATAAATACATAAATATATGGGAATACTAGTCAGCCATAAAACGAAAAAAATAATGGGATTCACAGCAACCTGGATGGAATCAGAGACTATTATTCTAAGTGAAGTAACGTCAGAATGGAAAACCAAACATCGTATGCCCTCGCTCGTATGCGGGAACTAAGCTATGAGGATGCAAAGGCATTAGACTACTATAATGGACTTTGGGGACTTGGGAGAAAGGGTGTGGGGCGTGAGGAATAAAAGACTACAAATTGGATAGTGTATACTGCACAGGTGTTGGGTGCATCAAAATCTCACTAATCACCTCTAAAGGACTTACTCTTATAATCAAACACCACCTGTTCCCTAAAAACCTATGGAAATAAAATAAAATGAAGAAATTTTGTGTATGCATACCACATATTTTTTAACTTTTTTCACAGGTTCATTGAGATATAATTTATATATTATTTAATTCACTCATATAAAGTATAAAATTCAATTTTTTAGTGCATTAACTGGGTGAATATGCAATCACCACAATATAATTTTAGAACATTTTTATGCTCCTTAAAAGAAACCTTGCACCCATTAGCAATCTTTCCTCATTTTCCCCACTCTTTCTTTAAACCTCTCCCAGCCTTAGGCAACCATCCATCTACTTCCTAAGGATTTGCCTATTCTGGAAGGATTTGCCCATCCTGGACATTTCATGTAAGCGGAATCATAATAATATATAGTTACGTGCGACTCACTACTTTCACTTACCATGTTTTCAATGTTTATCCTTTTTGGAGCATGTATTAATACCTTTTTCTTTTTCATTGCCAAGTAATATTATATTTTATGGACAGGCCACATTTTATTACTCTACTCCTCAATTGATGAACATTTCTGTTGTTTCCTACTTTTTGTTGCTATAAATACTTGTATGCTACTTTTTGTGTAGACGTTTGTTTTAATTTTTTTAGTGTACACATAGGAGTGAATTACTGAGTCACGTGGTAATTCTATACTTAACCTTTTGAAGAACTGTTTCATTTTTCTGCATGTTGCCTGCCAATTATCTCAGCACCATATATTGAAGAGTGTCCTTTCCCCACTTTATGTTTTGTTTGCTTTATCAAATATCAGATCTGTAGATTGTTTGGGGTAGCATTGAGATTTTGACAATATTATTTTTTGAATTCATAAATATAGGATATTTTTCTATTTGTCACTTCCAAATTCTTTCATCAATGTGCTATAATTTTCAGTATACACATCTTTCACACCCTTCATTAAAATTACTCCTTAGTATTTTATTTACTTATATATTTGTTTTGTTGCTACTATAAATGTAATTACTTTATTAATTTATTTTTCGGATAGTTTGTCATGGGTGTTTAGAAACAAGAATACTATTTGTATGTTAATTTTGTAACTCTCAACTTTATTGAATGTGTTTATCAGCTTTAACAGGTTTTTTCGGTGGAGTCTAAGATTTTCTTTACATTAGGATTACATTTTCAGAAAACAGAGACAATCTCACCCCTTCCTTTCCTATTTGGATGCCTTTCATTTCTTTGCCTTGTATAATTACCCTGGCTAGTAGATTACATACAATGTTTTCAGCATCTGTAATTTGACATCAAATCCATCCATTGTAATACACTGATTTTCACTTTTCAACTTAAAAACCTGGACATTTATCACTACTCTCCCTTTCTCTTGGCCTAGTCCTTATTTAAAAAAAAAACCTACCAATCTAAACTAGGATATTTATTTTTCTATAATACAATTTCAAAGGCATTTTAAAAATTTAACAATTTTTAAACTTTCTATGTCAATGATTTTAAACTGCGGTCTCTCAAAACAAATCCAATACCTTTAGTAGGAAAAATTATGTTAATTCCTACACTATCATTGGGTTGAGCCAAGAGTTGATATTAATAGATATGCTTATTTATTACCTTGTTCTAACAGTTGTAGTGTAAGTCTTGAAAATCAAGTAAAAATTTGTAAAGATTGTAATTGCACAAACTCCCTCTCATGAGTCACACAGTTAATCCAAAATATTATTTCTAAATTATAAAGCCAACAAGTAAATACAATGTAGTGTTTAAAAATAATCCTAATAAGTATATTCTAGAAGTGAAACATTAATTGATACTATTTATTGAATATCTCCTATTTATTTACATAGAAACAAAGGAAAAGCATATTATGTAACATTCAAATGACTAAAAATACTTGAGATAGCATTGCTAAATGCTATGTAAATGCTGACAAAAGTAAAAATGCCATTCGCTACATTTGCTAAATATATTGTGACACATTATAAGTATTTTAAAGATATATCACTAATGCTTGGGTCAAGTGGGCAAAAATGATTCTAAGTATTTAATTGCGGAAAAATTTAGTACAGAGGATAGTATTCAAGTGATGGAAAAATTTAAAGTGGAACTCAGAGATTAGAAGCAGCAGGAAGTTTTAATAACGTACCAGGTGCAGTGTATAGGATACAAGACAGAACTGCAGGTAAAGTCTGACTCTTTCCAGCATAGCTAGGAGACATGGCTAACTCCACCTGTCCCCCAGGCCTTACCTAGAAGTTGAGCAGCTCCAAACCAGGTAAACAGAACAATTTTCCAAAGTCAATCAATTTATGACGTTAAAGCACTTCTAAAATTTAACCTCTGACTTAAATTAGACAAAATGGATAAATTTTGATGATTTTTTTTACCAATGATTTTAACACTGTCTTTATTTCCCAAAGATTACTGAAGTCATGTGAAATAAAAGGCATTGGAGATTCTATTTTTCTGACAAAATATTTAAGAGCCGTCCTTTTCTTCTAAGCCAAGTAATTAGGGCTCCTTTACATATCCAACACATACACAACACTTCTAGACAGGAGAAGATCTAGCAGTTGTAAGTTTTTCTTTCTCATTTTATGAACCCTAGCACAACTTCCACAGACCATCTATGACATGAACTTTCTGACTTTTCCTGTATTTCCCTCTTTCATAATTAGTCATTCTACTTTAGGACAAGAATTTGCCATACAAGATCCTCTCTCATATAACATTTCTTTCCTTCATAACTTTTTTACCATAAATACATCTTCATATCCACAACTTTCTTTAGATCTCTCTCCCCGACTGATTTCTGATGCCCAACCAAACCTAAAAGGTCAGATAACGCAAAACAAAACAGAGGAGAGCCTTAGATTTTGAGAGAGACCTGTCTGCCTGAAGTTCTTGGGGTTCCATGAGGACAACAGAGGTTTCTCCTAAAATGGGTTTTGTAGCACCTTCTGTTTTTCTTTAAGGAGTCCCAGGCTGTCAGAAATTACCGTAGATCCTCTCATGTGGGCACTGAGTGGCAACAAGACAGACTAGGGAACAGTGGCAACAAGACAGACAACTGAGCAGAAAAAGAAAAACTTACTACAGTCCCCACTGTAAAGATGGATAAACTGAGGCACCAGGCAGTTTAAAAATTCATGTTACATAGAGTTTGGCTCCACAGCTCACTCTCTTAACCATCCTGTAATTTTGCTGAATCTATGCCCAGTCACTGATGCACCTGTATGGTACCTCATGGCCCCCTTAGAGCTTAGAACCTGGGTTTCATTTCTGCTCTACAGCTATAGAATTTAACAATTTTCCTCTGAATTTGTTGGATTCTAACCCTATATTTCTAAAATTTTATTAATATTACTGAATCTTAAAGGGAGCTGTGATGTCTTTAGTCTTTAGAAATATTAAATCTATAAACAAAGGACTATATGAAGTTAAACTGTATTCAAATTTCTACATGCTTTAAAACATTGAGGCAACGTATTAAGAAACACACCTAAGAAACTGCAACCAATCTACTCTGGACAAAAATTTAGATACTATCTCTTCAAAATAAGCTACCTAGTGGTATTTATACATATTCTTCCAACAGTATCTTACATGCTCATAGCCTTAAAAATAACTAAAGTGTCAGAATTATAGGCATTACACATTTCTGTTGGCTTGAAAAATGATACAAAATGCATAAACCTCTAGAGTGATCAGTTTAATAAAAGAGTTCATACCAAAGGTAATAATACTAGGAATCAAAGAGGGCTAAACACTGCAGGTTCTTAAAGGCAAAAGTTAATAAAACCTTGTTTTTGGTTGTGAATGTTTACCTTACAACATTAGACACATGATTCTTCCCCTTTCTTTTTCCTCTTGCAAAGATGTGGTGATGAACCCTTTGCTCATGCAGATGACAATACTCTTGAAAATGGTGGCAGAAAAAAAAATGAAGGGAATATGGTTCAATTAATCATCTCATAAATTAGAACTTATTACCCCTGTGACTCTTGCATAGCTCCAGAAAAAAATATGTGAGAGAGATGAAATGGCTGTTTGCTACCAATATTTTGTGATGCTTCATTTTTTGATTCCTTGAATAACACATTAGTCCATTTATGCCAGAGGTTGCAATTTTTTGAATTTTTGCATAAGTGAAAAATCAGACCTTGCCGATGACATTTAACAGTAAGATATAAGTAATTTCCACATGCTTAGCATGGAACACTAGGCATAAGTGGGTTGACACAATTATGAAAACATGGCTATTCAAGTAACTAATTATACAACTGATTTTTTTTCCTCATCTCTAAAACATAGTAAAGGATCAGTTATTTAAAAAACACAACAGTGACAAGTATTTTATTTTTAACTCAGTTTTGGTTTGTTAAGGCCATTGCTTGGCATAAAAATACAAAAACAGGAGGAGAAACAAGAATACAAACATGAAATAGAAGCAGTAGCAAAAGAAAATGAAGAGGAACAAGAAAATGAGAAGAAAATACACAATGGAAGAAAGGAAAAAGAACAGGTGTGGGAATTAGAAGGCCTATCATATGACACTTTTTATCCCCTGCTCGATTCATAAAATTTGAGTAACTCCAAGAGTATCACAACAAAAAACAAGCAAAAGGATACATAAATAGTCACCCCCTAAATTTTGTTAAGAATGAGATAATGCTGCCACTCACGCCTAGCTCAGGCACCAGCAGGAGGAGGGCACTCTCCAGAGATTGCAGAAGGGGGAGGACTCCTCTTTGTCCTAGGTGTACCACCACCACTGCCACCGAGGCCTTCGTTACAGCACCCACAGGTTCCTCCCCACCCCAGAACGGGATGGGCCCTGCAGTGCTCCTACTCCCCCTTCCCAGCCCCCAGACTTCCTACTGCTACCACCACTAGCGCCAATGCCAATACAACCAGTCACCCTCAACGTACCAGCCCACCCTACCAGGCTCCTACCTCCAGGCCCCCGTGGGTGCCCTCCTACCGCTCCAGTCGAGCTGTGGTCTCCATCTCCACCACCAACTGCATGAGGCAAGCTGCAGAGCCACGTCATCTGCTCCACCGTACCACAGGCGACTCCTCCTTCTCCTCCTTCAGCCTGGCTTGGAGCAGCTGGGCAGGCAAAGCCAGAAAAGCCGAAAACAGGACTCAGGGATTGGAACCATTAGAGCCTCACCTCGTTATGCTGGTGACTGGGTGTCAGGGATCAGTTTCATTGAAGGCACTCACACCCACCTTCCAAAGTCCAACCCCTCCTGGCAAAAGCTGGCCAGGAACTGGGGCCTGGGGTGGGAGTGAGTGCCTTCACTGAAACCGGCCCCTGGCCAAGTCCAGCTGGCCAGGAATTGCTGGGCCCACCAAGGCTGCCCTCCTCCGGGAGCCTGAGTAGGAGAAACTCAGACCCAGCCAGCGCTCCCCACCCAAGGGCTGGTTCCCATTCCTGACACCTCCACCCACAGTGCCCTGTCTCCCACTTCCCCCATGGTGCATACTACTCCCTGCCTGGTAGTCCCAGGTGGTCTTCGCAACACAAAGCATGAGGGCAGGCCGGGAAACCACAGTGGGTGTGGAGGCCCTACCATGCAATCCAGCTCGAGTGGAGAAAATCGCCTTCTAGAGTCTGGAGTCCGAGAAGAGGAAAACCATCCCTTACTTGGAAGCTATGAGAAGAAGGAGGCCACTGCTGTCACTGCCACTGCCACCTCCTCAGCTCGTCAATGCCGCTGGCAGTGTAGCCCCCATGGCACCCCTAATCTGCCCCCTGCCACTAGCAGTGTAGCCCCCAGATAGCACATCCAATACATCCTACAGTTTCAGGCAATGTAACCCCAATATCCCCCCACAAAAGCACTCCCCCCACACCTCAGGGAGCATACCACCCAATAGTGCCCACAATCTGACCCAGCCACGGGCAGTTCAGCTCCTAATGGTGCACCCCCCAGTCACAGACAGTGCAGCACCCAACAACGCCCCTAAACCACCCCCACTGCCAGCATTGTAGCCCCAGTTAACTCCACCCAACCCACTCCCTGCTGCTGGCAGTGCAGCAGAAGATAACGCCCCTAATCCTTCCCCAGCCACCAGCAATACAAGCTAGTGTACACAATCTGCCTCCCCTCACCACCCCTGCCACCACGGGCAGTATAGCCCCAGATAGCCAAGCAACCTGCCCCACCACCAGCAATGCAACCCCGGAGAGTGCCCCCAACCAGACCACTGCCACAGGCAGGGTAGCCTCTAGCAGTGAACCCCAATAGGACACCCAACACTTGCCCCCAGAGGCACACAGGGCAGGCCAGGAAAACTCACCTACCCCATCACGTTTCTACCACTGTGGCTAAGCTGCAGTCTCCGACGTCACCACCAACCACAGCGAGGCAAGCCATGGTGGCACAGGTTCCAGCCTCCAGCATGTGGCAGTGCCTCTTCCTTCTAGTCCTCCAGCCTGGCAGGAGAAGCTCCTGCTGCTGACCGCTCTCCTACTGCTCTATCGCCACTACCAACCGCAGCGAGGTAGTGACCCAGGCTCCAGGCTCCATCCATCCTCCACCCTCCAGCAGGTGGAAGGTTGCGGCTTCTTCCAGTTCTCTAAGCTGGACACAGAGTTGCTCCTCCGCTGGACACAGAAGAGCCTGAAATGACCTGACGCCACCTCAGCATGCTTTATATATGAGGTTATGCAAATGCAGTTCCTGGACTACATGTTCTGATTGGATGAGAAAAAAAACCTCTAGGCCTACTCTGATTGGACTTTATTTTCATGCTGTGATTGGTTGTGTTAAGACTTGCTCTCATCCAATCAGAACATGATCATAAAGTCCAATCAGAGTAAGCCTGGAGGTTTTTTTCTCATCCAATCAAGACATGCAGTCCAGGAACCTCCGTGGGCATTACCGCAGTATATAAATGATGCTGAAGCGGAAACACGTTTTTTCAAGTTCCTGTATTTTTATGTGGAGTTGCTCACTGCCCAACGTAGAGGACTAGGAATCAGGAGTCGGTGGCCGTATGCTGGAGGCTGGAGCCGCGGGAGCGCGGCTCGCCTCGCTGCGGTTGTTGGCAGTGACGGAGAGAGAGCAGCGCGGCTGGAGCAGGTAGGAGAAGGAAAACAGTTTTGGGACAGATAGAGGGGAGTAACGAGGGTAGTTAGGGCCAAAGGGAAAAAAGGATAGCTTAGCCGGAGAAGGCATTGCAAAAAGATGGCAGCGAAAAGATGGTGGGGAAAAAAGTTTTTGGGTAGATGGAGGTGTAAAAACAGGGTGGGGAGCGGGAGGGAAGGAAGGTTTTGCAGAAAGACGGTGGGTAAAAAGTTTAAGGGTAGATGGAGGGGGAAAAGAGGGTGGCAGGTGGGCGGAGGAAAGAGAGGGAGGTGATGGGGGAAAAGGGGGGGGAAGGGAGAGAAGGTTTTGTGAAAAGACAGTGGGGAGAAAATATAGTGAGGGGGAAAAGTTTTTGGGTTGAACAAAAGAGGGTAGCAAGTGGCAGAAGGAAAAAGAGGGTAGCCAGCAGGAGGAAGACAAAGTTTTGTGAAAAGACAGTGGCAGAAAAGAAAGATGGTGAAGAAAGAAAAGACGGGGGGTGAAAAGTGTTTTGATAGATGGAGGGGGGAAGAGGATAATGAGGAGGAAAGAGGGTGGCGACAGGTAGCAGGGATGGGGGTTGGGAAAACAACGGAAAAATAGTTTGGGGCAGAGGGAGGGGAAAAAGGGTGGCAAGCAGGATAGGGGAAAAAAGAGCACTAGTGGTAAAGGGGGGAGACTTTGAAAAGATGGTGGGGAAAGTTTTGGGGTGTAGATGGAGGGGGAAAGAGGGAGGTGAATAGCCGTGGGGAGAAGGCTTTGTGAAAAGACGGAGGGAAATGTTTTTGGGTAGATGGAGAAGCGAAAGAGAATGGCAAGGAGGAACGGGGAAAGACGATGAAGAAAACAGTTTTTGGTTGGATGAAGCAGGGAAAGAGGGTAGTGAGCAGCAGGAGTGGAGAGAAGGTTTTGGGAAAAGACGGGGGAAAATGTTTTTGCTTAGATAAAGGGGCAAAAGAGGGTGATGAGAGCGGGACGGGGAAAAAGAGGGTGGCCAGGGATAAGGGGAAAAGAGGGTGGGAAGAAACTGGGGAAAGGGTTTGGGTAGATGGATGGGGAAAAGGGTGTTGAGCAGGAGAGTAGAGGCGGCTTTGTGAAATGAGGGTGGGCAAAAAATGATGAAGTTTGGGGGCAGATGGTGAAAGAAAAAGGGTGGTGAGAGGGAGGGGGCCAAAGGCCGTTTGGAAAAGAAGGTAGGGAAATAATGGTGGGGGACAAAGGTTTGGGGTAGATTTTTTTAATAAGATCATTTGTATGTTTGCTTTTCAGTAGTTTGAGTTCTTTATGCATTTTTTGTATGAACCCCTTGCCTGATGCATGGTTTGCAAATACTTGCTTCCATTATCTGGGTTCTTTCATTTTTATTAAATTTTAATTCAATTTAATTTTTTTTAGACGGAGTCTCGGTCTGTCGCCCAGGTTGGAGTGCAGTGGCACGATCTCCGCTCACTGCCAAGCTCTGCCTCCTGGGTTCACGCCATTTTCCTGCCTCGGCCTCCCGAGTAGCTGGGACTACAGGCGCCTGCCACCACGCCAGGACACTTTTTTTGTATTTTTAGCAGAGACGGAGTTTCACCATGTTGTTAGCCAGTATGGTCTTGATCTCCTGGCCTCATGATCGGCGCCCCTCAGCTTCCCAAAGTGCTGGGTGTACAGGGGTGAGCCACCGCTCCCTGCCTGTTTTTTCATTCTACTGATTGCTTCCTCTGCTTTGCTGAGGCGTTTTTTTTGTTTTTGAGACGGAGTCTTGCTCTGTCGCCCAGGCTGGAATGCAGTAGCATGGTCTCAGCTCACTGCAAGCTCTGACTCCGGGTTCACGCCATTCTCCTGCCTCAGCCTCGCGAGTAGCTGGGACTGCAGGCGCAGGCTACCAAGCCCGGCTAATTTTTTGTATTTTTAGTGGAGACGGGGTTTCACCGTGTTAGCCAGGATGGTCTCAATCTCGTGAACTCATGATCTGCCTGCCTCGGCCTCAAAAAGTGCTGGGGTTACAGGCGTGAGCCACTGAGCCCGGCCTGGAAACGTAACTTTATTTTTTAGTGTTGTATTTGTGCATATACTTTAATAGCCCTGAGTTTTAATAAAGTTGCTTTTAAAAAATGTATCTTATATTTCAGAAATACACCCTAAGGCATGTGATTAGTTGGGTGGCATGTTGTTTAGTTTTTACAATTGAAGGATTGTCATTCCTTTGTACAAAAAAAAAAAAAATTAAACGTGAATTTTTATCATATGCTAGAGGAAAGAAGGCAGATACTAAATAATAAATATTGTATGCTTCCACGTAAATAAAATTTGAAATTATATAAAGACAATGCATTAAACTTTTCTGGGGTTGAAGTGGGGAATTCACTGGCAAAGGTCTTGCAATAAATGTGTAGGTGAAGGGAATATTCTATATTTGATTGTGTAGGTGGTTATCTAGCTTTATAAATTTGTAAAACTGAACTGGACTAAAATGTGTGCCTTATACGCAGATTATTCTATAAAACTGATTAAAACTAGTTAGAGAATCAGTCAAGGGGAAAAGAAAGAAAAGGCACGTGAAAAAATGCCAATGCACTAGAATTATCTTTGATGACATTAAATATAGCCTGGTCTTCTCTTAATTCTTTTTAAAATTTACGTAGATTTCTCAATCCTTTGATACTTTTTCCTCAACACATCTTATATTCTCATATATGTTAATGTATGGCTACATAAGAGAGGGCTCTCTTACAGTTGGACTGGAACAGCTTGATATTTATATCTAGAGATGCATCGGAAGCATAACACTGACCCGTGAGCAAGATGAAAATGGCATGTGCTAGTTAGTGATTCCTAATGTTGCTTTAAGTTTAGTGCCAACTGGTCTACATCGTTGAGAATGTTTAGTTTGATGGTTTACACAACTTGGCTTAAGAAGTATATGACCAACAATGTATGAGGGAGCCTGCTGTAAAGACTTTTCTGCACTTCCCTTTAATTATTATAGTAAGCTCAAATCTTGAAGGTTCATAATATACAGATAAACTGTGTCCGTGAGACTGAGAAAGGATCTTTAGGGAGAAAGGCCCTGTTCCTGAAAGACAGACATTCAATGATTTCCTGCATTTTATTTCTGTTGTACTTTACCTTTACCTTTATTAAACACTAATAAGGTGGTTCTTACAGGGCCTCATAGGCCTTTTTAGTTTTCCAACCTATTCATACTTGGTGCAAACCTAGTAATTTTTTGCGTGATAGTGTTGGGATTTTACTCTGAGGCTAGGCTTCACACTGTAAAAACAGCTTTTTGGAATTGTATCATTTTCAGTCTTCCCATCGTGTTCCACTGTCCCAGCCACACACACACCAGATATGAAGACTACAAGCAACCGCGAAAGGTGTAACACATGTATAGTAGATGTTTTTACCTCTTGTAAAATCTAAGGAAAATATACTAAAAATGAAGGCATCAGTAAAACAGTATCATTTTAGGTTGACCTCGAGTATTTCAACATCAGTCTAGCTTCAGAACAATACATTTGCAAGGGGAAATGGTGTACTTTTGTGGTTTTTTTACACCTGTTATTTCAATTGAAATTGAAAAAAACTAATTTGAACTAACTATAACCATAAAAAGAAGGTTTTGTCAGTATTGAAATAAAATAAAATGCATTTGTGGGACTGACCTCAGGACGCATTTTAAATAGTCAATACTACCTCTAAATCTCATTCCCCCTTCTCTGAGCATCAGCTTTATTCTTATTCCATCTTTAATTTGGCACTGACAGATACAGACTCATTCTTACAACATATACCATCAGAAGTGAAACCTTCACTCTCTCCAACTCTTGAAAAATCTGAGATGCACTTTGACTATTCTCAGATCATGGATCTATTACTTGGATCAAAAAGTATTGCACAGGGAAGTAGATACTATGATCTCTGACATTACAGTTTCAAGGTTGGAGTGAGAAAGGGATAGCTCCCTAACGAGGGAGTATCATAGAAATGATATTTTCATGGTTATACTTTTGTGAACTAGGCAGACATCCCTTCATGTCAACTACATCTCTACTTTGAACAGATAAATATCCATGCATATACAAAATTATACAGTAACATAAGCATGACTTTTCATTAAAATTTTAACCAAAACAGTCTATTTAGGTGAATAAATATCGATACAGGAGATAGTTTTGCTTGAATGATCTTTTACCCTTGGGGAGACATACATAAAAGAATGTCATACTTTATTATGAAATGACTGTCCAGCATATTTATGAGTAAACTTTCATAATTTCTTTATTGTCTAAAATAAGCACAAAAACCCTTTTAGTTAATTAATATCCCTTTTTGATATACGGAATAAATATAAGAAAATAGCACAAATGGTATTATGCCAGCACACAGAAAAAGTTTCTGTTAAAAGTCAATCCTGTATTTTGAGAACTTGACAAAATCATAATTGAAAATAGTGTGTTGTCTTACATGCAGATGTTGTGTAGTCAGGGACATCCAAATCAACCTACATCCAAATATTTCACAATTAGTCTTATTCTGTGAAGTATTATAAAACCACGCTCTCAGGAATATAAAAGCACAAAGGGACCCAGGACTCCAAATAGCCATTTATTCATTTCCTAAGGTTAGGTACAATGAGGACTGCATTTTCAACATTATCAGGGCCATACAGACATTGGAGCTTAAGGATAAGATCCAATTTCATAGCAATCTGTTAAAGGATAAGCCAGCGTAATGACCCAGATGTTCACCATAATAATTACCATCTTGAGTGATGATGCTATGAATACAAAGGAACACTGCATCTCTAAAATAAACTACGTTTATATGACGAGACCAATTTGATGGAAAGAAGGCAAACTGTGAATGGTAATTTTGTTTTCATTGTGTGTACTCATCTGAAAATACAATACTATATAATTAGAAAACTTACAACACAAATAAGACTGGAAGCCTTAACTTTTTATATCAAATGTTCTGCACACAAATATAGCCTTTTACTGAAGATCTATGGATCCAAAATATTGGTAGCTATAATTATGCTTTGTAAAACAGAAGCTATGAATGCCTTACTACAGAAAGACACAAAGAATCATTTCCTTACTCACTGCTAGTAGACCCCGGGGCACAGCATTTCCTGCCCAGATACCTGATTATTAATCCAGTTTTTGCTAGGGGTATACTAACTAACTAACGGAGATTGGTGTTTAAACCAGTTAATGCAAAGAAATGCTGTAGGAACTGAAATATTCCTTTTAAATTAACAAAAGTGTTCTTTCTAGATAAAGTTACATGAGGACCCAAATGTATAAAAGAATGTTTTGTTATATGGTTTTAGTACTTTGTTAGTGCCAGGTTAAAGACATGTGGCCCTAGATAGGATAACTACAGAAAAGAATTTGTTTACCTGCTTCACTAGAAATCCAACAATTAAGTCAGTAACTCTATTTTCCAATATTCATTTCCTCCATTTTCTCATCTTTTTGATTGATGGTATCATTTCGTTATTTCATTTTCATTGACATGGAATTCATTTAGGCTAAAACGACTTTTTGACTATTTGTATATATATATAATTTTAAAATCAATGAACAATATTGTTTCTCTATTTCCAAGATTATCCCTCTATATTCTCTAAAGTCAATACCGTGAAACAGTCCAGATATGAGTCCAGGAATGGCAGTATGAAATACTGTAAAACTGGAAGCAACTTAGTAGGTAATCAATAGGGAAAATGAAACTCAATATAATTGACTCTAGTTAATGTAATGATGCATTTATTTTAGATTTTTCTTGCATTCCTAAGTCCTGCCTGGTTATAGTATATTACATGTTTTATGTATTGCTGGATTTTGATCGTTAGCATTTTGCTGAGGATTTTTTCCATCTATTTTTGTTAAAGATATTGTTCTGTGTTTTTGTTTTCTTTTTTTTTTTTTGATGCTATTGTATGGTTTTGTTATTAGGGTAATACTAGCTTCATAGAATAAACTGGGAAGCGTATTCTCTTTTTTTTTGGCAAGAGTTTGTAAATAATTGTATTAATTCAACTTTGAAAGTTTGGTAGAGGCATTCTTGGCTAGAAGATTTGTTGCTGTTGTCATTGTTTCCTGAGGTGGTAGTTTTGATTACTAAATCTCTTTACTTGATAAGATTTTATATTTCTCCTTGATTCATTTTTGCTAATTTGAATCTTAGAATTTGTCCTGTTCTTTAAAAAATCTAAATTTTAGATATAATTGTTCATAGGTACTTTTGTAATAATTTTTTATGTCTTTTAGTGTTCTTTTAAAAATTTCATTGATACTTGAATAGTTTCTCTTGTTGGTCAGTTTATGTAAATTGTGGCCACTTTTGATGTGTTCAAAGAAACAATTTTTGGCTTTGTTGAGGTTCTCAATTGTTTTTCTATTTTGTATTTCACTAATTTGTATATCCCTAATACTTCCTTGTGGTTGCTGTAGTTTTAATTTGCTCTTCTTTTTTCAGTGCCTTATGGTGGCAGGTTAGAGAATGTTATTTTTGAGTATGAGAACTACTTTTATTGCATCACGTAAGAGATATTATGCATTCTTAAAGTGTTTTATTTTTTTTAAAGTATTTTCTAATTTATCTTATTTCTTCTTGGACCCATTGGTTATTTAATAGCATGTTTAATTTCCACATAATTCTGAGTTTCCCAAATTTTCCTATTGCTGATTTATTATTTTACTCAGTTATTGTCTGAAAATATACTTTGTATTATTCCAATGTTTAAATTCATTGAGGTCTGTTTTATGGCCTGGGGTATGGTATTCCTGGGTAATATTGCATGTGCACTTGAGAATCTACTGTTGTTAAAGTGTTCCTTAAATATCTAATCAGTCTAGTTATTTTGTAGTATTGTTCAAGTGTTCTATTTCTTTGTTGATCTTCTGCCTAGTCATTTTATCCATTTGTGAAAGTGAGTATTAAAGGCTGCAAGAAGTATGTTAAATTGTCTAATCTTCATTTTTGGAGGTTTCTGTGTCAATAGATTTTGAAGTTTTTTATCACACACATATATATGCCTGTAATTGTTATTTATTTTTGAGATATTGGCCCTTTTATTTTTATGAAAGCTCTCTTTACCTCTGTAACCCCTTTTGTTTTAAAGTCTATTTTTTTTCTGATATTAATATAACAATTCCTGCTTTCTTGTGGTTACTGCCTGCATCATATAACTTTTCCATCCTTTTTTTCCTATTAATTTTCATGTTTGGATCTGAAGTATGTCTCCTGCAGACAACATGTAGATGGATCTTATTTATTTAATTTGTTTTTCTCCAGTCTGACAATCTGTCTTTTATTTGAATATTTAAATTCATTTTCACTTGAGGTTACTAGTATAGATTTACATCCATTTTACTTCAGTTTTCTGTATACCTTATGTCTTTTCATTTCTCTATTCCTCCTCCTTTCTTTTGTATTAGGTATTTTTTATAAAACATTTAATCTATATTTAATAATATCTATATTTTTTCAATGTTTCCCTTCATTGTTACTTTAGGGTTTACTGTAGACATCACAATCAATTTTAGGTGCATAACAATTCTAGTGGCATATATGTATATATAAATTTTACTTTTGTTCACTTTTGTGTACTTTGGCTCTCCTTTTTGTGCTATTGCTGTACACATTACATCTATATATGCTATATACCCAATAATTTATTGTTATAACTGTTACTTGATGATATGGTTTGTTGTTTTGTCCTCTCCAAAGTTCATTTTGAAACAATTTCAATGTGACAGCATTAAGAGCTGGAACCTTGAGGATATGATTAGGCTATTGGGGTCTGTCCTCATGGATGGTATGAGTGTCTTATAGAAGGGCTGGAGGGAATTAGGACCCTTTGCCTTTTCATCCTTTTCACCGTATGAAAATACAGCATTCGTCCCCTCTGGAGGATGCAGTATTCAAGGCACCTCACTAGACACCAAACCTGCCAGCAAATTGATCTTAAACTTCCAGCCTGCAGAACTATGAGAAATAAATTTCTTCTTTACAAATTTCTCAGTCTCTGGTATATATATGTATCAGCATGAACAGACTAACATACTTGACATAATTTTATGTCTTAAAAAGATAAAAAGAAACGTACTATGTATTTACGGCTTTTGTTACATTAGCAGTCTTATTTATTATTTCAGGTCTTTTCATTTGTTCAGCATTTGAAACTTCTTCCTGACACCAGAAGGGCTCTTCTTAGCTGTCTTTTTCCTGGGTTATTCCTGGTAAACTAGCTGACCTTTGTTTCAAAGCATATGTCTCTAATAAAGTGCCAGTCTCTCTTATTTGCTTTTTACCATCACTTCATTGTTTTTCAAAGTACGCTTATGGTTGAATTTCCCCAAACTCTTCTTTTGGGAAAAGCTTTACACTCTCTGCTCTATGTTCTGCCCCTTCCTTTGGGCAAAACTTCTGAGCTTTGGCTCTGGTGATTGTAGCAAAGAGAGCAGCATTCTCCTCTCGGAGTGACAGCCCTACTTTGAGACTGTCACTGGGATGGGAAGTAGCCGTTGGTAATCTCAGCTTTGCCACTCCTGGAATGAGAACTTTGCCTTACAGACAAACCAGAAAGAAGGCGATCAGGGCTCAGTGTTCTCAGTGTGTTGCACCCAAACAGTCCCCATTCCATGAATTAGAGCTGGTAGGAAGAAGTGACATCCTACTTCTTGGCCACATTCCACAAAAGCTTAATCTCAAGAACAGGTAGTGGCAGCAGGTGGGGGTTGAAATGAAAAGTTCGGATGTACTGTTACTCCCAGAAAGATACTATAGCCCCCCAGTGGGGTCTAGTAAAAGTTCTGTGTTCTTGGCTACATTGCATTGAGTAGAGTTTATGTCAAGATAGGCTATGAGAAAAAGAGGTAAGAATGGGTTGTGGATCAAATGCAAAAAACTCTTACTGTTCTTAGTGAGTTTCAGTAGATTTTCTTGAATAAATAGTTCATCATTTTCTATGTACCATTATGACTTTTCAAGTGACATAGGTGATGGTTGTTTTATAATTTTCAACAATTTTATAAAAGATCCATGGAGCTCTTCACATTGCCATTCTAGAGGTGGAACTTCTACATTTATTTCTTAGGCAAGGAAATTAAGGTTTTCTTTAATTTCTCTTCTTCTAAAATATGCTTTGGAATCTCACTCTCTACAGCAAATTGGGTCTCAGTATATTTCTTTCTCCAAGAGAAGTTTGCTAGATACTCAAATAATTTTTGTTTTATATTGTTATGTTTGAAAGGTTGTTTTGTTGTTAAAAGACAATAGGAAGATCAACATGAAACCCTCACATTCATTGTATATTATCTTTTCATTCAGAAAGTTACAATATATTTGAGTGCTCATGAAGCTTTAAAAAGAAGTGGATTAAGTAATCAATCTCCCTAGACAGATAAAAAAGCACATGATATTTTGGTATTCCCCAACTGTTGTTATTTGACTTTCATGTTCTAGCAAATAACTTTCAACAATTTGTCAACTTACTTGCACATTTATATTTTATATTATTAATTCCATTATTTATGCATGTGTTGAATAGACTTTAATATATAGAGTAGATGTTGACACACTCGAATTTGTAACAAAGTGAAAAATTACTTTGATACATATTTTTTCTGACAAAATTATGAAGTGCTTTTCCATCTCTTCTAAAACAACATAGAAAACATGTTTCTTTCTCATTATTAAATACATGACTCGGAATACAGCAAAATTAATTGGCTATAAAGCAAACCTTTAAAAGAGAATAGTTTGATGAAAAATATAAGCATTCTTAGTTATACATAAGATCCCACAGAGCCAATTTAACTTTTTTTCCAGATTTATGTCCCAATTTAAAACTTTAATTCCTACTGTCTAAGCATTGTGGCTAAAAGTATGAGATAAGTAATTACTCCTGACATCCAACTTTTGTGATCATAGTAGGTGACATTCCTTTGAAAAAAGTAACTTGAAAATTTTCTGGTAAACGTTACGTTTGTGTGTGGGTGTAGAGTTTCATTTTCAAAACAAGCTCTCACATATCAAAGTTAAGTGTTTTAATTATCTTGTAAGACTATGTCCTTGGATCCTATGCTGTATGCCAATATTTATACATGTTGAATATGCTTTCATTTAACTTACATAGCCATAATGCTTAACTTTAATCAGAGATTCCTTACTAATTCTGATGAATGTTGGTAGAAAATATGCTGAAAATAAAATATGTTAGAATAATTTTCAATGAAAGGATAAAAGGAAAGAAGCTAGCAGAAGAGCCAGCACCACAGAAAGCAAAGTCACATTCTGGATCCAAGCAACATTTCCATGAGCAAAGAACCAGCAAATTGGATTCACGAGACAGGGAGCAGAAGCAAGAGTGTGAAGAGGAAATTGACTTTTTTTTGTTTTTTATTTGTTTTCTCATGAGGAGAGTATACTAGTAGTAGAAAAAAGTTACATGACTGATTCCAGAGAGACACAGGTAGAATATCTGGACCCTCTGTATAGGATAGCTAGTGATTATATTGTGTGTTCTGGAGGTAAGATTTGTATAAATTCAAGCCTACAATAGTATCAAGGCCTATTAAGCAAACATCCATTAGACAGCATGAAAGACTAAGAGGCTTTCAAACTACAAGTGTCAATAGTTAAATGTGAAGCAAGTACATATAGACATTTGATACTATGACAAAATAATGAGAGGTTTATCATAATATAATTTAATATTTTGTTCTTCAGTTTAGTAATTATATAAAGCTACATGCTAGTTTTTCACAACTTAACCAATCCTCTTTAATATATTTTTATGAAATTTCCTGCTATACTTGGGATACAGTTTAGAGTGTAAACTCATTTTGTAGGATTTTTTTTAAAAAATCCTGAAACAACATAGTGATAAATTTAAATAGTTTTGCCAGTTGAATCATGTATGTGATAAAAAGGCTTTATATTTTTGATTCCTAAATCAGGGTATGACAGTACAAATCATAAATCAAGTATTCTTATGTCCATTGTATAAATATAGAATAATGCCCAAACCTTTTTTGAATGTGAGGGTATGTCATGAGCATCAAAAGGGGAAAAAAAAGTATGAAAATCCCTAAGAGTTTTACTCTGGAAAGTCATATAGATTGTGCATTCTTTAGCTGACATTTTAAAACAGATACCTGAAATCATTTGCTTAACCCCTTTGAATAATATACTATTGCCTTTAAGAGAAATTCTGTAATCTACTAAAGGTCCTTTTCGTATAGCCCTGACCTCTCTCCAGTCACGTGCCGTTACTGGTGTCTGTGACCCAAACACACTAGTTGTCTCTCGATTTCGCTAAGACGTTCTGCATTCTTTCTTCTCACAGCTTTTATGTCTATTGCTTCTTCAAGGCATACTTCTCTAATATTTACTAGCTACTATTATTTTGAATGAGTTTAATGGTTTATTTTCGAGGAGACAAGGGCAAATTTTGCTGCTCTGTATTCCCATAGTATTGTGGTCTTCTCTATATTAAAAACTCATCGGGCTAAAAATTGTTTGTGGTTCCCATTTATTTACCTGCTAGATTGTAAATTCCATGAGGACTGGAAATTCAACTCTTATTTACCTGTGTATCTCAAACTTTGTAACATTCTTTCTGTGAGACAGTCATGTATTTATTAAAATGAATGAAATGTTTATGTCTATAGACTACATTACCAATACCTCTTGCACTATTAAATTTTCCTTAATTTCAAAAAAGCCAAACATTATTTTTTTCTCATTTATATAGTTTGAAATTCTTTTCTAGCAATAATGTTTCACCCATAAAAAGACCTATTAAAATTTAATAATAAGGGGAGGGATAAAATAACTATGCATTTTTTGTTGAAATCACAGTTGTCTGATACTTTAATTATGCTATCTAATTTAACCTTTCATAAATGCCCAGAATATGAGAATATCATCCAAGATTTAAATACCAATTGCCAAAATTTACAGCTATCAAATGGAAGACTCAGGTTTGTGCTATGCCACATTTTCTGTTCTTTCCTTTTTGTGATGGTATGCCAAACTGTGGAGAAAGAAAGCATTTCTATTTGTGATTGCCTCTGCTAGTTATTTCTGCAAAACAAACTACTCAAATTCAGTGGCATGATGCAATAACCATTTTGTCATCCTCAAATATTCTGGGGTCGGGGTTGAAAATGCAAAGTGGGGTGACATTTCTGTGGTATACAGTATTTGGGGCCTCTGAGAAGTCCTAGATGTCTAGGAATGAATTAAACGTTGGACAATGAAATCTTCTAAAAGCTTCTTTACATGTTTGGCTCCTGCATTGGTATGACTTAAAGGCTGGGCTCAAAATAATCTCTTAACCAGAGTGTCTGAATATTGCTTCTTCATGTAACTTGAGCTTCCTCACAGCATGGAATCATACAGGTAGCTTGCCTGAGTGTTTCAGTTAATGGGTCATTGTATTGCCTTTAATAATCTTGCCTCAGAAGTCACATAGAATTACTTTAACGCTGAGTTGGTTTAAGCAATCACAGCCTGTCTGACTTCAGGGGGAAGAAACATGATGTCTACCCTTTGATGTGAGGACATTCAAAGTATTCGTAGCTATATTTTTAAAATGCCACAGTTATCTTCTTTTCAAAGAGATGCCATATCCTTATTATCAGCAATAGAATCAGGATTTGAAAATAGTTCTTTTGCTACATACGCATTTTTATAATCATTCTTGCTATTATAATTTTTTTCAGAAAGGGTGAAGGGGTAAGGATTATGTTTCATTCTTTCTCAAATTTTGTATTCTATAAGTATTTTTATTTTTTGTCCATAATAGATTATGGTACAAAGGTAACTCAAAACTAGAGTGTATAAATATAAAAAATAAGTTTTCATATCCAAGCTGTGGATAAGATATTAAAATATAAAAAAGATTTTGAATTTGTTTTAAAAATTAAGTCTTCTAATTTTGTGAAAAGAACTAAGATAATTGTCCACTAATCACTCATTAAATCTCCTTATTAACTTAATTTCCTTATTAACATTAACAAAGCCTGCATTGCCAAGACAATCCTAAGCCAAAAGAACAAAGCTGGAGGCATCATGCTACCTGACTTCAAACTATACTACAAGGCTACAGTAAGCAAAACAGCAGGGTGCTGGTACCAAAACAGAGATACAGACCAGTGGAACAGAACAGAGCCCTCAGAAATAATACCACATATCTACAACCCATCTGATCTTTGACAAACCTGACAAAAACAAGAAATGGGGAAAGGATTCCCTATTTAATAAATGGTGCTGGGAAAACTGGTTAGTCACATGTAGAAAGCTGAAACTGGATCCCTTCCTTACACCTTAGACAAAAATTAATTCAAGATGGATTAAAGACTTACATGTTAGACCTAAAGCCATAAAAACCCTAGAAGAAAACCTAGGCAATACCATTCAAGGCATAGGCATGGGCAAGGACTTCATGTCTAAAACACAAAAAGCAATGGCTACAAAAGCCAAAATTGACAAATGGGATCTAATTAAACTAAAAAGCTTCTGCACAGCAAAAGAAACTACCATCAGAGTGAACAGGCAACCTACAGAATGGGAGAAAATTTTTGCAATCTACTCATCTGACAAAGGGCTAATATCCAGAACCTACAAAGAACTCAAACAAATTTACAAGAAAAAAAAAAAACCATCAAAAAGTGGGCAAAGGATATGAACAGACACTTCTCAAAAGAAGACATTTATGCAGCCAACAGACACATGAAAAAATGCTCATCATCACTGGCCATCAGAGAAATGCAAATCAAAACCACAGTGAGATACCATCTCACACCAGTTAGAATGGTGATCATTAAAAAGTCAGGAAACAGCAGGTGCTGGAGAGGATGTTGAGAAATAGGAACACTTTAATGCTGTTGGTGGGACTGTAAACTGGGTCAACCATGGTGGAAGAAAGTGTGGCGATTCCTCAAGGATCTAGAACTAGAAATACCATTTGACCCAGCAATCCCATTAGTGGGTATACACCCAAAGGATTATAAATCATGCTACTATAAAGACACATGCACACGTATGTTTATTGTGGCACTATTCACAATAGCAAAGACTTGGAACCAACCCAAATGTCCAACAATGATAGAATGGATTAAGAAAATGTGGCACATATACACCATGGAATACTATGCAGCCATAAAAAGGATAAGTTCATGTCCTTTGTAGGGACATGGATGAAGCTGGAAACCATCATTCTCAGCAAACTATGGCAGGGACAAAAAATCAAACACTGCATGTTCTCACTCATAGGTGGGAATTGAACAATGAGAACACTTGAACACAGGAAAGGGAAACATCACACTGGGGCCTGTCATGGGGTGGGGGGAGGGGGGAGGGATAACATTAGGAGATATACCTAATGTAAATGAGGAGTTAATGGGTGCAGCACACCAACATGGCACATGTATACATATGTAACAAACCTGCACATTGTGCACATGTATCCTAGAACTTAAAGTATAATAAAAAAAATAGTAAATATCAATAGATACAACTGACTTAAACAAAAGCTCTTTGGAATCTGCAATCATTTTTATTTTATTTATTTATTTATCATTATGAAGACAGTTTAACTGAGATCCAGTCATTTGATAGAAAACTAGAGCTTCCTGTGTCAATAAGGACTGATCTCAAAAATGTGTGTCCAGACAAAAGAAAGTTGCAAAATATGTAGAGTGTACAACAATTTATATACACTTTTAGGACATGAAAACAAATTATACTTATTATTTATGACCATACACATATGTAATAAAATGTTTTATAAGGGAATGGACATGATAAATGCTTAATTCAGGGTATTGGTTACCTCTAGGCAATAATATTTAATCATATAAAAGGAGCCCCAGGCCAAAAAGTTTCAGAATCAGTGTTTTAAAAGACTGTGTCCACCATACAGTTATTAAGGAGTGATTAATTGCTTTCCTCATTTTTGATAATCAAAGATACCCCCACAATACACACACACATGATCTGCTAACCAGAATATCTGACTGGCTTTAAATCATCAGTATAGCCACACTATGATGAAACAATTAAACTTAAAGCACAACTCACATGTTGGCAAGTAAAGTTTGTCTTATATTATTTCCACCTTCCTAATACCCACTCTTCCTTTTTCTGAAGTATTATCTCATTTTACCACCCTCCATCATATCCAACTGCTTCTTTTCCCTTCATTTACTCCCTGTACTCTCTGCCTTCCACATTGTTTATTCTCCCTTTTACTCTTATCCTTTTCCTTCTATCCTGACACTGCATATCTAGGGTTCAGTACTATCCACAGTTCCAGGCATTCACTGGGGGTCTTGGAATATATCCCCATGGATAAGGGGGGAAAACTGTACATTTTGTTGTGTAGGTCTATGGGTGCTGTGCTGTGTTATATGGCAAAACATAGGGAAGAGACCAGGGACAAGGATCTTTGCAAAGACTTTTGAGCTGCCAGTGGAGAAGAGCTCAAGGGAGATCAATGTACTCACTCTCACTAATCATCTTCTAGGGCAGATGCTGGCAATGTTTACTGAGTTCTAGCTATTTTCCCTAGCACAAACAAGGCTCAAATTCACCTCCCATTTTACCTCCTATGGACAGAACCACTGGAAAGATCACTCCCATAAAGAGCTTATTCATTCTGAGCCACACCATTCATTCAGTGAGAAGCTTAAGAAGAAACACTGCCACGGTGTATGAAAAATAAATATGAAAAACTACCTGATATGAAAAATATATATGAACAGAACTATCAATCAAGCTGCCAGAATGTGCCAACAGTTGTTAACTGTCTCCGGTGAAAACAAAATTATTTTTCACTTCTTGTAAAGCAAAACACTGGTATTTCTTATGACAGAGCATCTAGTTACAGATGAGCCATGTTATAATAATATAGACTGTTTTCAAGCTCATCCCTATAAAGAAGAGAACCAGTGAGGAACATATTTATTCACCTGTAATATTCACTGCCTGATCTTCTTTTTAAGTGCAAGGTAAGTACGCAAGACTTTGTGATTCCAGTTTTATAAAGACCAGCTCTTGAGATTATCCTGTCCCATCGCTAAAGTCTATCTGGACCCATCTCCTAGAGCACGATGGTCCAGTTAGTGCTGTGGAATACTGCATGGTGCCATTTTTCCCCACCCTCCCCGTTACATGGCAAATGTCTACAGAAATCACACTTTCTCAGCACGTCAAGTCATATGTCATCAGATCCTATTCTGATGAACAAAACACGAGAAAAACAAAGGCAAGGACAAAGAACATCTAAAATGACAGAATCCAATTACTATGGAAATTTGTTGTTTAAATATTCAAAAAGATATCCACTGTTTTATTCCAACTATATGACTAGTCTGGAAAAAGCAAAACTATGGAGACGCCAAAAAGAACAATGGTTGCCAGAAGCCAGTGGAGAAGAAGAAACAAAATGGCAGAGGACAGAGGATATTTAGGGCAGTGAAACTATTTTGTCTATGATACTACAAGGGTATATACATGCCATTACACATTTGTCCAATATCATGGAGTATACTACACCAAGAGTGAACCCTAATGTAAACTGTGGACCTTGGGAGTGATGTGTCTGTCAAGGTAGATTCCTCAACTGTAACTGATGAACTCTGATGGGGGGTACTGATAATGAGGGAGGCTATTCATATGTCAGGGGTCATGGGGAATATGGAAAGTCTCTGTACCTTCTCAGTTTTGCTGTGAATCTAAGACTGCTCGGAAAATAATGTTACTAATTTTAAAAAATTACTCACTGAACTTGCTATTACCCTAAACTATAAAAAGACAGAGTCACCTTGAAAACTGCAAATCACTAAAGATCAAGGTAACAGAATATGAGTACTATCTCCCAAATTGAAGCATATAAAAACACATAAAGCAATTAATTTTAATTGCATATTTAGGCAAAAAAAATTGATAAAAATAATTGAATATCTAATCTTATTTCATAATTATAAACAGGGACTTAATACAATATGAATCAAAAATGGTCCATCCATGTAAATAAAATGAAAGACAATTTTTATTCTAATTTTAAATCAGAAATTATTATGCCTATTTTATCCCACAATTTTACTGAAAAGTTAATCAGGTAAGAAGGACAGATTATAATTACTTAATATTGCCATAGTAACTTATGCATAAATACCTGTTAAGTATTCACCAAATGTCAAAACTGTAAGCAGCCTTGCTGCTTAACATGAATGATGCAACTGAAACAAATACCATGTTATGGTCTATCATAATATTTGCTATTATATTACATAAAATTTTAAGATAACATCAAAAATTTAGTCAGGGCCATAGCTGCTGGGCAGCAAAGATTTCATATAGCAGGCACAAGACATCCATCCTTAGAAAGGCTTGCTTGCAAGGCTAGTCCTTGGCTGGTGTTTGGGACCTTGAATTTGAGAGGGTTCCCACCATTCCCTAACTTAGAAGAAGGGAATGGCTCACTGTGCCTAAATTGTTTGTGCAAATGTGGTTTACTATGAACAGTTAATCTCTTCCTGGGAGTCTAGAATTTTGTTACATGTGAGGGAGAGAAGAGGTGGCCTATGTGACTAGCCTCCGTTGAAAACATGGATGCTAAGTCTCTAATGAAACTCTGGTAAGGTAGACAACATTGCACATGTGTCGTCAAAATTTGAGGCTGGGGGAATTAAGCGCATCCTGCTAACTACACAGGAGATGACTCCTGTAGCTTGTGCCTGGCTTCCTCCAGACTTTGACACATGCACCTTTTCCCTTCTTGAATTTTACTTTGTGTCTTTTCACTGTATTAAATATAATAAATGAAAGCCCCGAGTATGACTGACTGCTGAGTCCTGTGAGTCCTTCTCAGTGAATTACCAAACCTAGGATGGTCTTGGGAACCCCTGATACAATTGCATTATACAATTTTTTTTATTGTTTAAGTTGATGTGTTATATGTGACTACAATCAGAAGGTTATTTCACAGAATACCTTTCCCTAATCTGCTTATTATTTAGTTTTTGATGTTTGCCTTGGAGATTCCTGTACTTCTATATCCACTGGACTAACAGCATTAAAAATGCATGAAACAATGATGTCAGAAAGTAATTTTAAAAATCAACAATCCTATTTTAACCCAATTAAAAAATAGAAAATCTTGATTGACAATACGTTCTACAGTATAAAAGTTTCTGGAACAAAAAATTAAAAGATCACAGTTTTCTCCCACTCGGTAGAGTTTAATTCATTTTTATTATAATTGTGCAGCAGGCCAACAATTCAGTAGCACACATCTGTTGTTCCACCTACTCAGGAGGCTGAGGCAGAACGATTGCTTGAGGCTAGGAACTAAAGCTGCAGTGTGCTATAATCACACCTGTTCAAAAAAAAGTCCAAAAAAAAAAAAAACTCCTGCAAATAGTGGAAATGATCAGTAAGGATCAATAGGAGTTTTAACTTATCTGGCAGGGAGAAGAGTCTATCTTATATATAGATGGTTAAAATTGTGGTAATCCAATTGACCATATATTCTAGTTAAATCACAGATTACCAATTTCTGAAGAAATATAATACCAGAAAAGCACTTCACATTTAAACTATGTCAGATAAAACAATTTGTATTTGATAACCCAGAAGACACTTAAAATCTTGGCAGACCATCATCGTTGTATCATTGTGGTGCAGATATAAAGAAGTGCATTTGAAATGTGTTCTAATAGTATTTTCTTTAGGGATGAAATGCAAAAGGAAGCAGTAAGAGCAGAAATACGACAAGGGGATAAAATGAAAAGGGAACTGCACTAATAAAAAGAGTCAGGCACTGATTTTTCTACTGATGTGACCAGTATTCCCCAAGTACTGAGAACTACTATATTCAGCATTTCACTTTATATTCTTCTCCAGGACATTGTATTAGTTTCCTGCAATAAAATATTTTTACAATGTCAGTTTGTCGAAACTGCTGGACTGTAAACTATTTCTAATCGAAACCTGAAATTGTGTCACAACATGGCTGTATTACGATTCCATGTCAGAGGAAGGATATATACGTGCATCTGGTAGTGGCTTCCAGTTGTTGCTGTCAGATGTTTGTTTGGGAATGCATTCAGAAGAGCTTATCAAGGACTTGAGTACAAAACAAGCATTTCCACAAAAAAGCAGGTAAGAAAGACACTTCTCCTCACAAATGACCTTAGGTTTAGACAATTCTAGGAAAATGGTGGTACATTAACTCAACGTCTTGACCATTTTCCCTGATCCTGTATAGGGAGCTGCTGCAGTTACAAAAGTTAGACAGGATCTTGGTAGGTGTATTCTTCCACATTTGAACACCGGAAGTACTGATCACATAAACAGCGAACCCCACAACTCTATGATTGTTCTTTAGAAGAGAGTGCCACCGAGAGCTTTTAAAAAGTTAACTCACTTTTCAGTAATCTTACTGGTTAGAATTGATACTCCCTCCCTGAAATTCTCACCTTCATAAATTTTTGCAGCATCACTTTATGATTCCTCTCCTTTTACTTAAGCCACTGCTCAGGCTTCTTTCCTAACTCCTCTGGGAAATGCTGATATTCCCAGGGTTCTGTCACTGGCCCTCTGCTCATTCTATACCTTTCCCATCATGGATAAGCTCACTCAGATCTACAACTTTGCCTCCGTTATTCCAAGTCTGCAACTCCAACCTCCGAGTTCCATCTCCAACCATAAAAATTTTATGCAATTACCTACTGAAAATATCCCACATGGACATTTCAGTAAACTCAGCAATGCAGAGAAAACTGTTAGTCGTGGCTGCTGACCCACGCTCTCCTCTATACACCTGAAAACTGCCTACTCCCTCGTGTCCAGGTTAAATGCTAGGGCACAAGCCAGAAACCTGAGAATCATCTGAGATTTCTCCCTATCCCCTATCTTTTTACATTCAACAGTCACTAAATCATATTAACTGTACCTCTTTTCTGCATCTGCTTTATATTTCCACTGTGACACATTTATTTTATGTTTATATTTCCTAGTTAAACATGGGCTCTTAAGTAGTGGCTTTTATAGGGAAAAAACAACTATTAATGTTATTTCTTAAAAAAAAAAAAGCTTAAGTAAAATAAATGAAAAAGGCATCATGCCAAGAAAAAGACCAACATTTTTAAAGGAATAACTGAGCTCCTTAACCTTATTGATTTCACCATGGATGGGTGAAAACCTCACAACAGACTGACACTAGTCTGAGGACAGCACAAGGAAACTATAGCTCTGATAACTGCAAATGTTTCCTTTGTTTCCCTGTCTCTTTATGTGGTTATCTTCCAGCTACCCTCCATATCAGGGGTCAGCAAACTATAGACTGTGGGGCAAATCCAATCAGCCTTATAGTTTTGTAAGTAAAGTTTTATTGGAGCTCAGTCATGCGTATTTGCTTACCTCTTATCTATGACTGTTTTCATACTTCAATGGCAGGGTTGAGTAGGAATGACATACCACATGAAAAAGCCCTGTACAGAAAATGCTTGCCAATCCCTGCTTTATACCATAACCAGAATGCCCTAATACTCAAATCTAATCATGTGACTCCCCACTCCAATGAATCCCTACAGTAAACATTGCTGTCTCCCTACCCAATAGTGAGTCCCTGCTCTGTCTTGCTGGAGGAACACATGTCTATTTGGATATTTGCCATGCCAATATCCCTACCAACCCAAAAGAAGAAATGATTATCCTAAGCTCATCATAGTAATTACATTTGCTTCCCCAGTGCCTGGTTTAGGAATGAGCATGTGGTAGGACCCAGCCAATAAAATGTTACAGGAAGTCAACTGCACGTTTCCGAGTCTTCTCCCTAACTAAAAGAAACATGTAAAGAAAAGCCACCCTTTCAGCCTTCAGATATTGTCGGTGAGACCATGATGTTTGGAGCCGTTGCTAATTAGCCATGAAAACTGACATGAACAAAACACTGATATCACTGAACGGTCAAAATAACTCTGGTCCCTACTGTTTTAGCCACTGTTAATTAGGTCATCTAGCATTTTCAGCCCAAAGCATTCCACCTGGTAAATTTCCCATGGCCTACAGGAAAAGATCTAGTTTCTTTTTTTTTTTTTTTTTTTTTGGAGACATAGTCTTGCTCTGTCACCCAGGCTGGAGTGCAGTGGTGCAATCTCGGCTCACTGCAGCCTCCGTCTCCCAGGTTCAAGCGATTCTCCTGCCTCAACCTCTCGAGTAGCTGGGACTACAGGCATATGCCACCACGCACGGCTAATTATTTTTTATTTTTTTAGTTTTTTTATTTTTAGTAGAGATGGGTCTCACCATGTTGGCCAGGATGGTCTTGATCTCCTGACCTCATGATCCACCCGCCTTGGCCTCCCAAAGTGCTGGGATTACAGGCATGACCCACCGCACCTAGCCTGAGATCTACTCATTTCTATAGTATTAAAAAGTCTGGGCAGGGACTGGTGGCTCACACCTGTAATCCCAGCACTTGGGAGGCTGAGGCGTGTGGATCACTTCAGGTCAGGAGTTTGAGACCAACCTGTCAAACATGCTGAAACCCTGTGTCTACTAAAAATACAAAAATTAGCTGGGAATGGTGGCTCATGCCTATAATCCCAGCTACTTGGGAGGCTGAGGCATGAGAATCACTTGAACCCAGGAGGTGGAGGTTGCAGTGAGCCCAGAGAATGCCACTGCACTCCAGCTTGGGTGACAGAGTGAGACTTTGTCTCAAAAAACAAAGTCTGTCATAAGCTTGCCTTAGGTATTCACTTCATTCCCAACATTCGCATCTCATATGTTTTGCACTAGCAAAACTGAACTGCTCATAAACCCTGCAAATTTCACTCAAGCATCTTACTTTCACACTTGTTGCTCCTTCTGCCAAACACACAATCTTCTGCCCACATCATCCTTCTGCCTCTTTACCTGGAAAAGTTCTACTCACTGCATGGTTACCTTAAATCTTACCCACTTTTTTACAGCTTTCATTCCTCACCACATAAAGTGTCTGGCACATATTTAACATAGTAAATGATCACTATACGGTTCCAGAGGGCATCTAACACAGTAGTAGGCACTGAATAAATAATTCATCAAATAATTAAAGTGACAATGATAATAACAAGCTCCTGGGTTTTGTTGGTTTTTTTTTTCTTTTTTGAGACAGGGTCTCACTCTGTTACCCAGACACGAGTGCAGTGGCATGATCATAGCTCGCTGTAGCCTCAAACACCCAGGCTCAAGCAATCTTCCCACCTCAGCCTCCCAAGTAGCTGGAAGTACAGGCACCTGGCACCATGCCCAGCTAATGTTTTATTGTTTTTTAAAAAATTTAGTAGAGATGAGGTCTTGTCATGTTGCCCGGGCTGGTCTCGAACTTCTGGGCTCAAGTGATCCTCCCATCTCAGCCTCCCAAAGTGGTGAGATTACAGGCATACACCACTGTGCTGGCCCCAACAGTATTTTTAAATGTCTGTATTCTGTAACATTAGAAAAAAAATGCTTAGTACTAAAAGACATTTGATAATTATTTGTGAAGTGGACAAATGAATAAATGATTTCCTTGAAAATTCTGTTGAAAAAAACACAGAAATTAAATAAAGCTCTATTCTATTATGAGCACCTCAAAGACCAAAACTATGTCTATTTCATGTTTGTCTCCCATAACGTGCAAAACCTAACTTACAGAAGTTCTTTGATTAATATGTACTAAATTAAAGGTGTCCCCTTACAGTTCAGATTGTCCAATGCATTAGGCATCACATCTTGGAAGCACAGAAGCATTTTTTGTTATTGTGAAACATTTTTATACTTTCATTATAATTTGTTGAGCCTAGAGTTGGGCTATTTGAATATTTATTATGATAATCTTTTGGCTAATGGTAACAGCATATCTTGTTCTAACAAAATTACTGTTAACAGCAATTAACCAGCAGGTAGAAAAACACATCTTGTTCTAATGAAGTAAATATACCTCATTCGATTTCAAATTGGGGGAAAGTCAATAATAGTGACACCTTGTTGGTTTATAAGTATGTAACATGACCTGTTCTTCTCAACAAGGAATTGCTTTTCTGACTTCTGCACTCAGAAGGTATCTTTAAAAAATAATTTCCCATTAGTATTAGTGCACATTGGGTATGTTTGGCAGGGTTTTGTTTGTGTTTTTGTTTTTGTTTTTTTCTGAGACAGGGTCTCACTCTGTCATCCAGGTTGTGATCATGATCACAGCTCACTACAGCCTTGACTCCCAGGCTCAAGCGAGCCTCCCATCTCAGTCTCCCAAGTAGCTGGGGTTACAGGTGTGCACCAAAACACCCAGCTAATTTTGTATTTGTTTTTGTAGAGATGTGGTCTCACTATGTCACCCAGGCTGGTCTGGAACTTCTGGACAGAAGCGATCCTCCCACCTAGGCCTCCCAACTTGCTGGGACTACAGGTGTGGGCAGCACACCTGGCCATTTCACAGTTCTTATTGCCATTTGTTTATGGTGCCAGAAAGGTATTGCTGAGTTTCCAGTTTTGAAACTAATTTCTTTTTTTCAGTGACACAAATCACTATGTAATATAGTTAGCCTTTGAACAACACGGATTTGAACTGCAGGGGTCTACTTATGAGCAGATTTTCTCCCACCTCTACCACCTGAGACAGCGAAGACCAATCTTCCTCTTCCTCCTTCTCCTTAGCCTGCTCAACTTGAAGACTATGATGAAGAGTTATATAATGATCTACTTGCATTTAATGAACAGTAAGTGTATTTTTTCTGCCTTATGATTTTCTTAACAGTTTATTTTCCTAGCTTCCTTTATTGTAAGAATACAGCATATTAATACATATACCATACCAAACATATCTTAATTGACTGTTTATGTTATCAATAAGGCTGCTGGTCAACAGTTAGCTATTAGTAGTTACGTTCTTGGGGGAGTCAAAAGTTATACACAGATGTTTGACTGCAGAGGGAATCAAGCATCCCTAAATTCCACATTGTTAAGGGTCAATTGTGATTGATATTCATTTACTAAACATAAGTCATTTATTTTAAAAATTAAATAGAAGTTCCAATTTCATAACAAGTCTAATTCATTATAATGTGACTATAAAGAAAACATACAACTTACTAACTCAAAAATATCTTTTTCTTGGCCGGGGGCAGTGGCTCACGCCTGTAATCCCAGCACTTTGGGAGGCCGAGGCGGACGGATCACGAGATCGAGACCATCCTGACTAACACGGTGAAACCCCATCTCTACTAAAAATACAAAAAATTAGCCGGGTGGGGTGGCGGGCGCCTGTAGTCCCAGCTCCTCTGCAGGCTGAGACGAGAATGGCATGAACCCCAGGGGGTGGAGCCTGCAGTGAGCCGAGATCGCGCCACTGCACTCCAGCCTGGGCGACAGCGAGACTCCGTCTCAAAAAAAAAAAAAAAAAAAAAAAAAAATCTTTTTCTTATTTATACAAAAATATCACATAGAATTTTAGGGACCATAATTAATTTTTTTTCAGACCAGATTGTTTGAAAAAATAAATGACCTACAATTAACTTTTTAAATAATTGTGACATCTAACCTACCAAGAAATCTAACCTATCAAGAAAGAAATAAAGATTTTTTAAAACTGCTCTTTCATGATCAAAACTTCCTTACTCTTACTTCTTTTTTACCCATGGTAGGACCACCAAAAATAATTCACTATCAGAAGTCTTACCTGGATTGTTATTTTGAGGAAGACTTTCAGGTGTCTGTTTTTCCTTATATTCAGGAACTAGTTGCTGAATGCTATGGATAAAAATGTAATAAATGAAATTATTTTAAAACAAATGAAAAATACCAAATATATTAAATTTTTAGAGCATTTCAAACAATATCAGAGTTAATATCAGAACTTTAATTATCCCATATACTTCAATTTGTGAGTTCTACCAACTTCTCTTTAAGCTTCTGAAGAAGAAAAAAAGATGAAGTACTCATGAATTGAAGGGAGTATAGCTCAGTAAATTAACTCACATTAGCTTGGCATAATGGAAAGCATCCTAGCTCTATTACCAGCAGCTATTTATTCTCTGACAAGTTGCTTCTCTTAGGCTCAATGTATTCTTCTAAAAAGCAAGGATTTTACTGCCTTATTTCACTAGGTTGTTAAAGATTTAACAAGAAAACGTTTTGTAAATGCTCAGAGGAACAGTGAAGCAATGAAATAATTTGTTCTTGAGGTTTATTGCGGAAATGGTTTTGGAATCACAAATAAAACCCAATGTCTATTTTTTCCAGAGGTTCTAATATTCAAATGTTGCAGTTTTCCAAAACTGTTATTAAGTTCTAGTTTTATTAGTTCTATTCTTTGTGGCTTATAATTTGGGGCATCACAGCTAGTTCATAGTTTGTAACTAAATTTACTTATAAATATATTATTTCACCAAACTAGATAACAACACTGTCCACTATTACTGAGCTCATCAATCACGCCAAGGGGAGAAAGCTAATAGATGTCAAGACCTAGCTTGGACTACTGTTCCATACAGACTCAAACTCTGAATCGGCAGATCTTTGTTAGAAGGATGCTCAATCCCCGTGTTCATCTCCAACTGACATGGAAAACAAAATTCTACTTTTTTTTTTCAGTTCCACGAAAGACATGCAAGTTGACATTCTCTCATTTCTGAGATACATACTGACAATATATTTGCACACAACATCCCACGTGTTACTCAGCTCCATTGATCACCTTACTGCATATTTTTGTAGTGAAAAATCACAATTTTAATATTAGGTGATACCCAGTTTGCTTTGACTCACACTGTCTTTGGAACTAGTCAGCAAATAGTCAAATGAACTTCTAGTGACTGCGCAAAATATGGACCACTTCAAAAATCTGTGCATCCTTATGCAGGCAGGGGCCATGCTAATTTCTCTCCATTTTGTTCCAATTTTAGTATATGTTTGCTGCTGAAGCAAGTTTTGTTTGTTTTAGACTGAGTCTTGCTCTGTCACCCAGGCTGGAGTGCAGTGGCGTGATCTCGGCTCACTGCAAGCTCCGCCTCCTGGGTTCATGCCATTCTCCTGCCTTAGCCTCCTGAGTAGCTGGGACTACAGGCGCCCACCACCACGCCCGGCTATTTTTTTTTGTATTTTTTAGTAGTGACGGGGTTTCACCGTGTTAGCCAGGATGCTCTCAATCACCTGACCTCGTGATCCGCCCACCTTAGGCTCCCAAATTGCTGGGATTACAGGCATGAGCCACTGCACCCTGCCAAAGCTCTCATTTTATACATGGATATTCATGAGTCATGGATGAGACTTAGCTCTGTTAAATCCAACTAACATACTTGAGACTCAGAATTCTGGTGAGGGCTTCCTGCCACAAATCTGGGAAAGGATAATATGGGACATTCCACGATCTAAGAAAAGGGTCCTCAGCATACAGATCTGGTAGCAATGAAAAAAGGAAACTCGTCTCTTTCTGCAACATTATTTGAACTGAACCCCGAGGGCCTAAAGGATAATTTATCATGAAGGTCTTAGCTAAGTCTAGGCTGAGACAAAAGCGTAACAGGCGGGGTTTCACCATGTTGGTCAGGCTGGTCTCGAACTTCTGGCCTCGTGATCTGCCCTCCTCGGCCTCCCAAAGTGCTGGGATTACAGGCATGAGCCACCGAGCCCGGCCAACATGAAGTTCTTAAGGATGGAAGGAACCTGAGCGACAGTAGAATATGTCTGCTGTACAATAGGTATTCAGCTTATGTTTGATGAATAAATTGAGAAAATGGATAAACACAGTTGGGAAGTGCAATATTTTTAAAGAAAACTCCTGTAAAGTAGACGAACACTTTTGCAATAGTAATAATCATTTATATTTGATCCCATCTCATTAAGAGGCCTGGGCCCCTGACCCCTCTGACGTTTCCCCATCCCGGGTGCCGTGGGGCCTGTGGGCACCAGAAAGCCAGTGTCCCTGACAGGACGGCGCGCCCGCATCCTTCACCTGGCCATTACCTCTTCTTCCTATCCCTCTTGTCCACGCCAGTGTCTCCAGGAGCCAAGACGTGCTCCACCCCAGGGACGTCGCCCGACCGGGCAGCTCTGTGGAGCTCGCCAAGATCTTCCAGGCGGACATCGTGCTGGAGCTGGTCTAAGGCGCCCTCACCGTGCTTGCTCTCGCTGCCGACGCTGTTCTTCCACCAGCTGTAGGAGAAGCCCAAGGACCACTGGTCCCCCGGGTAGTCCAAGTACCACTGGTCCTCCTGGCTCCCAACACTAGGGGTCTTCCTCGTGGCGTAGACTGCCGGCTTCGGAGACCCCCCAGCCCCTCCCCGCTTTTCTCCACCCCAGGAGGCCATCAGTAGCGAGCTACTGCCTCGGCCACAACCTCCCAGCAGGATAGCCCGCGGTTTCCAATCTGCGAAAGGAGGACCGCTAAGCCAGAAATGCCAAGCCAAGCGATCACTGCCACGCCAAGCAGCCACCGCAAAGCCTCGCGGGTAAGGCCAAGCCACGCGGGTAAGGCCAAGCCAATCCGTTACACACCAGTGCGCCTGCGCACCTTTGACGTCACTGAACCTGTGCCTTCACTGCATCTGCAGCTCCAGCCTCCCAGAAAAAGACTCCTTGGTCTGCAGGTGGTGCTGCAGCTCCAGTGCCAACCTGGGCCGGCTGGTCCTCCCTCGGAGGTTTGGGGGTGGCGGCGCCCAGCCTGCCTGTCATGAGTGCTGCTTCACAGCGCCGCCGGTGCACCTGCTCCTAGGCTTGCTCGGTTCAGGGGTATGGGCCAGTTCCGCCCCCGGCTTGGCCACTGCAGCGAAGTTGCCCTAGGGTCGGCGCTGCCAGGACGCAAGCGGAGTCTGATGGCTGGGTCAGAGCGGCCTGTCAGCCCGGCTGGAAGGGCCTGCCCAACGCCGCTGCCCGCCCAGCTCCTACTTGGCCTGCGCCCGGAGCCAGGGACCAGCTTTGGGCATTCTGCTGCCTTAGGATGGGGCCGAGCAGCCGCTCCCCGCCCTGTGCCGCAGCCGCTGCGCGCATTTGCCCAGGGTCCGTGCAGCTGGCGACCCGGGCGGGTCGGGGAATGCCTGGTGCCACCGGGATTGCTCGCCTCTAGTCCGTCCTGACCCTTCAGCCCGCGAGCACCAGTGAGTTTGAAGAAAAGTGACGGCTGGGCGCGGTGGCTCACATCTGTAATCCCAGCACTTTGGGAGGTTGAGGTGGGCAGATCACTTGAGGTCAGGAGTTTGAGGCCAGCCTGGCCAACATGGTGAAACCCTGTCTCTACTAAAAATACAAAAATTAGTTGGGCGTGGTGGCGCACACCTGTAGTCCCAGCTACTCCAGAGGCTGAGACAGGAGAATCGCTTGAACCCGGGAGGTGGACGTTGCAGTGAGCTGATATCGTGCCACCAAACTCCAGCCTGGGCGACAGAGCAAGACTCCGTCTTAAAAAAAGAAAAAGAAGGAGAGAACGAAGGACAGAGAAGGAAAGAAGGAAGGAAGAAAGGAAGGAAGGAAGCGTGACAAAGGAGAAGCTAGAGAGCACTCAAATACTAATTCTTGAGGACAATTAAGACAGATCGCATTATGAAAAACAGATTTTGTCACTGAAGGCTCAGGGCTTCAGCCTAGATCCTGCGCTGCTCACCCACAGAAAGCCAATCACTGAGATGAGTATTGCAAAGGAAGAAGGCTTTAATCAGATGCTGCAGCCGAGGAGATGGGAGCTCAGTCTCAAATCCGTCTCTCTGACCAACTAAAATTAGGGATTTTTAGTATAGCAAAGAAGAAATGTAACTATGTATAAGAAAACATGAACTAGGAAGTGGTAAGGAAGCAATCATTTACAAAAGTATCTGCGGCCGGGCCCAGTGGCTCCCACCTGTAATCCCAGCACTTTGGGAGGCAGAGGCGGGTAGATCATGAGGTCAAGAGATCAAGACCATCCTGGCTAACATGGTGACCCCTTGTTCTCTACTAAAAATACAAAAATTAGTTGGGCGTGGTGGCACGTGCCTGTAGTCCCAGCTACTCGGGAGGCTGAGACAAAAGAATCGCTTGAACCCGGGAGGCGGAGGTTGCAGTGAGTCAAGATCGTGCCACTGTACTCCAGCCTGGCGACAGGGCTAGACTCCATCTCAAAAAAAAAAAAAACAGAAAAAGAAAAAAAGTATCTTCACCCTGCCTCCTCAATCTTGGCATAATTCCCCCTGCGAGTGGTTTCTGGGGTCTCAGTTGGCATTTAGTCACACATTGCACATATCGTGTGCACAACTGCACAGCTCAGCAGTGTCCTGGGTAGGCCTTGAAGGGTGATCTTCACGTAAGCCTGTGGCCAGAGCAAGAAAGCTGCACACGGGCAGCGGAGGAACCAGCAGGAGCCCAGTCCACTGGAAAATTCCAGCACCACCCGCAAGAGCAGCTGCAGTGGAGACTGTGACCTGACAAGGATATATGCATGAAGATGCTGGTCTGAAAACAGACTCAGTTTAAGGGTGGCACTTTGAAAAATATTGATAAATGTCAGTGAGAAAAAAATAATTAGAAACAAAATGTATTTATTAGAAATATTAGTCATTTATCATACACTTTCCTATGAATAGTTAAATACATATAATTAGCATGTCATGTCCAAAAGTGCTGGGTACAATCTAGTGTGCTCTTTATAGACATGAGGCCACAGATGTATCAATTACACTCAACTAATGTAGTTAAAGTTAGTGTGCTAAAAAAAAATTAGTGTGCTACTCAGGATGTTACAGATTTAGCAAAACTCTAACCTGGATCAGAGGAATGAAATGCCCCGTGAATTGAGGCAACTGTAGAGACTCAAAATGCTTCTAAAAAGGCTGTGAGGTTGTCCTTTACTGCATGTCATTGGTAGGACATCTCAAAATGGCACTCGAGCTTTGGAAGAATGAGAACTATTGCTGGATTTGACAGTGGGTCTGCATCTATGGGCCCGAGTCCTCCATCTCCACAAGCCGCCCCTCAGTGGGGAAGAGGAGGGGGAGACTAAGGGAGTCCCCGTAATGTTCGTGGGCAGCAGGGAAGAGAACATGGCAGAGATTCCTCACCGCTGGAGGGCTTGTCCCCTGGGTATGTGTGTTTTTGTTTAATACCGACTGGCATCTACTTGGGTTGGTCTCTACAAAAGCTGTAAAAAAACAAATGAATGAAAAAGGAAAACAGACTAATATTGTTTTTGAAGTGAAAGGGGCTAGGACAAGAGAAATTCCTGAGAATGTTATCCCTGCGGGGGGCGGGGGGGAGGGGGATGGGCTACCATCAGAGAAGGAAAATTCAATCCCTTTTCAGTGCAGAGAACAGCGACTTCTCATCTTGAAAAACTCCCCCACTCTACTGAGGCTTGCATTTTGCAGCTGTCTTTCATGTAAAAATTATACATAAAAAAAGGATCTTCAGAACAACCAAAGAATTTTAAATGACTACATACTGACTGAGGGAAGATGGAAAGAAACGTGGCTGTTGTGGCCTCTGAAAGCCTCAGGACAGAAACTGGGAATGGCACACTCTGCTGAGTATAGAAAATGTAAGATGCTGACCTTGTTTTCCCAGTTTACCAACTTTCCACCTTCACCTGGTGCTCTGAGTTCTGTTAAAAACAGACCTAAAAACCCTACCTCTTGGCCTAGCTGGGGTGAGGACTGCCTCCCCCAGGTCCTGCACCTCCACACGCCAGCGGATGGCTTGGGGGAGGCTACTAGCTGCTGTGCTAGAAGGCCTATTCCTGCATCCCTGAGGCCATCAGTCACAATTCCAGGACCCCAGCAGAACCTTCCCTTCCCTGAAACACCGCCTGTATTTCTTTGTGTGTGTGTGACAGAGGCAGAGGTTGCAGTGAGCCAAGATTATACCACTCCAGCCTGGGCGACGGAGTGAGACGCTCTCTCAAAAAAAAAAATAAATTTTTTTTTTTGTGGAGTCAGAGGTCTTGCCATGTTGCCCAGGCTGGTCCCGAACTCCTGGGCTCAAGCAATCCTCCCATCTCAGCCTCCCAAAGTGCTGGGATTACAGGCATAAGCCACCATGCCTGACCACCATGTGTACTTCTAGGGATAGGACATAGCATTTCTCTTCTGTATGCACACCCACTGGCAAAAAAAAAATGGTAGTCAGGGAAACTCCTTGAGTTATAGAAATAAATTGCACATGGCCTTTCATGTTTCTTTCCTTCTTTTTAACCTAAAGAGCAGGATACAGAGAAAAATGGAGAGTTTGGCCACAGTCATTGGCAACTTGGGCTCCCATTGGAGAGGGGCTGGTATGGCCCCAGCATGGAGGGAGGGAAATTGCAACACCATTGCCCAGAGATGGTACTAGATGGTTTGCACATAATTACTAAGAACAGAGCCAATCACAGGCCAGGTGTGGTGGCTCACCCCTGAGTAAGCTGAAATCGCGCCACTGGCACTCCAGCCTGGGCAGCAAAGCAAAACTCTGTCTCAAAAAACAAAAAAAAAACAGCCGGGCTCGGTGGCTCATGCCCATAATCCCAGCACTTTGGGAGGCCGAGGCAGGTGGATTATCTGAGGTCAGGAGTTCGAGACCAGCAGGAGCAACATGATGAAACCTTCTCTCTACTAAAAATACAAAAAAAAATAGCCAGATGTGGTGGTGGGCGCCTGTAATTCCAGCTACTTGGGAGGCTGAGGCACCAGAATCGCTTAAACAAAGGAGGCGGAGGTTGCAGTGAGCTGAGACGGCACCATTCCACTCCGGCCTGGGCAATAAGAATGAAACTCCGTCTCAAAATAAATAAGTAAAAATAAAAACAAAAAACAGAACCAATGACAGAAAACACTCCCACTCCCCCCGTAAAATCAGGAACAAGGCAAGGATTCCCTTTGTCATTTGTCCTATTTAAAACTGTACTGGACTGTAATCCCAGCACTTTGGGAGGCCGAGGGAGGTGGATCACCTGAGGTCAGGAGTTCAAGACCGGCCTGGCAAACATGTTGAAACTCCGTTTCTACTAAAAGTACAAAAAAAATTAGCCAAGCGTGGTAGCAGGTATCTGTAATCCCAGTTACTCAGGAGGCTGAGGCAGGAGAATCACTTGAACCCAGGAGGCGGAGGTTGCAGTGAACCGAGACCACGCCATTGCACTCCAGTCTGGGTGACAGAGCAAGACTCTCAAAACCAAAAACAACAACAAAAAACGGTGTTGGAAGTTCTAGCTAGTGCAAAAGGCATGGAAAAGAAATAAATGACATAAAACAAATGTAATTCCAGCACTTTGAGAGGCTGAGGCAGGTGGATTGTTTGAGGTCAAGAGTTCAAGACCAGCCTGGGTAACATGACAAAACCCCATCGCTACCAAAAACACAAAAACCAGCCAGGTGTGGTGGCATATGCCCGCAATCCCAGATACTTGGGAGGCTGAGGCACGAGAATCACTTGAACCCAGAAGGCAGAGGTTGCAATGAGATCACGCCATAGCCTGGGATGACAGAGTAAGACCTGTCTCAAAAACCAAACCAAACCAAACCAAAAAAATGTATTACTTGTATGATAAGGAAAAGAATCAAATGCATGTACATGGGTGGGTTTGTTTTGTTTTTTTGTGACAGGGTCTCACTCTGTCGCCCAGGCTAGAGTGCAGTGGTACTCTTGGCTCACTGCAACCTCGACCTCCCCAGCTCAAGTCATCCTCCCACCTCAGTGTCCTGAGTAACTAGACTACAGGCATGCACCACTACACCTGGCTAATTTTTTATTTTTTTCTAGAAACAGAGTCTCACCATGTTATCCAGGCTGGTCTCAAACTTCTCAGCTAAAGTAGTCACCTCATTTGGGCCTCCTAAATTGCTGGGTTACAGATGTGAACCACTGAGCCGAGTCTCAAATTTTTTTTTTTTTTTTGAGATGGAGTCTTGGAGTCTCATATCATTGCTCAGGCTGGAGTGCAGTGGCGTGATCTCAGCTCACTGCAACTTCAGCCTCCCAGGTCAAGTGATTCTCCTGCCTCAGCTTCCCGAGTAGCTGGGACCACAGGCGCACACCACCATGCCTGGCCAATTTTTGTACTCTTTAATAGAGATGGGGTTTCACCATACTGTCCAGGCTGGTCTTGAACTCCTGACCCCGTGATCCACCCACCTCAGCCTCCCAAAGTGCTGGGACTACAGGCATGAGCCACTGCGCCCAGCCTCAAATATGTTTTAATATACATTATATTTACTTCATGGAAATTGTTATGTCATTAAACCACTTACATAAACCATTAATTTCTAGTAAACTTAGCTTATTTGGTCATAATAGCCATGGGACATGAACATTTAAGATACTCGCCCACTGAATGTCCATCCCCTGGGTCAGCCTCTCCAGTGCCACGAAGTCCTCTTTGTTGATCACCTCTTTCCCTGCACTTGTCTTCCATCCATTTTTCTTCCAACCTTGAACCCAGTTACACCATTTATCGTAAACATACTGTCTGTATACAGAACCAGTTTATTGATGTTTTGAGTCTTTGCTTGTTCAATGGCCTTGTAGGCTGCATGAATTTCCGCTCTTTGGTTTGTCTGCCACCCAGGAAGTCTAATGCCTACATTTAAAGGATAGCCCGGCCCCCAGTAAACGCGGATTCCTGCTCGTGGCCTTCTACGCCCATTACTGGAGCAGCAGCCATCAGCGTAGACGACGACGAAGTCTCCCATGTAGGAAAACGTGTCTCTGCTAACTGGAGGCGCCGGCTTCACCCTCGGCTTCATGTGCTTGCATATGGCTCTGCGCTTTCATCTCCATCTCCATCCAGTGGCTCACGGAGTCGCTTGCTGGCTTTCGTCTCTGATTCTTGTCCATGTTGATTTTCCTGCCCTTCTGAAACTTCCGGGCTTGCAGATTTCCTGACAAAGTCCCAGGTCTCATCCTCTGTGGCAAACTTCTTAAATCTGGCAGCAGGAAACCGGTCCACCTGTGCTTTGCACTCATTCCCGGTCAGAAAGACCCCGGTCTTGCCGCCCCTCCTCACGGCATAGAACATCCCGAACCCGTGAGAGCAGCGGCAGGGCAAGGCGGCCAAGGCGACTCTGCGGCCAGGAACAGAAGCCGGCTCATCGCTCACTCCCGGCACCAGGAAGCATTTCGACTCCCAAGGAACCACTAATTTTACAAAGAGAGTTGTCCTAAACTGTGACAAATTTTCCAGTACTTAATTCTTTTTACAATTCATTCGTTTTTTAAATGACAAAATTGTATATATGTTGTGTAAAACCTTTTTAGAAATAGGTAGATGGTGGAATGATTGCATTGCGCTCAGGAACATATGCATACTTACTTTTTGTGGTGAGAACCCTTCTTGATTTTCAAGAATACGATACATTAACTGCAGTTACCATGTTGTGCAATGTATCTCTTAAACTTATTCCTCCTGTCTAACTACACTTTTGAATGATTTCACCGTCTCCCCAAACCCCTGCCTCCCACCCCCGGTAACCTCCATTCTACTCTCTGCTTCTGTGAGTAGAAGCAGGAGGCTGGAGAATTGCTTGAACTCAGGAGGCAGAGGTTGCAGTGAGCTGAGATCGAGCCGCTGCACTCCAGCCTGTGTGACAGAGCAAGACTCTCAAAAAAACAAACAAACAAACAAAAAAAACAGAGAATCCAGAGGTCAGACATTCCTTTTAGTAAGGACTCCAATATGGTTTCTCACCTACTCACTCCAACAAAATTGCTCTTCTCAAAGCACAAACGATATTGTTAAATTATGAATTAAAGCATAATTCCTCAGCCTTTGTCTTAATTTATGTATCAGCAGCATTTGACACAGGTGATCTCTCCTTTTTGCAAAACTTTCTTTGATAGAATTCCAGAACACTTAACCCACTTTCCCCCCGACATTTTTGATAATTACCCCTAGTCCTTTTTTGCTGTTTTTTTCTCACCTTTACTACTTTTTAAATGTTAGAGAAGCACTAGGCTCAGGACCTGGACTTATCTTTCTTTTATTTACTTTCTTACTAATTTTTGTGTCATTAATTTCCTGATATTTCATATTATACCTCAACACTAGACTACACCCAGCACCGTCTGACTTCTTCACTTGGGTGTCAGCCAAGAATTTCAAAATGAAGTTCCACATGGAGCCTCCAATACTCCCCAGACTTGCCCTTCCCCTATCTGTTTAATGGCAACTCCCATTTTATAGTTTCTCAGCTCAATATTCTTGATATCCCCTTTTAGTTCTCTCTGTATCTGTCTGGTTCTCATTCTCTATCTCTCCATCACACACACACACACACACACACACACACACACACTTTCAGATCTGTTGTGTATGGAAAACCTGCCAGCTTTGCCTTTAAAGTGCAGTAATTCCAAATGGTGTTTTCAAATTCACCTTCCCACCCTCACCACTTGGTAACTACACTACTTCCCTCACACGGTCAGGGCTCTACTGCAGACATTTCTTGGAGGAAATAATGAGAACTATTATAAATTCTTATTTCAGGCACCCTCAAAATTATAGGCTAGCCATATTCTATATGAATTTAAGCTTTTATCATTGCCCTTTTTTTCATTCCAGTCTCTACACAGCAACCACAGTATGCAATTTTTTAGAATTCCAAGCCGCATCATAACACTTTTTTTTTTGAGACGGCGTTTGGTTCTTGTTACCCAGGCTGGAGTGCAGTGGCGCAATCTGGGCTCACCGCAACCTCCGCATCCCAGGTTCAAGCAATTCTGCCTCAGCCTCCCGAGTGGCTGGATTATAGGCATGCGCCACCACACCCGGCTAATTTTTTGTATTTTTAGAAGAGACGGGGTTTCTCCATGTTGGCCAGACTGGTCTCGAACTCCCAACTTCAGGTGATCCACCTGCTTCAGCCTCTCAAAAGTGCTGGGATTACAGGCGTGAGCCACCGTGCCCGGCCAACGCTCCTGTTTTAAAGTACCTGCGCTATTACTTCTTTTCTCCCTCATTAGAATTTAAGCTTAACAAACCTGGGTAACTTTATATACTTTTCCACTGATCTGTCTCCATGAGCTGGAGATCACTTAGTGTAAGGTAAATGATCAATAAATGTTTTCAAATAACAGAATCAATTATTAATAGTTTTCTTTCTTTGAGTATACATTTAGACTTTCAAAAATCAAGAAAATAGATTGGTCAAGAGATTTCCATTTGTTTTGATTTTGTTATCCTTTGATTAGATTAGCTGTGTTAGTATAGATTTCAGTGTGGGAAGCTATAAGCATTTCCTAAATTTTAAAATGAAAGGCATGGGATTTGAATATCCATTCCTTTTATTTAAGGAATAAAGACAAGCCTAGCTTTTAAAATATATTTTATATATGTAAACTATCTAAATTTATTTTTCTCTTTATCCCTGAATACTTTTTCAAGTTATTCATCTCATTTTAAAAAATCTACCTCGATAACATTTTAAAATACATATGCAACTTCATTAAGAATATCTTTGTTCCACTGAATAGCTTGTCAAATAATACATTAGCAGTACAATTTCCTCATAATTCTTAGACTTGTTTGATTAAATTTATAGATTTCCTACTCTCAACTAATAAATTCATTCAAGTATAATACATCCTACTTGATCTTTGTGGGGTTTTCATACCATATAGTTATTATAAAAATTGATTTTTGATATTTGAATCAACTTCATAATTGTATTGGTTAGATTGGTCGGTAGAATCCTTTTTTGTTTTGGTTCTGTTGTTTGTTCATTACAGAGTGGCTTTGCTACTGTAAAGCTTGAAGCATTTTCTTTTTTGTTTTATTTCCTTCCTTTTTTCTTCCTTCTTTCTCTCTCTCCCTCCCTCCGCTCCCTCCCTCCCTTTCTTCCTTCCCTCGTTCCTTCCTTCCTTTTTCTTTATTTCTCTCACTCTCTTTCTCTCTTTCTCTCTCTCTCTCTCTCTCTCTCTCTCTCTCTCTCTCTCTCTTTCTTCAGGTTTTGCTCTGTTGCCCAGGCTGGAGTGCAGTGGTGTTAACAAGACTCACTTAAATTTTTTTTAACAGAAATTTATCTATCTTACATTAACCAAATTTCAGTGTAACCGATATTTCTTTCAAGTGAAAAATTAAATCTTTACCATCTGTTAGCCTCAACACTTTACCTTCTGCAGCCTCAGTTTTTCTGTCTCCAGCAATCCTCCCATCTCAGCCTCTTAAGTAACTGGGACTACAGGTAGTGCCACCATGCCTGGCCAATTTTTGTAATTTTTTGTAGAGATGGGGCTCACCATGTTGCCCAGGCTGGTCTCGAATGCCTGGACTTAAGTGATCCTCCCACCTCGGCCTCCCAAAGTGCTGGGATTATAGGCATGAGCCACCATGCCCAGCCAAAAGGTTGGAACATTTTCTAAATTGGAAAACAAAGCGCATGGCATTTAAATACTTATTCCTTAAAATTTGGAAGACATGTTAACACCATATAAACCCAGAGCCTGTATTTTTAGATTAGTAATATGTAGATATTTTCAATTTCTTCTAAAGTTTAAAAAAAAATTTTGTATTCAGAAAATTCTTTATAACAGAAGGTAAACATTTTTCACTTAAAAGAAATGTGATTACTTTGAAAACAAATTTGGTTAATGTAAGTTAGATTAATTTTTGTTTAAAAAATAATTTAAGAAAAATAATGCTCAAAGAGCAGTGGTCATGGCATTTATTCCAGAGAGAGGAAGTTTAGCCTGATCTGCCTGTAACAACAAAAGTACATGGATCAAGATAATTCTATAGGGACATGGATTAAAAGATAACATACTTTTTTATTTTAAAAACCATGATAACTTTTTGTTACGTGTATTAAATGTGAGAGAACAAACAGCATAAAAAATGAACTTTTGGGGGGATATAAACAAGTACTGAGAACAGTGTGAAGAATAAAATTCTCATCCTGGCTTGGTGTGGGCAGAACCTCACAGCCCGAGAACAAGTCCAGTGTGTGGTGGTGTTAAGGCCCCTCTGTGTAAAAGCTGTCCTCATTTACCGAGAATTGAGGTCTCAGGAAAAAAAAAAAAATTACTAACCTCAACACGAAATGATTGGTTCATCATTTGATATACCCTGTGCCTTTATAACATATACAATTGTGTTGTCATTCTATCAGGTTTATCATTTGTTACATTTAAAACCAGAATAATTTCAAATTTGAAGTGAAATAAGTCCCTTAGAGAAACAAATTTCAAAATACACCCCCTACCTATCCATATCTATATCATCTATATCTGTGTTAGACCATTTTTATATTGCAAAAAGCAAAAACATCCTTCTAGGCCTTCTAAATTTTATAGGATAACACAAACATTGATGCAATGGTGATAGACAAAGATGGATGTTAATATTATTTGGAAACATTTTCATTTATAGTATTGTGAGCAAACCATCAAGGGGTTGGTGGTCTTAGGCATTATTTCCCACTAGGGTCTATACCTTTGCATGTGAAAAGCAGGTACTAGAGGAAGAGTGAAGAAAGAGCACTCATTGTTCCCAGAGAATTGGACTAGAGAAATATGAAGTCGCCTAGAGAATGATTGTGCACGCGGCGCTTTTCCCTGGGAAAGCCATCTCATCATTTCTGTTGTATATTTTACTACAATGGTAAATTATTGGTTTGAGTTTAGATGTGTTCATTAAATATGGGTTAATGTTATGGTACCGTAATGTTAGGACGATACACAGAACCTGTAGGAATGTATCAGTCACATAACCAAGGAGAAAGAGAAGACAACGGTGGGTATCTTGCATTGTGATGTGATATTGAATTGACGGATTAAGACAGCCAATGTGAGCTACCCACATGCAGCAACTGAAATTTCCAAAATAGATAATTACGATGTGCTAAGATCAATTCATATGAAACACACATATTTGACGTGAACATTTTAATTTTGCATATCTGGTGCGTATGGGCTTTTTGTTTTGTTTTGTTTTGTTTTTGTTTTGAGACGCAGTCTTGCTCTGTTGCCCAGGCTGGAGTGCAGTGGTGCAATCTCGGCTCACTGCAACCTCCGCCTCCCGGGGTCAAGCAATTCTCCTGCCTCAGCCTCCCGAGTAGCTGGGGTTACAGGAGCCTGTCACCACGCCAGGCTAATTTTTGTATTTTTAGTAGAGACGGGGTTTCACCATGTTAGCCAGGCTGGTCTCCAACTCCTGATCTCAGGTGGTCCGCCCACCTCGGCCTCCCAAAGTGCTGGGAGAGTATTTGTTTAAGCCGGCCTTGGGTCGCAGAGCGCTGCCTCTGAACTGGGGTTGCCCGTTCCTAGGGAACGCGGCACGCCCTCTTTGCAGGGGAGCCGCCAGCCCTCACGGTGTGGGAAAGAAGGCTGCTTATCTCCAGTGTGATCTGAAAAATTAGGGATGGGCCTGCGCGGTGGCTCACGTCTGTAATCCCAGCACTTTGGGAGGCCGGGGCCGGCAGATCACGAGGTCAGGAGTTAGTGACCAGTCTGGCCAACATGGTGAAACCCCGTCTCCACTAAAAATACAAAAATTAGCTGGGCATGGTGTTGAATGCCTGTAATCCCACCTACTCGGGAGGCTGAGACACGAGAATCGCTTGAACCCAGGAGACGGAGGTTGCAGTGAACCGAGATCATGCCTCTGCACTCCAGCCTGGGCAACAAAGCAAGACCTTGTCTCAAAAAAACAAAAATTACGCATGCCTGTTTTACTTGTTTTCCAGACTTGTCTCTGGCTTGATCAGGGCATATAACTATGTATTTTTTGTATCTGTGTAACAAAAAATATGTTGGTTTTTAAAAATAAAAACATAAAAGGAGCCTCCAGCCCGCAGCGGCTGGAGCCGGAGGGTGCGCTTGAACAGGCCAGGGAGCCACGAGGCGGCGCAGGACCTGAGCCCAGAGAAACGACCTGGAAAGGAAGCTTCTCACAGAATGCGGCGCGGACAGCGGCTGCCGAGCAGGGGATCTGGAAAGCACTGGCCCCTGAGCCCCAGCGCAGCGCAGGGTGTCGCAGGGGTTAGCCCGGGTGGCGGGAAGAGCCCAGGGAGCAAGGCCCCCCCCCACGCGCAGGCGCGCTGCGCTCCCCCGCGCTGTGACATCATTGATGACCCCGCGCAGAGGCCTCCTCAATGCAGGCGCCTCCCTCTCAGCGCTAGAGCCCAGGCCACTGCCAGGGAAGTGTCCCTACCAGGCGAGTGGCCCTGCCAGGCCCTCCTGCTGCTGCTCGCGGTCGCTCGCCAGGAAAATTTTATGTGGCATGTCCCCTAAAAGCGCTCGCATTTCAGGGTAAAATGTTTTAATTATGTTGCAGCCCTTTAAAACAATCGCTGATCATTATTGATTTCCTCAGGTATTTATTGTCACAATATTAATCATGATGACCTCGCTCGGTATTAATATGCATGTCCCAACTAGTTCTTGCAGTGATTAATTGCACAATTATTTTAAGGGTTACCAGTTTTCCTCATGTCTCCTACGTGGCAGGAGTTTGGGTTGCATTTTTGCAGATACAGGGTGCAGCAGGTACACTTGTCCTCTACCTTCGGGGTCAAAATCAGTCCTGTGTTTAAATCTCACAGGCTACTTGAGCTCCTTGCTCTCCGTTTTCATTCGTAGTCTCAATATGCCAACTTTATTAATCTTTTAAAGATTACTCATCCAATACAGGTGACTGTACATTAAATATGGATGGAAGTTGGCCTGTGAGGAAATACATTATTTTTTAAAAGGCAACCAACAAGTACTAGTTCTTAACTAAAAAGTGGGGGCAAGCTGAGAAACTAAAGCAGAAAAGGAAATTTTACCAGTCCGAAATAGATCCATTCTCGGAATTCACAGAATTTTCATAACATCTGACTCTCAGGGGGCATGAAGTGCATAATCTTCCCTAGATTACAAAAAACATATAGATGACGGGTTTGCCTATGAAACTTCAGTACTACAAGAAACATAAAATATTTAAATATATGAGATTTAAATATATTTAAAATTATTAAAGTAATATAAACATTTTTTAGTGACTGTGTTATGTTTTTCTGGTTATTTTGTTTTCTACTAGTATATTTTTCTGTAAAAATTGTAAAACTATATCAGCAATTTCTAATGCCAAAAAAGTAAAAACTAGTGTGTATAAATGCACGCCATATCTCTTCCTTATGCTTTTATCTTTTGTCTCCCGATGACCCTAACCCAAACAATTACATACATGAGGAGGACAGTTTCTCCATGTTTAAGTATTATTCTTCAACTCTTGGTTATCTAATTACCAAAGTACACTTTACCATATATTCCAATTCGTCAAGGATGACAGCCCCTGCATTCAAATTTTGGATTTCTGTTTGCTTTACATTATATTAGTTGAAATTTTAACCTACTATCATATAGGTTAGGGAATGTCAGATAAACTTTAGTCAACAGATAACCACCATTATTTCAGCAGATCATTTCAACCTAATATATAGCAACGGCATAGAAATATTGCCTTTTTGTTAATATTTCCACATTTGATTTATTTTTAAATAAACTTTTAAAAATATTCCTAAAATGTGCAGTATTCAGAATAAATGTTTTAAATTAAATAAATTTTAAAGATATCAGAGACAATGTACTAGGAAAAGCATGAGGCTAGAGAGAGAGAACAATACACTGTAACGATGATGACAGAATAATATAAAATGAGACCCCTTTCTGCTCTAATCATATGAAAATAGCACAGATGGCCGGGCGCGGTGGCTCACGCCTGTAATCCCAGCACTTTGGGAGGCCGAGGCGGGTGGATCACGAGGTCAGGAGGTCGAGACCATCCTGGCTAGTGCGGTGAAACCCCGTCTCTACTAAAAATACAAAAAAAAAAATTAGCCGGGCTTGGTAGCGGGCACCTGTAGTCCCAGCTACTCCGGAGGTTGAGGCAGGAGAATGGCATGAACCCGGGAGGCGGAGCTTGCAGTGAGCCAAGATAGCGCCACTGCAGTCCAGCCTGGGCGAAAGAGCAAGACTCCATCTCAAAAAAAAAAAAAAAAAAGAAAAAGAAAATAGCACAGATATATAACACCAACCACATCAAAACATAGTCTCCCTGGTTTGCAAACTGTTCACTGAAATAAAATTTCTTTTCTCCAAATTCCTTTTCAGAGACCTATTGTTCACATTAGCAACTCTAGTTAAAGCAGTAGAACAATCCAAAAGATATTTTAAAAAATCATTTTCAAGTAAAGAGCAAATGGAGAGATAAAAAATAATGGTAAATGAGCAGTATAATATAAAAATAGACTAGAAAAAAGTTGTCAATTATTAGGACTATGAGAAAGAGTAATAGGTGATGTAACAGAAAAGTAAATGATATAAATCTGAAGATATACCTAAAATGGAAAAAATACACAAATTACTTCATAATGAGCACAGAGAAATAGATGGAAAACAGGAAATTATATTAAAGTAAATAAATGATAAAAAAAAGATCGAGGCCAGGCATGGTGGCTCACTCCTATAATCCCAGCATTTTGGGAGGCTGAGGCAGGTGGATCACTTGAGCTCAGGGTTGGAGACAAACCTAGGCAACAAGGCTGGACCCTATCTCTACCAAAAAATTAGCCAGGCATGGTGGCACCTGTGGTTCCAGCTACTCAGGAGGCTAAGGTGGGAGGATCACTTGAACCCAGAAGTTTGAGGCTGCAGTGAGTTGTGATCTCACCACTGCATGGCAGCCTGGGTGGCAGAGCAAGACCTTGTCTAAAAATAAAAATAAAGAAATAAAAAGATCCAATAAATGTCTGATGAATTTATCAATAGTAAAACACTACTAACAGAAACATCAAAGGAGAAATTATGGTAGGAAGGAAATTCATCTCAGGAAAGATCTGGAATGCAAAACGAAGTAATTAGTTAATACTAGTAAATGTATTAATATATCTAAGAGAATATTGGCTCTTAAAACAATTCAATACAAATTGGACCTAAAATTTTAAACAAAAGTAGTAAGGCAGATTCAAAGAAATATTTGGTTTTACCACATATTGGGGAAAAGATATTTATTAACGTTAGGTTTTGTTAAAGTATTTATGCACGCCAAAAATTTACAAACATTCTAAAAATGTAGAAAGGAAATATGTAAGTATAAAAAATGACAGAAATAGAATTCAAAAAATAAGCAAATAAAATATTTAATTGAAAAAGAACAGAATTGGGGAAAAGCAATTTAATAGAAATCATAGTAAACAAAACTAAAGAAAAGTCACAAAATAGCAACATAACATTTCAGTAACCATAATAATTGTAAACAGGCTATACAAACCAATTACTAAAAACAAAATTCTGAAATTACTTGAAAAATTAATATCCAGCTACAATTATTATGACACAAAAAGTGAATTACATACATTCTTTCACTTCAGAATAAACTGGAGTAATAGTAAACAGATTTACTTCACACCTTATAATCTAGAAAACTAGAAAATTACATGAAAACAGTTTTCATAAACATTGTAAAATAGGACTGTGCAGGACTGTGATCTATGACATAAAGGAAATAAGAAAGCTAAGTGTGAAAATATTACCAGTTTACTCCCTGGAAACTGTTTCCAGGCCGTGAAGCAGAGAATGGCAACCCGCAACATGGCCCACCAGTCTGGTAGCATTTGGAAGCCAGCAATGAGAATTCGGGAAAACACAAAATGTTAAATTAGGGGGAAAGTACTGGAGAAAAAGAATCTGCAAAAGAAAAAATATTTTAATAACAATGAGTACCACATAAAGTTAAGAGTTATAAAACCATTATTTCATTAACCTGATTTCAACAAATGTCTTTATACTGATAATTTTTCTAGTGTTATTTATAAAACTAATAAACCATTTGTTTCCATACAATCAATAGTTCCACTTTTTTTTTTTTTTTTTTTTTTTTTTTTTTGGAGACGGAGTCTCTTTCTGTCGCCCAGGCTGGAGAGCACTGGCACGAACTCAGCTCACTAACCTCTGCCTCCCGGGTTCAAGGGATTCTCCTGCCTCATCCTCCCAAGTAGCTGGGATTACAGGCGCATGCCACCATGCCCGGCTAATTTTTGTATTTTAGTAGAGACGAGGTTTCACCACGTTAGCCAGGCTGGTCTTGAACTCCTGACCTCAGGTGAGCCGCCTGCCTCGACCTCCCAAAGTGCTGGGATTCTAGGCGTGAGCCACTGCGACCGGCCTAGTTCCACTTTTAGTTTTGTCTGAGAAAATATATATTATACACATTTGGTTTTTCTAAATTTTGTATAAAGTTATGGGGCACAATTGTAATTTTGTTACATGGATATTTTGCTGCATGGGGTGAAGCCCGGGCTTTTTGAATATCCATCACTGGAATAACATGCATTGTACCCATTAGTAATTTTGCATCTTGCACCCCCAACCCTTCCAAGTCTCCATGTTTTCACACTCTACGTCCATGTGTACACATTATTTAGCTCCCACTTAAGAGAATTTGGGGTGTTTGTCTTTCTGTGTCTGAGTTGTTTCATTTAAGGTAACGGCCTCCAGTTCCATCCAAGTTGCTGCAATAAACATGATTTCATTTGAAAATACACATATATGTATACGTAGAATTTTTAAAATTATCTTTAAAATTTTTGCTTCTTTCTGGTTATTTCCTCAAGGTCATCCATATATCTCCTGCAGCTGAATCTCTCGATATGCCTCTGCGGCCCTCTGTACCCTAATCTAAATTTTTATTTTTATTTATTTATTTATTGAGACGGAGTCTCGCTCTGTGTCGCCTAGGCTGGAGTGCAGTGGCACAATCTCTGCTCACTGCAACCTCCGGCTCCTGGGCTCAAGCAATTCTCGTGCCTCGGCTTCCCAAGTACCTGTGACTGCAGGTGTGCGCTACCACAACATGGGGTCTCACCCATGTTGGCCAGACTGGTCTCGAACTCCTGACCTCAAGGGATCCACCCGACTCAGCTTCCCAAAGTGCTGGGATTACAGGCGTGAGCCACTGGCCCAACCCCACTCTAAATTTTTAAAATTATTGTTGAATAAGTAAAAGTAATATGTATCATCTTGTACTTTTTTAAAACTTCTTGAATAAAATGTAATAGTTTACATTTCATTGACAAATTTATCAGTCCAATTCTGCTTTACAATGCCATCCCTTGGGAACCACAGCTTATTCTCTCAAGAGAGTTGAAAATACGCATTTGGTTATAATTATTTAACATGAAAAATGTATCCATTCCAAGCCTAACCTGAGAGATACAGATAATATACATTCCTATAATTGAGCTCTAAAGTGCTTTTATTCTTAGGATAAATTTTAAAAACTAGAATCTGTGGAGACCCAAGATCACATGTAAAACCAATAAATATATATATTTTTGTAAAGTATGTAAAAATAGCATTGAAAAGAATAAAAATTAGGCAATTTGTGAGTGGAAGGAGAGATGGCAAAAGTCTTTTATTAACAAAATAATCATAGTTATGGAAGTTTTATTACATGCCGGCCACATTCTCAGTATGTTAAATGTATTGGCTTATTTAAAACTCACAAGAATCTCATGAGATATTAATATTTCCCCCATTTTAAAGATGAGGCTCAGAGAGATTAGAACTTGCCCAAGCTCATACAATGAGTGACCCTTGGAGCCCAGCAATGAACCGAGTCAGTGACATTACAGACTTCATGATAAAAATGTGACTCTTGGCCGGGCGCGGTGGCTCACGCCTGTAATCCCAGCACTTTGGGAGGCCGAGGAGGGCAGATCACGAGGTCAGGACATGGAGACCATCCTGGCTAACACGGTGAAACCCCGTCTCTACTAAAATACAAAAAATTAGCCGGGCGTGGTGGCAGGCATCTGTAGTCCCAGCAACTCGGGAGGCTGGGGCAGGAGAATGGCGTGAACCCGGGAGGTGGAGCTTGCAGTGAGCCGAGATTGTGCCACTGCACTCCAGCCTGGGCGACAGAGCAAGACTCCGTCTCAAAAAAAAAAAAATGTGACTCTTTCGAAAAAAAAAAGAGCAGATATTTGTTTCCACCAGTGATGATCTTCAAAATTGTTACTACCAGTTTTAGAATCTCTGGCACGATGAGAATAATCAGGCTTATATCCATAATGTATTTTAAAGGTGAATTTGTTTTGGAGTAGTTATAAATGAAGCTGAGAAATTGACAGTAAGCATAGGATTGGCAGAAAGCAAAATGACTATCTTACATATTGATGAATGGATGCATTGAAACATAATCTGCACAAAGAAAAATATTTCATTTTGAATAAACATGCCTATCTGCGTCGATTGAAACTTGGCCAGGTTTCTGTTCTCCTTTGTTTTGCATTATTTTCACTTGAATGGAAAAACATTGTTACTAAATTGGTTAAAATTATTACAGGAAGAATGTTGTTTCGAAGTATAAAGTAATTTATACAGAATTTCTATGTTACATTATCTGATTGAGACAGTTAAGCAAAACAAAGTCAAATTTCTTCTTCTTCTTCTTTTTTTTTTCTGAGACAGTCTTGCTCTGTGGCCCAGAACTGGAGTGCAATGGCATGATCTCGGCTTACTGCAACCTCTGCCTCCCAGGTTCAAATGATTCTCCTGCCTCAGCCTCCCGAGTAGCCAGGATTACAGGCACACGCCACCATGCCCAGCTAATTTTTGTATTTTTAGTAGAGACGGGGTTTCACTACGTTGGCCAGGCTGGTCTCAAACTCCTGACCTCGTGATCCGCCCGCCTTGGCCTCCCAAAGTGCTGGGATTACAGGCATGAGCCACCTCACCCAGCCAACAATGTTAAATTTCTTGGTTTTTTTTTTTTTTTTTTTTTTTTTTTGAGACAGGATTTCACTCTTGTTACCCAGGCTGGAGCCACCGTTCCCGGCCACAATGTTAAATTTCAATAGCTTCAAGTGTACTCATTAATTATCCTCTATGAAAAATGTTTATTCTGAAATAATTAAAATTCAAAAATAAATTGATTCAATATATATTTTAATTTTATTTCACAAGTTTTTGTTTTGTTTTGTTTTTGAGATGGAGTCTTTCTCTGTCTCCTAGGCTGGAGTGCAGTGGCCTGATCTCAACTCACTTCAACCTCTGCCTCCTGGGTTCAAGGGATTCTCCTACCTCAGCCACCTGAGTAGCTGGGATTACAGGTGCGTGCCACCACATCCGGCTAATTTTTGTATTTTTAGTAGAGACGGGGTTTCTCCATGTTGGCCAGGCTGGTCTCAAACTCCTGACCTCAGGTGATCCACATGCCTTAGACTCCCAGAGTGCTGGGATGACAGGCTCGAGCCACCGTGCCTGGCCATTTCACAAGTATTTTTATGTTAATAGTGGCAAGATTTTAAGTATATGTATTAAAACTATACCTACTGCCTATTATTATTTCATATGCATGCATTTTAAATAAATAGAAATATAGCAAGAAAAACATTTAAGAAATACTATGCTTTAAAAAATCTCAATACATTGTTTATGTTACTAATGTCTTTTAAGTTTTTGGTTTTTCTTTAAAAGATGAGGTATTTCAATGCTGCCCAGACTTGTCTCAAACTTCTGAGCTTAAGCCTCCCGAGTAGCTGGTATTACAGGTGTGCACCACCATGCCCAGTGTTGCCTGTTTCTTGACTATCAGGTAGGAAGCACATTAAATAGTTTTCACTCATTCACTCAGCAACCATCATAACTAAAATTTCCACAGGTAAGAATCTGAATTCTCACTAAATGAATACACTGGAATGTTTCACTTGTATTTATCATCTAGTTTGACAAACACCATAGTTATATTGCTAGACATACCCATTAAATTATCTTCCTTAAGGTATTAATATCCTGTTGTATCATTTAGGAAATACATTTTAGAAGTACAGTATGCCATTTTATCAAGATGTTCGGTTTCACTTTCATTTTATTCTGATTATAAGAGTTCATTGTTTTGCAGGTTTGTCTTACGCTGTATGTCATAGGTTGGCCAACTTTTTCTCTAAAGAGCTGCACAGTAAATGTTCTATGTGCTGCAGGTTATAGCATGCCTGCCTAAATTGATGTGGCCATGTCCCAATTTTTTGTTTCTTACTAAAACGGGCTCAGCCTAATTTGCGTATAATCTCATCTCTGCTTGCCTCACTGCCTATCACTCAACCCCTTAATGCTTCTGTCTTAAATGACCTTTCTTTTGCTTGGGCAGACTTTAATTCCTAGATTAGATCTGCTGTGCTTTCTTTGCCCTCTGACTGTAAATATCTATCCGTGTGTTGAAATGTCACCTCTTCCAGTGGCCTTTTCCAACCAGCTTCCTCTTGTAGTTGCATACACACCACACTCTACGTATTAATTAGAGAATTGTATGTCCAATTGCATGTCCTGATTTACAATGAAAAGCCCTGGTCTGGCTGGCTGTGGTGGCTCACACCTGTAATCCCAGCACTTTGGGAGGCCGAGGCGGGAAGATCAGGAGGTCAGGAAATTGAGACCACCCTGGCCAACATGGTGAAACCCCATCTCTACTAAAAATACAAAAATTAGCTGGGTGTGGTGGCATGCACCTACTACTCCCAGCTACTTAGGAGGCTGAGGTGGGAGAACTGCTTGAACCCGGGAAGCGGAGGTTGCAGTGAGCCGAGATTGCACCACTGCACTCCAGCCTGGGTGACAGTGCGAGACTCTGTCTCAAAAAAAAAAAAAAAAAAAAAAGAAAGAAAGGAAAAGTCCTGGTTTACATGGAACAGACCTCGTTTATTTCTGCTACCCATGTATCACATCTAGTAGAGTCTTTGTTCCAGATACTACATTGTTTAAACAAATACTGTTACTTGCAATACATAGGCTGGACAGGGTTTGATAGAGCTCTTCTTTTTTTATTATTATTATTATACTTTAAGTTCTAGGGTACATGTGCACAACGTGCAGGTTTGTTAGATATGCATACATGTGCCATGTTGGTGTGCTGCACCCATTAACTTGTCATTTACATTAGGTATATTTCCTAATGCTATCCCTCCCCCCTCCCCCCACCCCATGACAGGCCGCGGTGTGTGATATTCCCCTTCCTGTGTCCATGTGTTCTCATTGTGCAATTCCCACCTATGAGTGAGAACATGCGGTGTTTGGTTTTTTTGTCCTTGCGATAGTTTGCTGAGAATGATGGTTTCCAGCTCCATCCATGTCCCTACAAAGGACAGGAACTCATCCTTTTTTATGGCTGCATAGTATTCCATGGTGTATAGGTGCCACATTTTCTTAATCCAGTCTATCTATCATTGATGGACATTTGGGTTGGTTCCTAGTCTTTGCTATTGTGAATAGTGCCGCAATAAACATAGGTGTGCGTGTGTCTTTATAGCAGCATGATTGATAATCCTTTGGGTATATACCCAGTAATGGGATGGCTGGGTCAAATGGTATTTCTAGTTCTAGATCCTCGAGGAATTGCCACACTGTCTTCCACAATGGTTAAACTAGTTTACAGTCCCACCAACGGTGTAAAAGTGTTCCTATTTCTCCATATCCTCTCCAGCACCTGTTGTTTCCTGACTTTTTAATGATCGCCATTCTAAATGGTGTGAGATGGTATCTCATTATGGTTTTGATTTGCATTTCTCTGATGGCCAGTGATGATGAGCATTTTTTCATGTGTCTGTTGGCTGCATAAATGTCTCCTTTTGAGAAGTGTCTGTTCATATCCTTCGCCCACTTTTTGATGGGGTTGTTTGTTTTTTTATTGTAAATTTGATTGAGTTCTTTGTAGGTTCTGGATATTAGCCCTTTGTCAGATGAGTAGATTGCAAAAATTTTTTCCCATTCTGTAGGTTGCCTGTTCACTCTGATCATAGTTTCTTTTGCTGTGCAGAAGCTTTTTAGTTTAATTAGATCCCATTTGTCAATTTTGGCTTCTGTTGCCATTGCTTTTGGTGTTTTAGACATGAAGTCTTTGCCCATGCCTATGTCCTGAATGGTATTGACCAGGTTTTCTTCTAGGGTTTTTATGGTTTTAGGTATAACATTTAAGTCTTTAATCCATCTTGAATTAATTTTTGTCTAAGGTGTAAGGAAAGGATCCAGTTTCAGCTTTCTACATATGGCTAGCCAGTTTTCCTAGCGCCATTTATTAAATAGGGAATCCTTTCCCCATTTCTTGTTTTTGTCAGGTTTGTCAAAGATCAGATAGTTGTAGATGTGTGGTATTATTTCTGAGGGCTCTGTTCTGTTCCATTGGTCTACATCTCTGTTTTGGTACCAGTACCATGCTGTTTTGGTTACTGTAGCCTTGTAGAATAGTTTGAAGTCAGGTAGCGTGATGCCTCTAGGTTTGTTCTTTTGGCTTAGGATTACAGCCAATATCATACTAAATGAGCAAAAACTGGAAGCATTCCCTTTGAAAACTGGCACAAGACAGGGATGCCCTCTCTCACCACTCCTATTCAGCATAGTGTTGGAAGTTCTGGCCTGGGCAATCAGGCAGGAGAAAGAAATAAAGGGTATTCAATTAGGAAAGGAGGAAGTCAAATTGTCCCTGTTTGCAGATGACATGATTGTATATTTAGAAAACCCCATCGTCTCAGCCCAAAATCTCCTTAAGCTGATAAGCAACTTCAGCAAAGTCTCAGGATACAAAATCGATGTGCAAAAATCACAAGCATTCTTATACACCAATAACAGACAAACAGAGAGCAAAATCATGAATGAACTCCCATTCAAAATTGCTTCAAAGAGAATAAAATACCTAGGAATTCAACTTACAAGGAATGTGAAGGACCTCTTCAAGGAGAACTACAAACCACTGCTCAACAAAATAAAAGAGGACACAAACAAATGGAAGAACATTCCATGCTCATGGATAGGAAGGATCAATATCATGAAAATGGCCATACTGCCCAAGGTAATTTATAGATTCAATGCCATCCCCATCAAACTACCAATGACTTTCTTCACAGAATTGGAGAAAACTACTTTAAAGTTCGTAAGGAACCAAAAAAGAGCCCGCATTGCCAAGATAGAGCTCTTCTTTATACATCCTGCTTTTGCCATAGTTGCTTCTAATACCACGTGAGATGCACCTTCAGTGAACAGAGTTCTCCCTGAAAAAGATCATCAAATGTGAAAGACAACCAGTGATAACCCACCTCTCTTTTCCCAACTCTTTCCTTCTCCTTGAAAGTAAATGTAATGAACTTTCCTTTCAAGGACATAAGGCTGTGTGTCTTGACATAATAAATCATGTTTGGATGTGAAAGCTGGGGGCGGTTTTTTTTCAGGCTCCAGGGGTGTTGGGAAAAGTTTTAGAGGCTGCTGCCCCCATGCTGGCTTCTTGTTATGCCCATGTCATGCCATAAGAAGTACACAAAAGCATCAGACCTACAGGTGACACTGATAATACCAAATTCTGGCTATGATGTTGAATGGCAGAAAATCACATTCGTTGCTGGTGGAACAAAATCATAAAATCCAGCATTCACACTCCTTGATATCTACCCCAGTGAGCTGAAAATTTATGCACACAAAAACCACACTTAGATATTTAGAACAGCCTTATTCATAATTGTCAAAACATGGAAGCTGCCAAGATGTCCTTCAGTAGGTCCATAGAGAAATAAACTATGTTACATACAGACAATGGAATATTATCCAGTGCTAAAAATGAATGAGCTATCAAGCCGTGAAAAGATATGGAGGAGACTTAAATGCATATTACTAAGTGAAAAAAAGCCAATCTCCAGAGTTACGTAGTGTATGATTTCAACTATATGACATTCCAGAAAAGGCAAAATTATGGAGACAGTACAGTGGTTGCCAGGAGTTAGGGGTGGGGTTGGGGGGATGAATAGGCAGAACACAGAGGATTTTTAGGACAATGGAGCTATTCTTTAAGATAATATAATGGTGAATACATGTCGTTTTACATTTCTCCTAACACATAAAATGTACAACACCAAGAGTGAATCCTAATGTAACCTGTGGGCTTTGGTTGGTGACTATGTGTCCATGTAGGTTCATAGATTGTATGAACTGCTCTGGTGGTAGTGTACCACTCTGGTGTGAAATGTTGATAGTGGGAAGTGTTGTGTCTGTGTTGGGGCAGAAGGTCTATGGGGACTCTGTACTTTCTGCCCAATTTTGCTATGAATCTAAAATTGCTGTAAAATATAATGTATTAGAAAAACTTTATTGAGCACTAAAGCAAATGCAATATTTGCTGGCTCACCAACAGATGATTGGCTATGTTCTCTAATTTGATGTTATTCACTTCAACAGCTTTATTGCCTTTTAAATGTTTGAAGTTCACTCATAATTAGGAAGATAGAATAGCACAGCATTCATTTCAGGATAGACTGTGATTTCACTATATTTGGAGTTGTTGTGGATAGGGATGTTGTCTCTTTGCATTCCTAAGACCTAATGTAATGTCTCATACACAGCAGGCACTGGATTAGTTATTGTTGATTGAGAGAGAAAGACTTCTTTAAAAAAGCGTTTTTGTTAAGGAGTCTGGGAATCATGGAATCATAGTGACCAGTAACTGTTATGGACTGGATTGTATCCCCCTCCAATTCAGTTATGGTGCTGCTTCAGAAAGAAAAGAGGTGAGCTGTTTTTCAAAAGCATATATCTATTGGCTTTGAAAATGCCTATATCATCATGAATAGAATGTTGGTAAAATTATGAAAGCTGGAGGCTATTCTGGTGAGGTCTCATATGGAAATGAGATGCAGCTTATTAGAAACAGAAGGAAAAGTGATCGTTGTTATAAAGTGGCAAATAACTTGGATGTATCACGTTCTAATATTTTGTGAAAGGTAGAACTTGCAAGTGATGAAATTGTATATTTTGCTGAGGAGATTTCTAAGCAAAGTGATGAATGAGTGGCGTGGTTTCCCTTTACCACTTGTAGTAAAATGCAAAAGAGATACATTAAAATAATACTTAAACAAAAAGGAATCACAGGCCAGGTGCAGTGGTTCACTCCTGTAATGCCAGCACTTTGGGAGGCTGAGGAGGGCAGATCACTTGAGGTCAGGAGTTCGAGACCAGCTTAGTGAAAACCTACCTCTACTATTTTTGTAAAAATACAAAAAAATAGCTAGGCGTGATGTCATGCACCTGTAGTCCCAGCTACTGGGGAGGCTGAGGCATAAGAATCACTTGCATCTGGGAGGAGGAGGCTGCAGTGAGCCGAGATGGCACCACTACACTCCAGCCTGGGTGATGGAGCAAGACTCTGTCTCAAAAAAAAGAACCACAGCTTGAACATCTGGAAAATCCTCAGCCTACCTATATTGCAAAACATAAGACAAATGTTCAGCCGGGTGCAGTAGCTCACGCACATAATCCCAGCACTTTGGGAAGCTGAGGTGGGCGGATCACCTGAGGTTGGGAGTTCAAGACCAGCCTGACCAACATGGAGAAACCCCATCTCTCTACTAAATATACAAAATTAGCCGGGCTGGTGGTGCATGCCTGTAATCCCAGCTACTCGGGAGGCTGAGGCAGGAGAATCGCTTGAACCTGGGAGGCGGAGGTTGTGGTGAGCCAAGATTGAGCCATTGCACTCCAGCCTGGGCAACAAGAGTGAAACTCCGTCTCAAAAAGAAAAGAAAAGAAAAGAATGGAAAAGAGAAAAGAAAGCAAATGAGAAAAGAAAGGAAAAGAAAGAAAAGAAAAGAAACAAGTTCTGAACAGAAAACAAAAGTTGTGGCAGAACAGCCATATGGTGGAGATCATGGGAGTGACTCATGGATTTAATCAGCCATCTCAGGAAAAGCCAAGAATGGAGATGGATTATATCCACAGAGATAGAGCTAGTTTGAACTAAAGAGGAATTAAAAAGTGGGATGGCATAAAGGAAGACTGTCAAACTTCTTGGATACTACAGGACAGGACAGTAAAGCTGTTAGGCTGCAAACATTTTCTTGAATGCTGTATCATTCAAGAAAATCATTCAAGAAAAGAGAATGACCATGAAGATGACTCAGTGGTCATCAGGGCTGCACCCTCCCCAGAGGCCCAGGGAGGACATCAGGACTGTCCCTCCCCAACTTGCAAAGGAAGGGTGTGGCTTTGGTTTCCTAGGCCAGGCAGCTGCTGCATAGCATCTTGGTTTTCTCTAGTAAGATTATGATTTTTCAGAGTGGATATTTTATTTTATTTATCCTGCTTGAGATGTGTTGACCTTATCAAATCTTTGTTTGATATTTTATTGATTCTGGAAAATCAAACATTTCTGAACTATTTTTCTTCAAATGTTACTTTTGTGTCACTTTCTCACCTCCCCCAGTGACACCAATTAAATACATGTTAGGCTATCTCAATGTATTCCCAAAGTTTCTACCTTCTCTTCTGTGTTTTCATTTTTAGGCTGCTTTCTGTATATTTTCTTATGACCTTTCTTCAGGTCTGTTAATTTTTTCGTTCATTTAAATAAGATCTGAAATCACTCCCATTCAATAATTGAAAAAGGAACAATTTCAGTTTTAAAGTTTTCAGTTGTAAAAATTATACTCTATTCATTTTCAAGTTTTTATGTTATTTTCTTCTATTTTTTAAGTAACCAGTTTCCTGATCAAATTTTACTATCTTGGCTTTTATTTCTTTTTTCTTTCTTTAAATTTTACTTTAAGTTCTGGGATACCTGTGCTGAACGTGCAGATTTGTTACATAGGTGTACATGTGCCATAGTGGCTTGATGCACCTGTCAACCCATCATCTAGGTTTTAAGCCCTGCATGCATTAGGTATTTGTCCTAATGCTCTCCCTCCCCTTGCCCCCCAGCCACCTGACAAGCCCTGGTGTGTAATCTTCCCCTCCCTGTGTCCATGTGGCTTTTATTTCTTAGAACAAAATCATATTTGCTTAATCATCTAAGCCTCAAGATCTAAAATGTGAACACTTTTTGAGAATATTTCTTTTGTGAATTATTTCTCTTGATTTTTCCTTATAGTATCATGTCTTGTGTGACTTTTTATCTTTATGTATATCTTTATTTATATCTGGAAATTGTATCTGATAACTGTATTCCTAGGTCTCTGAATCACACAAATGAAAATGACTTAGGTCCATGAAAATGTGATTATTGGTTTGCTTTTTGAGCTATTAGAAGAATAATAAATTATGTAACCACATTATATGTGAAAGAGAAAATATCAGTTCTCATAAAATATAAGACTTTTACTTAATATTTTAATAATAAACTCATCCTTAAATTTTGACACTTTTATGCTAGTGCTATTATTGTTTAGAGTTGACACATAAAAATAATAGATATTCAGAACTGTTAAGAATTTAAAATATTTTATTCAGTGTCAACAATTACATAACTTTTTGGTTTGAAAAGTAATCTTTATACAAATATAAACAAAGCTTGAATAACATCTGAATAAAAATGTATTTGTACTAAGGTATTTTGCATTAGATATTGAAGACTATTTTGATAACACATTTCTGATGTACTCTGCACATTGGAGTTAAGGAAGATCAATTTCTTTTGGTTATAGGTTGGGTCACTTTGACCTTGTCCCCATCATAAGAATGGGCTTCCTTAATTTTGAAGATGTTCTACACACATCATATAGGTCAGGATTTATCAATATAGTAATTGTGCTAATTTAAGTTGCAAGTAAAAGAAGATCCAGCTTAAATTTGCCAACCAATAGAGGGATATGACTTACTAACAAAAGTCAAAGTATAGGTTTCAGGACTAGTGTATTTCAGTGTGTTAATAAAATCATAATACCTGGTTTGTTTCTATTAAGTCACACTTGGTTTCTTGTTTTCAGATAGTTTCCCTTGCAAAGTTATCAAAGTGCTCCCCAGAAGACATTAGGTATTTGCTTTCTAGTCTACATACAATGAAAAGGAAAAAACGTCAGTTCCTGAAGCTCTCTCAAAACATCAACAGATGGAAAGACGTGCCCATGTCCTCCCCTCCCTCCACTCTGGGGGCTTGGAAATGCTGCAGCAGGGAGCAGGCCCCAGGCTGGACCTGCCCTGTCCTCACGACGAGTGTGTGCAAAAGTGAACAATAAATCATTTCAAAGATGCAAGGAAGAAAAACCAAAACATCAACAGAATCTTCTTTCCCATAATCTTCATGCACCTCCTGGTCCGGATGAGTTTATGTTCCCATCTCCGAGCACAGGGATTGATTGTGATGGCATTTATAGGACTGAGTGCCCCACACTCTGTGATCCAGCATGGAGTTATGATTTACATCACCACAGGAAGAGTACAGAGGCTTCAACAGAAAAAAAGGTAAATTTCCAAGTAAATGGGCAATCGGTTTGGGGAAGGCATTAAAAATTTCTGCTATATCAGAGATATGATCCAAATTACAAAGTGTTGCAAATCAAAACATTTATGCTTAGTTTAAATAGTTTTCAGAAGATGTGTGCTAGGCAAAGCCATCATCCTCTGATTAAAGTTTCACTGAGTTGCTGTCACGGAGTGAATAGGAAATATTTGTACCTGGAAATGGATTTTTTTCTGAGTTTTAAAAAGAGAAGTTTTCCAGTTCTTTGAAATTATCAAATATATTAACCATGAATAATCATTACCTTAATAAAGAGAGTTATTTTCGCTTTTTCAAAAAAAAAATCCAAACACAGAACCAACAACAACAGTGACGAAATCACAAAAGAAAAGGTCCACAACAAAAGCACTGATATGGAGCACAGAAGATCTAGAATCATACAAAGACTCTAAGCCTGACTCACACATTGACTGTTGCGACATTAGTGCAAAACTTACAATGATATGTATATACAAAACTTACAATGATATGTATATACAAAACTTACAATGATATGTATATACAAAACTTACAATGATATGTATATACAACATTTATAATTATATGTATACATAATCCATTTTACCTGGTTTTGGGTCTCATAAGAATAACAAATAATTTATATTTCAGGAGCCCCACAATGAATTAATATGTAGACAGATGTATTGATTCATTTGTTTCTATTTTATTGTTAAATAGATTTAATTTTATCACAAATGAACATATAATTTTTACCCTCTTAACCATTTTTAAGTATACAGTTCAGTATTTAGTATATTCATATTGTTGTAAATCCAATTTCCACAACTTTTTCATCTTGCAAAAATGAAACTCTGTCCCCATTAAACAACTCCCAATTTCCCCTGCCCCACCCCCTAGTAACCCTGTAGTATCATTCCACTTTCTGTTTCTAGGAGTTTGCCCATGCAAGATGCTACATATAAATAACATTATACAGTATTTGCCTTTTGTAAATGGCTACATTTCACAATGTAGTCAAGGTTCATCCATGCTGTAGCACGCATCAGAATTCCTTCCATTTTGAGGATGAATAAGATTTCATTGTATGCCAAGACGTATATCACATTTTGCTTATACAGTCATTCATTGATGGACACCTAGGTTGCTTCTACTTTTTGGCTATTGTGAACAATGCTGTTTGAACGTGGGTATAAAACTATCTCTTTTAGACCCTATTTTCAGTTTTACTCGGTATGTGTCCAGAAGTGGAATTGCTGGATTATACAGTAATTCTGCTTTTAAGGTTTGAGGAACTGACATACTGTTTTGCATAGCATCTGCACCACTTTAAATCTCTTCCAACAGTGTACAGGGGTTTCAATTTCTCCACCTCCTTGACATTTGTTATTTTCTTTTTTAAAATATAGTGGCCCTGGTTATTATTTATTCACTAGATTATCTTCTTCAGTGTTTGAGTTTTATAAGAATATCAATTCTATTTTTCTATTATCCTTTTATAAATATTTCATATAAATATCTCATCAAATAAGATAATTTATTGTTAGTTTTTATTTCAATGCTTTATAGTGAAGGCCACTGAAGATATATAAATGATACATTTTGCGTTGACTCCTTTGTGAATGGCTATCAATAAAAATTTTTCAATAACTTACTATGTGCCAATCACTCCATAGCGTTCTAAGTAGGCTTTAACATTGCCATGTTAAACTTCTCTGCTTGTGATTTCTATATCTAACCCAGCTGGCAGCAAGACAGTTTTGTTTTTTCATTGAAATGGCTCTGGCTTTATGTAGACCATTCATTCACTTTCCATGCCACTTCCCTGAAATATTTGTGGTTCATATTTTCAACTCAAGTAAACATTTTTTTTTCGATACTCTGCTGCATTCCTGATGTCATACACACTATGCAAACGGTCAAAAAATAACTCTGGTCCTTTTCAGGAGAAATATTTCATTAAAAATAACTTATGAAAACATGACCAAAATATGATAGACTATTCATTTGTCTTTTAATTAGGTAAATGCTTGTCTTTCTCAAATGTTTCACCTTCTTCTATAATTTTATCATTTTACTTTTTTACCTTGTCTTTTGATTTCTAGGTTATATTCATTTCTACAAGACCACATTTTAATTTTTATTTCATTTTCTATACATTTGGCATTCCTATCTGGCAAGCTTCCTGTGTTATTTAGTGGTATACAAGTAATTGCTTCTTTTTCATTTATATTTTACTGTCTGTGACATCTTTACAATTAGTTGATAATTTCTGTCATGCATCACAATAACTCATTGCTATAAATGTCCTATTTTTAAAATTTTTCTCAGCTCCTTTTCTCATTTTTCTTTTAATTCTTCCTGTATTCTATTTTCTGATTCTTGGGTTTTAGGCTTCGAAAATACCTTTATATATCCCTCTGGATTACTTTAGTTTCACAATTATTCTTTAAATTTTATATAAGCCTTACATACATTTAGTATTTTCTGGCTAATGATATTGTATTTGAAGCTTGAGTATAAATACAAAAAATCTTTTTTTCCAAGACATTTAATAAAAAGAAATAGTGTTAATGTAGTTAGAGCAGATGACTAGATGAAATGCACGACTTTCCCACCCATGAATAATGGTGCCTCTTTCACTTTGCCACAAAGGACATGCCTTATACAAAGGATAGTATTTTCTTTACTATCTGCATATGAAGATTTCACAAGCCTTATGCCTGTGATAATTAATTTTAACGTATTAACTTGTGTGGGCCCAGCGCCCAGATACTTGGTCAAACATTATTCTAGATTTTTCTGTGAATGTTTTTTGGATGAAATTAACATTTAAATTGGTAGACTCTGTGTAAAGCAGATGACCTTCCATTCTGTGGGTGTGCCTCATCCAATCAGCTGAAAGTTTTGTCAGAATGAGGACAGAATTCTCCCAAGCAGGAAGGGATTGTGCCAGCAGACTGCTTCGGACTCAAACAGCAACTGTTTCCTGGGTCTTCAGCCCGCCGGCCTACCCTGCGGTCTTTTAGGCTTTTAAGGGACTGGCTCACATGATTGTGTGTATCTATATTTATATCTAATCTATATCATCTGCATCACTCATTTCTCTGGAGAACCCTAATATATGCCCTTAAAGGTCATTTTATATCAAGCGTTTATTTTTGCCAGACATGATTGTGTTGCACTAATATTTGTCTCCCTTTTCTTAAAATTATGCCTTCATTTTTTTGTTGAATATTACATCTGTGACTTAGCTTTCTAGTGTGAGTGTGTTATTTGTTGTCAAGATGAAAAATACACATACACAATTTAATAAACATTAAAGGAACTGTGGTGACCAAAATGCAGATGGATGTGAGAAAGAAGGGCTGTGAGCTGCCACCTCATTAATCCACAATGGCACCATTTTCCTCTCACCTGAACTTTTAGAAACTTTTTTTCCACCTTACAATTGCTTATGCAATAAACTTCACTCTCACTTAGACTCCATAACTTATCCCAGAAACCTTAATGCCTCTAAGCAGCAACAAATAGACTGACAAAGAGATGTGTTACCTTGTTCAGACAACCCGATGATTCTGTGAAAGCACATAATGACCATCTTCACTTTACATAGTTAACCTGAACTGCCAATTAAATTGAACTGTTCTCATCTGACGTAGTTATTGGCCTAGCTTTTTCCCTGTATTCTTGTACTGGAGACATTTAATATGGTCATCATAAGTGAAGGTAAGTTATTTCAAATAAATATACTAATTGGATCAGACTCGATTCTATTTTACTTTTTATATTTCAACTGTGCATGTATACATGCACTATTAATTTGGTTTTAATTATAATTTTGATTAATAATTTGAATCTAAACTTATCCCCGTCCCTGATACTTACCCGGCCGGAGCTAGCACAATCTTTGACTGGATTATAGCAATTGACTCCAAATGACCCTACTGCGTTTGCTTTTTTGCCTCCCATTAATGCTTGCACTCAGTCCAGCGGCCAGAATGTTCCTTTAAAGATACACATTGAATCACATTACTCCTCTGCTCACAACCTTCCCATGGCTCTTAATCATATTTCATCTGAAGACTAGAATCGTTAAAATGGCCTGCAAAGTGCATTATGATTCAGTGCTCAGTACCTTTCTGACTATTTCTCCTGCTGCTTTTCCACTTTGCTTTCTCCACTGAAGTTATGCTGGCCTCCTTGAAGTTTCCTTCTCAGCTATAGGAGGTTTGTGCTGTATCCTCCTTCACCTGTAACAGACTCTTGCGGGTATTTCTACAACTCACTCCTCATATCATTTACATCTTCTCTCAAATGTTAACTTCACAGTGAAGTCTTCCTTCAATATCCTACTTAAAGGTGTACCAAGTTTACCAGCCCAGCAGGAGCTTCTGTCTCCTCTGTGATTTGTTTCCCTCCAAAGCACTTATTGCCTTCTAATAAATTATACAACTTATTTTACTTTTTCTCTTTGTCTCTTTTTATTGCTTTTTTGGTTCATTTCTTATTGTATCTCTTCCACCAAATAAATTTTGAATAAAACATTTTTACTAATTTGTCTCATCTCCATAATTTCAGCAAAAACAACAGACCTTCATTCAGCTTAGGAACATAATAAATAGGACGAAGTTGAATAAACGAAATGGAGGGGAGTGAAGTATTCCAGATGGAAGAGGCAGTACGTGGCCAAGAGGAAACAGACCATGTGCGCTGGAGAAAAAGGATGGCCAGACTTGCAGAAACCTGGAATTGGTGATTGGCTTTAGAAGTGGAGAGACAAAAAAGGAGGCATAGAAAGTGCCAACATTTGGCTACACAGGGAAGAAAGACGTAAAATAATAAAAACATTGGCATCACCTGTAGACTCAAATCCTGTGAGTGAAGGACCTGAGCAATGAAGGATGGATTGAACTCGTGATTAGCCTTCTTCAGCATATGTAAAATGATGTCTGCTTTTCTTCTCTATTTGTCATTTTACCGACTTTTTATATATAGTAGTTTCCCCATATCCATGGAGGATGTATCCCAAGACCCCCAGAGGATGCTTGAAACCACAGATAATAACAAACTCTATGTATCCTATGATTTTTCCTGTACATCCTTACCTATCATAAAGTGAGTGTATAAACTAGGCACAGGAGATTAAAAACAATAACTCATAATAAAATAGAACAATTAGTACAACCTAATGAAAGTTATCTGAATGTGATCTCTCTCAAAATATCTTATTGTAGTGTACCATGGGTAACTGAAATGATAGAAAACAAAATTGCTGATAAAGGGGGATATTGTAGTAAAATAAAGGGGGATGGGTAGAGCGTAGGAAGCATTCACAATTAGAACAGTTGGCAGTAGGGAAAGAAACATACTTTAAATTGGAATGTGGATCACATGGCTGCCTCCTGCCAGTCATGATCGCAGGGTACAGAGGCCTCTGGTATGTCAGGTCTTCTCTCCCACCACTAATACTGCCCAAAAGACTCCATCAGCAACCAGAGCTGAATCACACACAACCCAGATTGTCATTTCTGATGACTTTGACTTAAACAAACAGACATATTTTTAATCTTTTTAGTGTGTGTGAAACTAGCAAGGCCTAATGAATTGAGTATATGGATGAGGTTTGTGGCCTCTGTAACGTTTTCTCCAACCAGAACCTACTGAAATAGCACAGATGGTGATGAGTATGGTTCAAACACAAGAATTCTTGGGTAAGTGACAAGAATCTCGGTCTCCTGCCATTTCCATCTCTGCATTTACTTACTGTGTGAATTTGGACGAGTCATGTAATCTTCTGGCTTCAGTGTGTTTATCTCTGTAATTAATATGTTCAGTAACAGTTCTTCCCTCTGACCTAAAAATAACCACTTCTTCCAAAGGTATATATTAGAACTATATACATATATACTATACAAATATCTAACATTTATATACTTAATATATGTAATAAACATACTACACATGTAAATTTAATGATCTACCCTATTCTCAGCCTCTACTTTCCTCTGACAATGACATCATTCAAATACTCTAAAAAGCTCATATTATAGAATCTTTATATTTAAAAAAGTTTTGTAATGCTCTAAACTTAATTGCATATTGCTAAGTGAAAGAGGCCAGTCTGAAAAAGCTATGCACTGTATGATTCCAACTATATGACATTCTGGAAAAGCCAAAACTATAGAGACAATAAAAGTATCAAAGGCCTTTAGGGGGTTCAGGGAAATGGGTGAGGAATTAAATAAATGGAGTACAGCACACTTTTAGGGCAGCGAAACTATTGTGTATGGTACTCTAACAGTGGATATGTAACATTACACTTTTATCAAAACCTATAAGCCCCAAACAGAATGTTGTAAATGTAAACTCTGGACTTCATTTATTTGTAGAGACAGGACTTTAGTTAAAAGTCCATATTGGTTTATTAATGGTAGCAAATATACCACACGAACGCCAGATGCTAGTAAGAGCAGAAACTGTGTTGGGAGGAGGGAAGATGTATGGGAACTGGACTTTCTGTGCAGTTTCTCTCGGTAAACCTAAAACTGCTCTAAAATTTTTCTATTGAATTTTTCAATTATTCCAGTTATTCTCTATAAATTAGCATACCTATTGGCCCCCAATTACCTTGCTAATTTTAGGTTACTTATTTTTATATGGTTCTCGATTTAGTCTCCTTGGGCAAATAGTAAACTGCATGGCTTTTACTCTCTCTGACTTTCTTTTTCTGTCCTTCACAGAAATTGAAGTTGAAGTATAAGGAGAATTTTTACATCACCCAGGTTCTAATTTGGAAGGTTTCTAACAGCCCTCTGTCCTCTTCTGGTGCTCACTGTGAAAGAATTTGCACCCTGCAACACTAAGTGTTTGTGCTAGAATCCACTTCTGATGTTGGCTGCTCTGACACAGCTTCCATTCGGTATTTATGTTGAGTTCTTTCATTTTATGTTGCTCTAATAGAATACTTTAGACTGTGTAATTTACAAAGAGTGAAGTTTTATTTCTTACAGTTCTGGAGGCTGGGGAGTCCACCCCAGGTGCTGGCATCTTGTGAGAACCCTCCTGCTGTGTCATTCCATGGCAGAAGGCAAAAGTGCAAGAGAATGCCAGAGAGCAAGAAGGGGAAGAACTCAGTTTTATAACAAACTCACTCTCAAGATAACTAACCCATTCCTGCTATAGCAACATTCATCCATTCATGAGGGCAGAGCCCACATGACCCAATCACATCTTACTTGGCTGCATCTCTCAACACTGTTCCATTAGGAATTAAGTATTTAACACATGACCTTTGGGAGACGCATTCAAACCATAGCATATGTCCTCTATGCAGTTGCCTTGTCTAGATGTAGGACACTGAGAATTTACCACCCTTCCAGCATTGACGTGCTCTCTAGGTGGCTCAAGAATTCTTGGCTGTGTCTCCACCAGGCTTCAAGACCCTCCATTAGCCTGGCTTTTGGACCTCTGTGGTTCCAGCCCTTGCTAGACACGGGTTTCTCTAAGAGATCTGTATTCTCCACAGTCTGTATACAGAAAAGATAGTCTCAAATCTCCTCTGATTTAGGGCCCTGATAAAAATTACTTGGTCTTCTACTCTACAACCTCACCATACCCCTTCAGGTTTTGAACCTGGGAGAGACAGAATATGGAACACTTTCTTAAAAATAAATGCATACTTGACATTAATAAGGGATTTACAATCTATTCACTATGAAATCCTCAGGAACATGTAGGTTTTTCCAAGAAGTAAAAAACAATTATTTTCATTTAAGTCATATGTCAATTAACAATATTTTTTACACAATTAAAAATCTCATTTTTGTTATGAAATGTGAAACACATTTCCTTTGTTTTTGAGGCAGGGTCTCACTCTTGTCGCCCAGACTGCATTGCAGTGGGGTGATCTCGGCTCATTGCAACCTCTGTCTCCCGGATTCAAGCAATTCTCCTGCCTCAGCCCCCCAAGTAGCTGGGTTTACAGGTATGTGCAACCATGCCCAGCTAATTTTTTTTTGTATTTTTTTCAGTAGACATGGTTTTTTTTTTTAAATTTTATTATTATTATACTTTAAGTTTTAGGGTACATGTGCGCAACGTGCAGATTTGTTACATATGTATATATGTGCCATGTTGGTGTGCTGCACCCATTAACTCGTCATTTAGCATTAGGTATATCTCCTAATGCTATCCCTCCCCACTCCCACCACCCCACAACAGTCCCCAGTGTGTGATGTTCCCCTTCCTGTGTCCATGTGTTCTCATTGTTCAATTCCCACCTGTGAGTGAGAACATGTGGTGTTTGGTTTTTTGTCCTTGCGATAGTTTGCTGAGAATGGTGGTTTCCAGCTTCATCCATGTCCCTACAAAGGACATGAACTCATCCTTTTTTATGGCTGCATGGTATTCCATGGTGTATATGTGCCACATTTTCTTAATCCAGTCTATCATTGTTGGACATTTGGGTTGGTTCCAAGTCTTTGCTATTGTGAATAGTGCCGCAATAAACATACATGTGCATGAGTAGACACGGGGTTTCACCATGTTGGCCAGGCTGGTCTTGAATGCCTGACCTCAACTGATCCACCTGCCTTGGCCTCCCAAAGTGCTGGGATTACAGGCATGAAGTCACCACACCTGGCCACATTTCCTTTTTGAAATGTGATTTATTTTATGAGGAACTGTGTGAAATATGAACAAATGAATAAATAAATCTCATATTTTTTATGTTAATGGATTTGTGACCAGGCCAAGAAATAAACAGAAGTAGTAAATGAGAGATGTTGGCTTGGACTTATGTGAGTTCCTGTGTGTTTGCTAATTGGTAAAGGAAATGGGCCAACACCAACTTGGAATACATTGATGCTGATTTCTAATACTTCATCAGAGGCAAGCGTTTAGGGAAGTGGAGCACACAAAATCAAGGACTTGGTCAGGGCTCAGCAAGAACTGGGTTTGCTAGATGTCTGCTAGGCAGCTTTCATCCCATTAACCTCTGGGATACTGTGTCCGTGTTGTCCTTCTGGATAAACAGAGGAATCGACTCTGTAGAGCTACTATCAACAGAGTCTTAGGCCACCTTCAATATTTCCCTTTGATTCCTGTGGGTAACATGAGAGCCAAAATTTCATCCCAGCCATGCTAATCACCATTGTTTATGAGGTTCTTAGATACCCCGAGGCTTTCCAACATGGCCACTCACAAGATGGAAGCTAAGTAGCACTGAAATGTACATTTAAATCAAAAAATATTAATAGAACATTAGATAAGATTTCAACCACCATAGTAAGTAAAAGCTCACATCTAATCCATTTAGAAAGGTCTCCGGATACAGTATACAAAATCATTTGTATAAAAATACCTATACGTGCAAAACTCAGTTATATTTCTGTGTATCAACAATTAATAAAAAGAAATGCAAAGAATAAACCTGGAGGACCTAAACTATCAGATATGGAATGTGTTATTAATTTACAGTAAGTCAGGCAATAAGCACAGGGTAGAAAAACCATCAATGGAATAAAATGGAGTCTAGAAAAAGATTCAAAAGTAGAGAAAACTTGATTTATGACATATGTGGCACTGCAGTTTACAGAAAAAGCTTAACTTTTAAAAAATTTTGCTGAGTCATTGACTATCAGTTTGGAAAAACAGTGTTGTAGCCCTTACCTTACACCACAATTAAAAATTTATCCCAGTTGCATAGATCTAAATGTGAACAGCAAAACAATAAATGTTATACAGAAAAACACAGGAAATCACATCATAGTCTTTAGAGGTGGCACACATTTTTAAAACAGAACACAAAAAGCATGATCCACAGGGGGAAAAAAGAAAACTGGAGTATGTTACAATTGAGCATTTTATTCAGGAGAGCAGTGGGACACAACACAAAGTAAAAGATGTTCACTATGTATATATACAATTTAAGACTCACATCTAGAATACACAAAAAGAATGTACCAAAGAACAGAATATGTATAAAGAACTACTATAAATTGAAAAGGGTAAGTCAAGAGATCCAAAAAAAACTAGCCAAAGGCTTGAATATATATTTTCAAAATTATATATATATACATAGGGACAGTAACACACTAAAAGTGGCTCAGCTTATAAGGAAAATTAACTTAAACTTAGTGTCAGTAAATACACACTCTAGTGATTATAATGAAAATAGACCAAAAAAACTAATGTTTTTTTTTTATATAAACTACTGATGAGAGTTTAAGCTGGCAAAAATTCTTAGGAATTCTGTTTGGCGGTATCTATTACAACTGAAAAAGTGTTCAGAATCAGTAAATCCACTGCAAGTTATGTGCCCAACAGAAAATAGTACCGATTTTTACCAAGACATGTGCTAGAATGTTAATAGAAGCAGTCATGGTGACGGTCCTACCTGAAAACTGCATAAATGCCCATCCACATTAAAATTTATAAATTAATTGTGGCATAGTCACATAATGACACTTCCAGAAAAATGTGGAAGAATCCTACAAACATACTGCTAAATCAAAGCATCCAGACACCAAATAGTACATATTGCTATATTTAAAAACTGGCAAAACAAGTCAATGCTGTTAGGATTTAGGATAAGGTTATCTTCAGGAAAGGAACGGCAGGTAGAGACTAGAGAGGAGTACTAGAGAGACTTGTGGTGCAGATAATGTTCTGTTTCTCAGCCTGGGATCCTGCTAACCAGGCATGCTCAATTTGAAGAAATTCATCAACATATTTGCATTTATGATATGGACACTTAGAATCTTGAATATATTATCTGAATGAAAATTTTTTAAATAATCGATTGAAGGAGGAAACTGAATGATGACTAAGAAGAAAGGGACATGAAATTTGATACACATAAGTAGTTGAATAAGTTATCAATGTACAGAGTAATGCAGGAATAATAAAATAATTCCTCCAGTAAACAGACTTTTACAAATTTTACCAAGCAGTGTAGTATTTCCAGACCAAAAGAGAAAGAAGGAAATGATTCATGACATACAATTTGAATCTTTGTTATTTTTGGCACAACCCTGTGGAAAGCAAATGGACTTTCAAGAAGAGTTATGTTGTTTTGAATCTTCACTACCAAAAATTCCCAGAGAGGATAGTGCTTGCACAAACACGTTCACTGTAAAATGTACTTTTCATAGCAAACACCTGAAAGTAACTGAAAGGTCTCAGTGCAGGATACGGTAAAGCCAGTTGAGACTGGTTAGGGGAGCTGATAATGCTCACCTCTTCACAAGTTCACAGTCAGGGACATCATGTTGGCTGCCTTCATCTTTGAAATGCTGGTGGTTTAACATTTACAAACTGGGTGAAAGGAAATAGATATTTTTCTACCATATATTGGCAATATTAAAGAGCAATTAAGTTTAAGAGACTTTATACTATTCTGCTGAAAGTGCTTCATTACAGTTTTTTTATATTGCCATTCAATTACACATATATATGATTTAAAATGATACATGGGGGGAAAACTAAAGGAAATGCAGTATATTAATCTCAGAAGCTATGATTTCATAACTTTTAGGCTATCCTATAGTTTTAAATTATTTACAAAAGCCTATTATAAAATTTTAAAAGACAGTAAAATGCATTAAGCTTTTAAATTCATTCAGAATGGCTACAAATAATGAGTCTTTAAAAATTTGTATTTATTATGAAACGAATAAAACCTAGTGACTCCAATGCTTATATCAGCTAAAGCTTGCTGCTGTCAATGTGTCTTCATTTTTAAAGTCCTAATTTACTATATTGTTTGAAATAGCGTTAAGATATATGTTTCATTTGGAACACTTAGTTTTTCTTAAAAGAAAGACAATTAGTACAAAAGGGATTAACATCCACATAGTTACAAAATTCAAATAATACGGGTAAAATGGTACACTCTATTAGAGGATTCAACCCATAAATTACAAAAGTCTGTGAACATTGTTGTAGGACTCCAATATGTATAGCATTACCCTTTAAGACTTGTATTTCAAATGTAACTTAAAACTACCATACAAAAATTAAAAGCACAGAAACCCACGAGAGCCATAACACAATAGCCAAGTAAGCAACCAAGTATTACATATTGTTTTATTTGTGGACGAATATGTATTAATTGCAATCATATGAGCTTCATGTTTTCAGTATAAGACATCATATGTTGTAAAATCCAGGTAATCACAGGGTTAATTGGATAAAATATGGGATTTGTTTATCTGCTACTTAAGACATAATCTTTTGGCTTACTTTGTGAGTCACACTCTAAACATTTGGTTTTAACATGTGATGTAATAAATTTTAATAGGGCTCCCTTTTGAAAGGGGAAGAGCTCTGTATGCGCAGGAAAATGTGTCTGTTGATGCAGTGAAATGAAGTTATTTTAATGTATTCATTTTTACAGCTATGTAGGCAATTGTTAATTATATTTCTACCAGCAAAACAAAACTATATATGTGTTTGTGAGAATGTGTGTATCCCTGTGTGAGAGAGAGAAAGAAATAGGGATGGAAGAGAACACTAAGTCTAATGCATTACAATTCAGTTAAATTTTCAACGTAAGTCAGACTGCCCACAAGAATATCATTTGGCCGGGCGCCGTGGCTCATGCCTGTAATCCCAGCACTTTGGGAGGCCAAAGCGGGCGATCACAAGGTCAGGAGTTCGAGACCAGCCTGGCTAACATGGAGAAACCCCGTCTCTACTAATAATACAAAAAAAATTAGCCAGGCATGGTGGCGGACGCCTGTAATCCCAGCTACTCGGGAGGCTGTGGCAGGAGAATCGCTTGAACCCGGGAGGCAGAGGTTACAGTGAGCCAAGATCATGCCACTGCACTCCAGCCTGGGCAAAAAGAGCAAGACTCTGTCTCAAAAAAATATATCTATATGTATATATATACACATATATATGTATATATCATTTATAGATATATATAATTTAAGATATTGCAGAGTGTGTGTGTTGGGGCGGGGAATGACCTCTGAAAACAGGCTACAGGGGGCATCGTGTGGTTGGGCACGGACCCCGAGGTGCGAGGGGACCCTGAGCTCCCAAGGCTGAGGGTCAGAGGCAGGGCCTGGGAGCCCCAGGGAAGCCTCCACAGCCAGCCACAGACACAGTAAGCGTCCTTGTTCACGACACAGGGCACACAGTGCTCGGTGAGCCGGGTCAGGATCAGATGCTGGTGGTCTCTGCCCAGTGCGGGTCTCGCTTCCTGACGCAGGTGCGCCTTGGGCTCCCACAGGAAGCGGTCACATCCAGACTCACCAGGCCTGAGATGTTGGAAGATGGAGAAGCCTTTGCCACAGGAAAAATCCTCCATGAACACAATGAAACTTGGCCTGCACCTGGGACATCCTTCTCCACGGCTAGTCTACAATGCAGGTGCTCTGCACACGCTCCCTGGCTGACCCCAACGCAGAGAAGATGCACGTGAGCCCACCCCCACAGCAGGCGTGGACATTTGCCTCCCTTTTATAATAGCTGTATTCAAATGAGGTATCCTGGAAGCCTCGTTCTGATAGGATGAGAGCAGACTCTGTACTACAACACGGATTGGATAATAGTCTCCAACTCTGATTGGTTAAGATTGTGCAATCAGAGATGGAAATTATTATCCAATAAGAGTTGTCAAAAAGGTTCCTTGCGCAGTGGTCGTCATAGTTCAGAAGCGACCGGGAGCGTGTGTGGTGCGCGCCTGCCTTGAGGCCAGGCCTCAGAGAAGGGTGTCCCAGATGTAGGCAAAGCGTCCTCCATGTGTTCCTGGAGGACCGTCCCAAGTCCTTCTCCATTCTCCCAACCTCTTGGGCCTGGTAAGTCTGGATGCGAGCGCATCCCACGGGGCCGAGGCACAGGGAGAGAGGAACGGGGCAGAGGGAGGAAAGCGTGTGCAGGGGCCCGGAGCGCCAGGCTGCCAGGGCTTCACCCCATGGCCACCGGGGAGCTGTGGCCCCACTCGGCCCAAGGCAGAGTCCGGCCCTCCTGCTGCTGGCACTGTCACCTCCCTGGGGTCCTGCCTTCTGGGTCCCTGTGGGCCTCCTGTCATCTGGCACTGGAAATAAGCTAGCGAAGCAAAATTTCGTGAATATTGGCCTTTGCATCTTTTTCTTCATTTTCAGTGCTGGTTTTTCTGTTGGGTCATTTATGTTCTTACATTGATTTGAATAATTTTAAAATGTATTTTATAAATTAATTCTTCATGGGCTCATTTCTAGTGTAGATAGTTGTTTCCTAGTCTGGTCATTGTTCTTTAATTGTATTTTGCATTTCTTTCTTGCTGATACATAGGAATCTGATTGATTTTATGTATTCATCTTGCATCCTGTAGCCTGGCTTAATTCACATATTCATAACCATCATTTTTGGATTGTGGTGTATTTTTCATGTACATAATAGTGTCAGCCACATACAATAACAGCTGTATTGCTTAAATGTTGGTTCTTATACCTTTATTTTTGTTTTATTGTCCCAATTACACCTCCAGCACTGTGTGAAATAGAGGGGGTATGTCCAGGAAGTCTTGCTTGGTTCTGATTACAGTGGAAAAGCTTCAGTGGTCCTGTGTTGTAATTTCATTTTAGACAAGCTTAATCAGATTAAGGAAGCTGCCTTCCTTTGCATTTGCTAAGAGTTATGACTAATTGTTGAATTTGAATAAATGCTTTTTTTACATATATTCTGAATAGTAATGTTTTTCTCCTATTTTTCTGCAAATAGGATATTTTACATGATCTATTTTTTAATGTTAACCAATCCTGCATTTTTTAGTATATCCCACTTGGTATCTATGTGTTATGTTTTCATATGTGGTTTAATTCATATTATACAATTTTTCTTAGAATATTTGTATCTCTGGCCGGATGCGGTGGCTCACGCCTGTAATCCCAGCACTTTAGGAGGCCTAGGCGGGCGGATCACCTGAGGTCAGGAGTTCGAGACCAGCCTGACCAACATGGCAAAACCTTGTTCCTACTAAAAATACAAAAATTAGCTGGATGCGGTGGCGGGCGTCTGTAATCCCAGGTACTTTGGAGGCTGAAATAGGATACCTGCTTGAACCCGGGAGGCAGAGGTTGCATTGAGCTGAGATTGTGTCACTGCACTCTAGCCTGGGAGACAGAGCGAGACTGCATCTCAAAAAAAGAATATTTGTGTTTCTGTTAATGAAAGAGTGGGTCCATACTTTTTTTTTTCTAATGTCCTGTTCAGATTGTGGTATCAACGTGATGCTGGCCTCACAAAACAAAATTGAAAAATAGTCCCTATATTTCTTCTCTTTGGAAGGGTCTGAGAAATTTAGGTGTTTACTTCCTTAAATGTTTGGAATATTTCTTTAGTCTGGGCATGGAATTTTACTTGTGGAACATTATTTGTTAGCTGTTTTGTTGTTGTTGTTGTTTTAACAATTCAAATCCTTTAGTATATATGGTAGTTTTCTGGTTTTACGTTATTTCTGTGTCCAGTTTTGTAAGTGTATTTTTCAATGTGTGTAATTTCATCTCTCTTGTCAAGCTTGCAGTCCTAAGTATTTCTCAGAATTTTCGTAGTATCTTGATACACTGCTCTGTAGAGCAGGCCTCTGTTTTCATTCCTGATATTGGTCTTTTGCGTCTTTTCTCTTTGCCTTAGTCAGTTTCGCTAGTGGTGTATTTAGTATATTAACATTTATAAACCAAGTTTTTTTTTTTTTTTTGAGGCGGAGCCTTCCTCTGTCGCCCAGGCTGGATTGTAGTGGTGCGATCTGGGCTCACTGCAAGTTCTGCCTCCTGGGTTCATGCCATTCCCCGGCCTCAGTCTCCCAACTACCTGGTACTACAGACACCCGCCACCACGCCTGGCTATATAAACCAACTTTTATCCTTGATTTGTCTCCATTACAATTTTTTTTCCTATTTCATTGATGTCTGCTCTTTATTATTACTTTCATTCTGCATTGTTTCGTTCTAATCTTTTTTAGTTCTTGAAAGGTTTATGTGATTGATTTTCAATATTTTTTCTATTCTAACACATTCCCTTAACGTGTGTCCTGTTTCTCTCTAAGCGGGGATTTATCTGGCAGGCCACAATTTCCCATAGGTGTTTCCAGACCCTGTGTCTGCAGCCGCGTTGGCCTCCCACTGTCTCCACCCTGTATGCCTGCAGCCATGTCAGGCTTTGTGTGTCTCCCTCCTTGTGCCTGAAGCCTGTATCTTCTCTCCAGTATCACCATCCCATAATGACTGAAGCCCATGTCTGCCCTTGTGTGTTGTCACCTGGTCTGTCCTCTGCCTGCAGTTTATGCCAGCTGTCAAGTCTCCATTTCTTGCACCTGCAGCCCATGCCAGCCGTGTGAGTCTCCATCCTGTGTGCTTCCAACACATTACTTGCTTTGAGTGTTGCGGTCTCCTTAGCCTTCAGGCAGTAGCAGTCCTCCAGTGCCTCAATCCCTGTGCTTGCAGCCCATTCTGATATTTTCGTCTGTCTGTCCCCTGAGCTTCGGCCCATGCCAGCTTATGTTTGCTGCATTCTCTGTCCCTCTAATCCATGTCCACAGTGTTTTCATTCATGCTTTTCAGTCGTGTCTGCACTCGTGTGTCTCCTTCTGTGCCTTTAGTCCATTTCTGTCCTTTTTCTGGATCATTTCTCCCAGGAGACTATGCCCAAAACTCCTATCCCCAGTGCTTGTACCTGCAGCCAGTCTCTTTCGTTGGGTATCTCTGTCTGTTGTTACTGCAGCAGAGGCCTGTCATTGAGTGTGCCTGCTTCCCATGCCTGTCTTCCTGTGTCTCCAGCCCTTGTCCATGCAGCCCACATTAGGACTCTTGTGACTCCACCCTTCAGCTTACAGCCACATCTACCTTCGGGTGTCTTTATCTCTGTGCTTCCTGCCCACGCCAGCCTTCACCTACTCCTCTGTCCTGCCCCTGTACCCATGTCTGTCCCTGCTGTGCCTCTCTGCCATGCATCTGTAGTCAGTGAGCTCCCTTTGTATCTGGATCCCCCGTGACTGTAGCCCAGGTCTTCTCTCCTGTGCCTGCAACTCATGTCTGCCCTTGAATGTCCCCATCCTCTGTGCTTGTCGCCCATCAGCAGGGCCTAACGTGTTTCCACTCTCAGTGCCTGCACCCATGTCTGCCTCCAGGGTCTCCACTCATGGTGCCACAGTTTGATTTCCCATCTCTACTCTCCTGGGGTGGATTCTGGCATCATGACTGGGGAGGGAGAGGTGACCCATAAAAGGGAAGGCTGGAATGATGTCATGGGCAAGGAGCTGCCTTTGGCGGGGGATGCACAGTGGTGGAGAAGACATGAGCAGTCAGAATCCTCCCTGCATTGGGGCGCTCACGTGGGGCTGTGCCTGATGTGGGGAGTAAGGGGAAGCTGGAGCAGGAGGTCTGGAGCCACCTGGCCCTCTTGGGCCTGACACCCTTCCACTGCAGGGCCTCTATCACCTCCTCCTGTGGTCCTGCCTCCTGGGATCCTGCCCTGCAGTGTTTCTGCAGGGATCTTCTCACCTGGAACTTGCTGTGGCAGGTTTCATGTGAGGTAGAGTTTAGCAAATGTTGATTGGCCTCTGTGCCTTACTTTTCTTCATATGCTTTGCTCATTCTGTGCGTGTTTCTGTAGGGTCCTTTTTTGGTTCCTATATTGATTTGAAGGATTTATCTTAAATCTGTAAATTAATCCTTGATTGCCTCATTTTTGTCATAGATACTTATTCTCTAGTTTGATCGTTATTTACTTTCTGTTGATTTCATACTAGTACACAGTAATCTTGTTGATAACAATCATGTATCTAGGATGTTTTTGTAACAGTTTTGGGGTTATGGATTGTCTAAGCATGTAATAGTGTCACACACACATAATGACAATTTTTTTTGGTTAAAAAAAATCCTAATGCCTTTTATTTCTTTGTTCTTGCTGTATTGTTTCTCCAGTACAATGCTGATTAAAGAGTGATAGCAGGCATCCTCGTCTGGTCCTGCACTGGGGGAAAAAGCTTCCCATGATTCTCTATTAATTATGTTGTTTGTTACAGGCTCATATTAGACAAACCATCAAATTAAAGAAGTTGCCATCTTTTATGTTTTACTCAGACTCGTTTTTATGGTTCAGTTTTAAGTGTTATTAAATGTTTTTTTAAAAACTTAACCTAAATGATCTTATTATTTTTGCCTGTATTTTTGTGCTAATGGGATGACTTACATGATTTATTTTGAATGTTAAGGAGCCTTGCATTTTGGGGTATATTCCACTTGGTATTGATCTGTGGTTTGTTTGTTTGTTTGTTTTTTGTTTTGGTTTATGTGGTTTTTTTTTTTTTTTTTTTTTGAGACGGAGTCTCACTCTGTCGCCCAGGCTGGAGTGCAGTGGTGCGATCTAAGCTCACTGCAAGGTCTGCCTCCCGGGTTCACGCCATTCTCCTGCCTCAGCCTCCTGAGTAGCTGGGACTACAGGCGCCCGCCACCATGCCCAGCTGATTTTTTGTATTTTTTAATAGAGACGGGGTTTCACCATGTTAGTCAGGATGGTCTCTATCTCCTGACCTTGTGATCCGCCCACCTCGGCCTCCCAAAGTGCTGGGATTACAGGCGTGAGCCACCGCGCCCGGCCTAATCTGTGTTTTCATAGGTGGTTTCATTCATGTAATATTTTGCTTAGAATATTTGTAGCTTTGTTTATGAAAGAGGAGATACATACTGTTTATGAAAGAGGTGACCTAATTTTCTTCTTTTTTGTTCCATAATGCGTCCTGGTCCAATTGTGTTCTCAATCTAATACTGGCTCCACACAAAACTTTAAAAATACTATCTTTATTTCCCAGCAGTTTGGGAAATTTTGGTGTTTTTCTGCCTTGAATGTATGGAGTATTCTATAATTATGAGCTTGGAGTTTTACTTGTGAAACATTTTTGTTTGCTGGGTTTCTTTTCAAGAATTTATTCAATTTGTTTAGTAGGCAGGAGTTTTTCTATTTCATGTTATGTTTGGATTAGTTTGGGTAAGGTGGTTTTTAAAATGTGGTGCATTTTGTTCTCTGTTGAGTTTTTAGACCTACATACTTCTTCAAATCCTTAGTTCTTATTAAGGTCTACAGGCTCTGTAAAGAATGTGTCTGTGTTGATTGCTCTCTCGTGTTTGCGTTAACCCCTCTTTTCTCTCTTCATCCTGAGCTGCCTGGAGTTGGGGGAGGGATGATGCAAGCACCCCTCTGGCTACCACCACTGGGACTGCGCTGGGTCAGACGTGATGCCACCGTAATACTGAATCTTGCTAGAGGCCCGTGGCTAGTACTCATGGCTACCACTGATGTTTATTCAAGACCCAAGCAAGGGCTCTTTCATCAGCAAGTAATGAACCCTGCCAGGACTGGGTCCTTCCTCCCTTCAGGGAAGTGGGCTCCCTGCTGGTCCAGGGTGTGTCTTGAAATGTCATCTGAGAGCTAGGCCCTGAATGGCTGCTTCAGGACTCTACTTGGTGCTCTGTTTTACTGTGGCTGAGCTGGTATCCAAGTTGCAAGGCAAAATGCTTTTTACTCTTCTCTCTCCTCCTGGAGCTGTGAGCTGGGCTGCCTTCGGCTGGAGGAAGTGTGATGCGAACACTCCCTTGGCTACACCAGCAGGTGTCTCACTGGGTCACCTGCATCCCAAGTTCACTGGCTCTGAGCCCAGTGCAGCACCAGCCCTTGCCCAGCAATGGCAATCCTTGTAGCCTAGACTGGCTTTCACATTTGTCTAGGACACCAAAGCACTTTAGCCTGCAGTGGTGATGGTGGGGTTAACGGAATTCGGGTTTTGATTACTGGGATGGAAGATTCCCCTCTGGCTAGGGCTGGTCTAAATGCTGCCTCCATGGGTGCTGGCTGAATTCTGCCTTGTGTTGCTCTCCACTGTGACAGGGCAGCGCTGAGTTTCAAGGTAAAGTCCCACAATCACTGAGCTCTCCCTGCCCTGGGTGCACAGATTCCGTCTAAGCACCACGTGTGGCTGCTGCCGGGAGATGAGGGAGAGGTGGTGTAGGAGATTTGAGATTGTCTTTCCCCCTTTCTCCAGTTCCTCCTTCCTTGATACGATGTGAAAACCAGGCGCTGTGAACGCTCACCCGATTTTTGGTTCTCATGAAGATGCTTTTTTGTGTGGATAGTTGTTCCATCTGGTGTTAGTTCAGGGAGGAATAGAATCGCTGGAGAATTCTATTTGGCCATCTTGCTCTGTCTCCAGGTCTCCCCTCCCTTTCTTATTCTTTATCACAGCTTCCCAGTGAATGACCCTGTAGTGCTGCCTTCCAGTGTTCATTCATTCATTCATTCATCAGATATTCATTAAGTGCCTCCTGTATGTCTGACACTATGTAGACACTTGGGGATGCAGTGGTGAATAAACCAGACAAGGTCCCTGTCCCCTTAGAGCTTACAGTCAGGTTGTGCACATGAAATGTAACTTTAAAATATTTTCTTATACGAAGACACCCTCTGCCCCAATCTAGAAAGAAATCTGTTAGGCATCAAGCTTAGATTACTTGGTAAATATACAGCTATTTACTAATGTTAGTTAATGGACTATAGAAAAGGGACAATGATATTTATTACAGTGTTTTGTTTTTTCTTTTATTGTTTAACTTTTATTTTAGGTTCAGGGGTACATGTGCAAGTTTGTTACATGGATAAATTGCATGTTATGGGGGTTTGGTGTACAGATAATTTCATCACCCAGGTAATAAGCATGGTACCCGCTAGGTAGCTTTTTGATTCTCACCCTCCTCCCACTCTCCACCCTCAAGTAGGCCCTGGCGACTGTTGTTCCCTTCATTGCGTCCATGTGTACTTGATGTTTAGCTCCCACTTACAAGTGAGACTATGTGGTATTTGGTTTTCTGTTTCTGTGTTTGCTAACTATAATGGCCTTATAGCTCCATCCAAGTTTCTGCAAAGGACATGATCTCATTCTTTTTCATGGCTGTGTACATAGTAGTCCATGGTGTATGTATACCGCATTTTCTTTTTTCAGTCTACCTTTGATGGACCTTTAGGTTGATTCCATGTCTTTCCCACTGTGAATAGTGCCGTGATGAACATATGAACGAATGCATGTGTCTTTATGGTAGAATGCTTTATATTCCTTTTGTGTATACCCAATAATGTAATTCCTGGGTCAAATGGTAGTTTTAAGTTCTTTCAGAAATCACCAGCCTGCTTTCCATAGTGGCTAAACTCATCTGCATTCCCACCAGCAGTGTGTAAGTGTTCCCTTTTCTCTGCAAACTCACAAGCATCTGTTATTTTTTGACTTTTTGGTAATAGCCTTTCTGACTGGTGTGAAATGGTATCTCACAGTGGTTTTGATTTATTTCCATTTCTCTAATGTTTAGTGATGTTCAGCATTTTTTCATATGCCTGTTGGCCAGGTGTAAGTCCTCTTTTGAAAAGTGTCTTTTCACGTCCTTTGGCCACTTTTTAATGGCATTGTTTTGTTTTTGCTAATGAATTTATTTAAGTTCCTTATGGATTTCTGGATATTACACCTGTATTGGATGCATAGTTTGCAAATATTTTCTCTCATTCTGTAGGTTATCTGTTTACTCTGTTGATAGTTTCTTTTGCAGACAGTGGAATACTATGCAGCAACTAAAGGAACCACCTAGCATGATGTGTATCAGTATGGATACATTGCAAAAACAAAGCTAAAAACAAGCTACCAGGCATATGAAGCACAGGATGGTAGAGGACAAACTATACTACAAGGCTATAGTAACCAAAGCATGATACTCATAAAAAAACAGGCACATATACCAATGGATCAGAGTAGAGAACTGAGAAGTCTGCACATGTACAACTATCTGATCTTCAACAAACCTGACAGAAAGAAGCAACGGGGAAAGGATTCCCTGTATAGTAAGTGGTACTGGGAGAGCTGGCTAGCCAAATGCAGAAAATTGAAACTGGGCCCCTTCCTTACACTTTATACAAAAATTAAGACGGAGTGAAGGCTTAAATGTAAAACTCAAAACTATAAAAACCCTAGAAGAAAATCTAGGCAATACCATTCAGGACATAGACATGGGCAAAGATTGTATGATGAAATCACCAAAAGAAATTGCAACAAAAGCAAAAATTGACAAATGGGATCTAATTAAAGAGCTTCTGCACAGCAAAAGAAACTATCATCAGAGCGAACAGACAACCTACAGAATGGGAGAAAACTTTTGCAATCTATCCATCTGACAAAGGTCTAATATCCAGAATCTACAAGGAACTTAAGCAAATTTACAAGAAAAAACATTAAAAAGTGTACAAAATTCATGAACAGACACTTCTCAAAAGAAGACATCCATGTGGCCAACAAATATAAAAAGCTCAACATCACTGATAATCAGAGAAATGCAAATCAAAATCACAATGACATACCATCTCACGCCAGTCAGAATGGCGATTTTTTTTTTTTTTTTGAGATGGAGTTTTGCTCTTGTTGCCCAGGCTGGAGTGCAGTGGTGCAATCTCAGCTCACTGCAACCTCTGCCTCCCAGGTTCAAGCAATTCTCCTGCCTCAGCCTCCCGAGTAGCTGGGATTACAGGCATGCACAACCACGCCCGGCTAATTTTGTATTTTTTAGTAGAGACGGGGTTTCTCCATGTTGGTCAGGCTGGTCTCGAACTCCCGACCTCAGGTGATCTGCCCACCTCTCAGGTTCCCAAAGTGCTGGGATTACAGGCATGAGCCACCGGGCCCTGCCTACAACCATGATTATTAAAAAGTCAAGAAACAGTTGCTGGCGAGGTTGTGGAGAAACAGGAACACTTTTACACTATTGGAGGGAATGTAAATTAGTTCAACCATTGTGGAACACGGTGTGGCAATTCCTCAGAGATTTAGAACTGGGAATACTGTTTGACCCAGCAATCCCATTACTGGGTATATACCCAAAGGAATATAAACCATTCTATTATAAAGATACATGCACATGTACATTCATTGCAGCACTATTCACAATAGCAAAGACATGGAATCAACCCAGTTGCCCGTCAGCGATAGACTGGATAAAGGAAATCTGGTACATATATGCCATGGAATACTATGCAGCCATGCAAAGGAACAAGATCGTGTCCTTTGCGGGACATGGATGAAGCTGGAAGCCGTTATCCTCAGCAAACTAACACAGGAACAGAAAACCAAACACCACATGTTCTTACTTATATGTGGGAGCTGAACAGTGAGAATACATGGACACAGGGAGGGAAACAACACACACTGGGGCCTCTTAGCACAGGGTGGGGAGTGTGGAGAGAGCCTCAGGAGAAATAGCTAATGCAAGCCAGGCTTAATACCTAGGTGATGGGTTGATAGGTGCAGCAAACCACCATAACACACGTTTACCTGTGTGACCTGCACATTCTGCACATGTGTCCTGGAACTTATAAAATAAAATTTAAAAATATTTGAAAACCAATAAAAATCAAGATCATTATTTTATTTAGCTATTTATTTTTAGAGATGGGGGGGGGCCTCACTATGTTGCCCAGGCTGGACTCGAACTACTGAACCCAAGTGATCCTCCTGCCTCAGCCTCCTGAGTAGCTGGGACTACACATCTACCCAGCAAGATCATTATAATCACACCTGTACCCTCTGGTCACCAAAGGATGTGAATTTTAAGTGGAGGTAGAGGGAGAATAGGAAAACTAGATTTCACAGTGTTCCCTACTGAAACAGTAGTGAGGCCATTCTGGGTGGCCTCTGCATCTGCTTTTGTTTGTTTGCCTCTGTCTTGATTCCCTGTTGTCTGTCATTGGAAGAAAATCCGAGTCTGGACTTGGGTTGCTTCACATGGACGTTATTTTAATGATAAATGATAAAAGACAAGTCCTGAGTTTCCATGGTGGCCCTGAATAGATTCTTCTATGAGACACTGCGTTTCTTACGTATATTCTGAGACACAGGCCAGGTTCTTGTATGAGATGCCATGTTTCTTAGGTATATTCTGAGACATGGACCAGACCATGTAGCATGAACCTGATATTCTAGGAAATCTCCGCATGGGTCCTGGCGGTTTAGGACTCCCTATGCTGCATCCTGCATCTTCAATCTTAACGTCACCTTTTTTTTTTTTAACACAGAATGTTTCTTTTTTGATTTTCCAGTGATTTACAAACCTACCTCCCAATCTAGCAGTTTAACCCCTTACTACAAAACATTTCAAAATTTTAGAATGAACCAATGAGAACATGTCATGGTACTGAAATTAGGCTTCAGAACATTTTTGTCTGTCATTGCATTTGGCAGGAAGTCAGACAAGTACCGGTGATTGCCGGTTTCTTGTCTGATTTTTGCACTTCTCTGGCAAGCTGCCCCCTCTGAAGAGTTGACTATTTGGGAGTTACTCACTGATGGTTCAGCCACTTCCAGAACCTACCCCAAGAGCAAGACTTGAAACCAACTCGCACCCTCAAAGCTCCGGAAGCCATTCAGTGTTTCCATCTTGGCTGAGTGAGTTCTTCACTGAAACTCAATTTGACTTTGACAGTCATCTAATGAGAACTCAAAAGTCATTCTTGGTTCAGCCACAGTCAAAGAACTTGCAGAGCATTCTCTGACGAGGTCCTCAAGGACAACTGAGAGAAGGTAAGATCCAAAAAGCACCTGGATCCTGACACAGGATTGCCTGGTTCTTAAGCTCTGTTTGCATCCATGGGCACTCACCGGGTTGATTGCAGCCAGGCCGATGGGCAGGAGATGAAGTGCCCAAGCCGGAATGCAAGTCAGCATTTATTAGAGGAACCCAGTACCTACACAGGTGGAATGTGTCTAACCCATCGATGATCTTCAGTCCTGTTATATTTTCACAGATATTTTATTTCAGAGTCAGAATAACTGATGTTAAGGTACATGGGGAAGGAAGGCGGTAGCCTCATCTTTGTAGCCAACCAGCAGTATCTCATTCCCAGCCCTGCCTCCTACCTCTGTTAAAAGAGATGGGAAGAGTTGGTAGTTTTCAAGGTTCCTTGAGCTCTGCTGTTCTCTGGAGTAGTCGGCTAACCTTTCCCTGGTGGGAGAGTCAGAAACTCCAGTGTCAGCTTTAACACTTGAATTTTCTCTTCTAGAATTGGTAGTTTAGCACTTTTGCCTATATTTTCACCGAGCTGATTGTTTTTTTCTCATCAGCGTATAAGTCAGTATTTTATTAAGGAATGTGGGTTCTTTTGTTTTTTTTTCTCATCGTTTTATAACTCAGTATTTTATTAGGGATGTGAGTTTTTTTGTTATATGGAGGACGGTTTTTGTTTTTTTTTCTGAAATGGCGTCTCACCCTGTCACCCAGGCTGGAGTGCAATGTTGCGATCACGGCTTACTGCAGCCTCGACCTCCCAAGCTCAAGCAATCCTCCCAGCTCAGCCTCCCAAGTAATTGGGACTACAGGCATGCACAATCATGTCTGGCTAATCCTTTCTAATTTTTGTAGAGATGGGGCATCACTTTATTGCCCAGTCTGGTCTTCAGCTCCTGAGCTCAAGTGATCATCTTGCGTTGTCTCCCAAATCACTAGGATTACAATTGTGAGCCGCCATGCCTAGCGAAGCATGTGTTTTTGTCCTCAGTATGTTATGAGCCTTTTGGCCTTAACATCTTTGTCATAGACAATTTTATGTTGTTATATAAACTGCCAGTGTCATCTTGTTTCTGGTTTTTTAAAGATTTACTCTCCCCAATCTTATGCAAATATGCTATTAAATGTGTTCATCTATTTTATGTACACACATGCAGGTGTTTGATCCACCTCTCTTTATTTAATCTGATGTGAAGTGTGAGTCTTTCTCTCCCAGGTAGATAGCCGATCATGCCAGCGCTATTTATTACCAGAACTGTTCTTTGCCCACTGAATTGACATCTTACCTTGACACGGTTTATTTCATCTACATTCAGAGACCTGCCCTAGATAACGCCCCTATTTCTTTTTCTTTTGAGCTCTGCTTTAAAATATGTCTCATGGGTTATTAGATTGCTTATATTAATTTATCTTTTTATTTTAAGTTGTCATTCTCCGTTTATGTTTCCTTATTTTATTTATTTATATATCTATTTATTTCCTTTTTTTGAGACAGACTCTCACTCTGTCGCCCAGGCTGGAGTGCAGCGGCGTGACCTTGGCTCAGCGCAATCTCCACCCCCGGGTTCAAGCAATTCTCCTGCCTCAGCCTTCCAAATAGCTGGGACTACAGGAGTACACCACCATGCCTGGCTAATTTTTTGTAGAGACGGGGTTTCACCATGTTGGCCAGGCTGGTCTTGAACTCCTGACCTTAGGTGATCCACATGCCTCAGCCTCCCAAAGTGCTGGGATTACAGCATGAGCCACTGCGACCTGCCTTCTTATTTTATTGAATTTCAAGGTAGATGGTGTCAGTGTCAAACTCTGTTTCCAGTCATGAATTTACAAATGTCGGTTCTCTTGAGTGCAGTTTCCCCTTCACTTTGTATTATAAAATACTTGCATCGAGCAGGGCATGATTTTGCCTGTCACCTTCTCCTGCTGAAACAGATCCAGGTGTGGCAGGGCCTGATGTTTGCCCCAGGTCTGTGTCTGGATTCTGCTCAGATCCACTGCCTTTGCCTGACAGTGCCTCTGATCTTCTCATGACTTAAACGCGATGGAAGGCTCTTGAAGACGCATTTATATTACATATTGGGAGGTACAGAAGCTCAGGTAGAGAAGGGCGAGTGCCTAGTGGGAAATTCACCTGTGCCCAGTTTCTTCTCTGCTTGGTGAGCCTGGAATGCAGAGCCCGCTCTCTGAGTCTGTGTGTGTGCCCCTCCTGCCTTTTAGATGTACACTGTGGCTCTTCCTGCCCTCCCCCTTGTCACTACTGTCCTTTGTGCCTGGGGCCCATGGCCTCCTCTGATGTCAGATCTTCTTGTTCCTGATCCTTTGCCAGAACGCCCTTGATCTTCTTGTGCTCCTCTCCAGCACTGGCCCTCTAGGGTGGGGGGCGTTAGTGGAGGTTTCCCATATCTCCATTTTCTCTGGAAGGGAATTGGGGGAAAGTCCTGTATTTCCGTTTTCTCTCACTCTCTCAGTAGAAATTCTTCAAAGTCTAAGCTTGTAGATGATACCCGACTACAAGATTTTTACTGTGTCTTTGATTATTTTTGTTGGGATTTGTAGATTAAGATGCTGGTGGTCAAACTGCTGGCTTATCCTGTTTGATTTTATTGTTATATATGCTTGTATAGAAATTTGAAAGTGAAATTCAGAAGATAATTTTTTGACACCTGAGAGACAGAGTACTTCATAATTTATGTCTCATGATAGAGTGACAGATTTCTCTTAGATTTGTTTGTCTAAAACAGTAAGTATTTAGAGAAAATTGCATTCCAGGCAAGGGCATGGAATGAGCAAAGGCACAGAGGCAGGACATAAAAAATAAAAACAAAAAAACGTCAGGTGCCTGGGTGAATAGTCCAAAAACTAGACGGGCAGAGGGGAGTCTTGGGAGATCAACCAAAAGGCCTGGGCTGGGCTTCATCCAGGTGTTCAGGAAAGAGCCCGGCAGGTGTGAGCGTGTGGTTGACATGACCCACCCTTCACAAATATTAATCTTCCTGTTGTGAAGGTAGCAGCGGTGTCATGCAACGCCTCCCAGAGTTAACCATTGAATACTTTAAAAATCATCATATACCAGGAGCTCACCTGTGCCTGGATCAGAATAAATGACAACATAACGTGATGTCTTGAGGAAGGATAGGTTGGTGCAAAATTAATTTTTGCCATTACTTTTGCAGCACCAGCCTATATTTACAATAAATGCTACAGACAGTCACAAACATTTGAAGACTCTATTCTCTAACATAACAAGGAAAGAAACAAATTAGAGATGTTAAATAAAAGTTTTAAAGGAAAACAATTACAGACATATACAGACATATATGTGTATGTGCTTAAATGAGAAGACACAGAAGGCAGACTGGCGTTCAGTGAGGAGGGCCGTGCACCTTGCTGTGCTCCCTGGAGACACTGCCTGCCTGTGGGGTGCACATCACCTGCAGTGTGTGACAGCACTGGGTGGTCTGGCCTCCAACTGTCGTTCTCAGGCATGGGTTGTCAGCTCACAAGAGCAGATTACTATATAAAAATAACACTGGAATATCGGGAGTATTTTTTCTTAAATATGCTTAAAATAATTTTTTTTTTTGAGATGTACTCTCGCTCTGTTGCCTAGGCTGGAGTGCAGTGGCACGACCTTGGCTCACTGCAAGCTCTGCCTCCCAGGTTCATGCCATTCTCCTGCCTCAGCCTCCCGAGTAGCTGGGATCACAGGCGCCCGCCACCGCGCCTGGCTAAATTTTTGTATTTTTAGTAGGGACGGGGTTTCACCATGTTAGCCAGGACGGTCTCGACCTCGTGATCCGCCGGCCTCGGCCTCCCAAAGTGCTAGGATTACAGATGTGAGCCACTGCGCCCGGCTAAAATAAATTTTAAGAAGAAATACTGTCAGTATTATTTTTAGAACCTTCTATACTTCTCACAGTACACTTGCGCACTACAGAAAATTTGAGAAAACATGGCCAAATAGAGCTGGATTTGCATCCCAGATTCACCATTTATGAACCACATGACTCTTGTCAAATTTTCATCTAAAATAAAGGCTAATATGTGGGAGTTCTGTGGAAAAATTAGGTAACTTTAGACACATGGTACCATGCCTGGCATATACAGTGGAGTCATATCAGACACGTATTTATTTGTTTCAGTAAAATTACCTATTATTATTATAATTTTACATGGTGGGAGCAAGTAGAACACATGCTTCATTTTTCTTTTAAATGTGGCCCCTAAACACAAAGGAGCTATTTCATCTGGGATGTAACTAAAGAAGGAGCCAGGCCAGGTGCGGTGGCTCACGCCTGTAATCCCAGCATTTGGGGAGGCCGAGGCGGGCGGATCACAAGGTCAGGAGATTGAGACCATCCTGGCTAACATGGTGAAACCCTGTCTCTACTAAAAATACAAAAAATTAGCTGGGCGTGGTGGTGGGCACCTGTAGTCCCAGCTACTCGGGAGGCTGAGGCAGGAGAATGGCGTGAACCCGGGAGGCGGAGCTTGCAGTGAGCCGTGGTTCTGAGGTTGTGCCACTGCACTCCAGCCTGGGCAACAGAGCAAGACTCCGTCTAAAAAAAAAGAAGGAGCCAACTCTGAAATGCTGGAGGGAAAGTGAATGTGTGAGACTTACTGAGAGATGGTGTGTTTATAAACAATCGTGTTTACAAAAGCACATATTTCTGAGTGACTGGAGGGATTTTCAAGGCTTATTTGACCACATGTGTGATTGTTACTTTACAGGTTGAGTTTAGAACCTAACCTCAGCCTTACAGGCAGTAGGTAGCCTTGAACAAATGTTTAGCCAGTAGTGGTATCTTGCAGTTTTTCCTTTATTTAATGAATTTGCTAAGATATATCTGGCTATATGCTTAAAGATTTTGCAAAATATTTTTTTAAATTATTTTGAAATTCTTTAAAAAGATTTGTTTATTAATATTCTTTATAGAATACAGAGTTTTCTTCATTGGAACAGAGGAAATGTAATAACTTCATTTATTGCTAGGGCTGTTATTGATTCTAAACAATTCTATGATAGGCTTCTGCAAGGAATTTCAATCTTATTTATGATTAAAGTACATACTAATGAACACAGTAGCATTATTAATAACCATTTTCTTTGGTTATTCAATTCAGGCTTTGTTTTGTGAATCCCCCTACACACACACACACACACACACACACACACACACACACACACATCGCTGTTGTATAAGACGGTGGGTATGTAGTGGGCATTTCTCTAATGTGCTTAAATAAGACAGGGTTTTCTCATACTGACTCTTACTGTTCTAGCCAAGGAGACTCTGTTTGAAGCAAGAAGGCAGGGGTACTGGAAACTGATTTCTTGTGTCCTTGCTTTTTTCTTGTGAAGAGTCTAAATTAGTCTATTTATCATTTGATATTTTGAATTCCAGAGAAACTTAGATAACTGAAGGGAATACCTCAGCAGAGTGTAGGCTTCTCTATTTTGTTCTTATTAAATTATCAAAGAAGGAAATGAATATGAATTATTTAAAATAATCGTCCTTGGAGGTCTTGGGTACTGAGTCATTTGAATGGACTGGTAAGGAGGTGGCCCATTTTGTTTGTTGATTTCACCTTCCTGAGAGTGGCTGGCACAGACAGAGGAGATATTTTTCTGCTCAGACCTAACCCGATTTCATTATCTTTCTGCATTCACCGCCTGATTTTATTCTGTAAAGTATGAACACCGGTCTGACTTCTCTATATCTTACCTTGTCATTTAAGCATATGAATTGTATTATGTAACATAAAGGGGAAAATATGAAAACCAGTTCCTCTCAGTAAACCTTTTAAAACATTATTTAAAAGCCCAGCCTCCTACAATTTCCAAAGTTCCTGGTAATTTTTTTCAGTGGAGTTTTCAGTTTACTGATTTTTTTTTTCACTCAGAAGGGGCTGTGAAGTCAACAATTTTAAGGCAGTGTGGTTTAAGTGTTTTAAGTTCTGTTTCTGTTAAATGTATTCTATTCATGTTTACAAAGCAACAGAAGAAAGCTTAGAGAATTAAGTACACATAAATTTAATCACACAAGCTTGAGTAGCTAGATTAACTTCAAAACGATCAGTAAATAATATTTTAAACTTCTACTGACCTTATTAAAATACACTTCCAGAAACATTCTGTTTGAACTATTCTTGTAAATTAGTCATCTTGCAAAACAGCTGTGACAATATGATATAATGAAGAGAGCAGTGATTTAGCAATGAGAAGGCTGGGAGTCCTTGTCTTGGCTCATTCACAGGGAGATCACATGACATGCCAAAGTCCCCTAGATGAGGAAGCCATGCATTGAGAGGATTGAGGATTGGGTCAATGATCTATCATAGAATACTTTCTATGAGTCTGTGCTTAAACTTAGAAACCTCACAAAGAACACACTGGGGAATTTGGTGCAAGCAGGAGCTTCACCTCATGCAGAATTGCAGTGTGATTTTAGAGTGCTGTTACCATTCTTATGCTTAGAAGGCAGAGTGTCTTCAGTTAGGATTCTGTCGTGTTTAATGGATCCCACTCTCGTTGGCTTAGGCAGAAAGGTGTTAAATGGTTTGCAGAATTGTTGGGAAGGCTAAGCTTCCAGGAGCAGCTCCCAAAGTCTCCACACACAACTGGACCACCAGGGAACCTGCTCCCTCCACCAGGACAGGACTTGGAAACCTGCCACCGCAATTACCAGCACCAGAAGGATCTTGTCTCTGCTAAGTCTCTGTCGACATAGTGAATACCCTGTGCCCTGCCTCTCTCTCCCTGACTCAGGTCCCATTCCAGGTCTTGCCCAAGTCTTTCTGATTGGTGGGACTTAAATCACACCCAAAATTCCAGCTGCAGGAGAGCTCTGAGATTTCATCTTTCCAACCTCTGTGTGCTACGTGGGGGTTGGAGCACTTGCTGACAAGCCTTGCAACCACCATTGACAGTAAGTGAGATATTTATGATCAATAACATTTGCATTTTTCACAATTTACAGTATAGCTGTACATTTTATTTAGAGCTAGTATCAAGTCACTCTACAGATAACAATATTATTTCTGACCATTTTGGAAGAAAACAGCTTTTTTAAAATTGAGAGCAATATCTACATTATTTCCTAAAGAGCCAAAGCTGATAGAGAAAACAGGATGTTGAATTTTGAATTTTCCTTTCAGCTTTATCTTCTCCATGTCAGTTCTGTTTTCTTCTGTCTTTTTTTTCCATAGGGATGTCCTCCACCTTTTCAATCTGATTTGCTCTTTGCCATGCAGACCTGTGGATGAAGAGCCAGAGTCCTCCAAGGTAAATGCTCCTGGCCAGTGGCCTGGTGTCTGTGTTAACTGAACATCTCCAACGCCCTCAGAGTCCACAACCACCATTAAGTCACTTATCAAGTCATTTGACTTGGGATGCCCAGGTATTTGATCACTTTTTTTCTATAAGCAAAGCTCCAAATTCAAACTTTGGCCCAACATTTGATATGTCAACTGTCTCTACTCCACCCTGGCTCCACGTTGGCTGTTACAATCACAAGGGTGCTTTCCAGGTCCTACCAGGTGCAGCCACTGCCTACAGGAGCCTGGCTGAGGCTCCAGGGAGGCGCTGATGGAGAGCCTGGCCCATGAATAACACAAATGCAGCCTCTTCCTCTCTACCTCTTCCTTCCATCCAGTTCCTGCCTTGTCACCTTTCTTTTCTGCCTCTCATAGCCATTAAATTCAGGTCACTACTATTTGCCTTTTTGTCGTCTCATGAGAATTACAAGGGTCAGCTGGAGACTTCACCTCCTAGGAAATGAGGCATCACATCTGTGCACCTGGCCCTCTTGTAGGCACCCCTGGCCATCCCCATCTTGAACCTGCTAGATGTTTTTCTACCTGGTCTTGTACCTGAGCACCTGTGCTAATCTGTCACTCCTGATCTTGGTACATTCCCAGCTTTTCCTGGAATTGTCTGATGGACTCACAATTCCACTTTAGTCATGCTTATCTTTATATATGAGAAAGATACGTAGCTATACTTCATACATATACTGTACACATAAACATAGCAAATAGAAGAAACAGAATGTGCATCTCTCTACAGTAACATATATTTCTTCCCTGGACTGCAACAAATATGCCATTGAATTGGAAGACTGTTGTAAAAGTTAATCCTAGGATGTACCTAGTTGTCTCTGCTAAAATAGTTTGCAGCTAAATTAGATGATTAGACTGTGCATATTGAAAGACATGGAAGGGCTGGGCGTGGTGGCTCATGCCTGTAATCCCAGCACTTCGGGAGGTCGAGGCTGGTGGATCACCTGAGGTCAAGACCAGCCTGGTCAACATGGTAAAACCCTGTCTCTACTAAAAATACAAAAAAAATTATGTGGGCGTGGTGGTGCACACCTGTAATCCCAGCTACTCAGGAGGCTGAGACAGGAGAATTGCTGGAACCCCAGAGGTGGAGGTTGCAATGAGCCGAGATTGTGCCATTGCACTCCAGCCTGGGCAACAAGACTGAGACTCCATCTCAAAAAAAGAAAAAAAGAAAGATATGAAGCCGAAAGCCCAGTGAGTGAGTCTGTGAAGGTGGGAAATGAATTAACAGTAACAGTTTGTGCAAGAACTTTCCTGTTCCTTCCTCCCCGAGGCACCTCATTATTTAAACATTTGCATTTTACTCAGTTATCCTACATCTAAGACTGATCTCCACTCAGCCAACTCCTCCTGCCCTCTCATTTCTCCAATTCAGCTTTAGTCCAGAGGAGAAAAGGATAATAGAGTAAATGTTACACTAAACATCATGGGATACTTCTTAAGTCACCAAAAAAGTAACAACAAATTAAGAAGTATTATTTGCTATTTTGAACTGGATCAACATATAAATGTTCCCATCTCTTTTCTTGGCAGGTGAAGCTGGACTGAATATTTCTGTCCATAAGACTATTAGAATCCCCCAAAGTGGGATACCAGTGAGGACCTCACCAGCAGCTGCTGTCTCTCCAATGCAGGTAGATGAGCCTCAGAAATAACCGCTGCTTGTGGTTTGCTGTGTATTCCTCTAGATGTTTTTCTTTACACATATTAGTGAGTGTGGAGAGAGAGTGTGTATGTGTTCTGTAAATTTGATTACACTGCGCATTTATTCCGAAATCCATTTCACTTTACCGTTGGAACGTAAGCTCTGTGAGGGCAGAGACTTTTGTTTATTGCACTTGCTGTTAGAGCTCTTGTCTGTAACAGTGGCTGGCACATGGTCACATCATAGTAGAAGCTCAATAAATATTTGTTGAATGAATGAAAAAATACGTCCAAGACATCTTCAGATTTCAATATTTGGAGAAATGATTCATTTTTTAAAGAAAGTTACGTAATATATGGTGATTTATTTAGCCACTATTCTACTGATAGACATTTAGGTTGTTTTGAGTTTAACTTATTACAGAAACAATACAGGGAAGATCCTTGTACAAATTTTTGATGGTTAAAGGGGCTATTTCTGTATAAGGGTATATATCAGGATTCATTTGCAAATATCAGAGATCACTGTAATTAAGCAGAAAGGAATTTAATCCAGGGCATTTGGTACTAGAAGGGCTGGAGAAGGCAGTAGGCTCCACTGAGCTTCCAGGAAGGGTTCCCAGAGCATCTCAATGCTGACCCATTAAAAGACCTTCTGTTTCTGCCAGAATCAGGAAGTCTTTCTGTAGGTGCTTGCTTAGGACCACCAGTGCTGCCAAGATATAGGATAAGCCTCGGGATCACACAGGCACAGGTGCAGTCCGTACCTGCAAAACAGGCTCTGTGCCTGCCTCACACTGCCCAGATGATGGTGAAACAGACCCCAGAACCTCTGCTCCCCTGCCACAGAACAGCAAATGCCTTTCCAGCCATGCTTGCCAGGAGAAGCTGCAGACGGGCAGCCTTACACTCCCTTGCACCTTCCAGATCCTCTAAGAGGGGGCCTCTTCGACAGAAACTAGGCCACTTGATGAGCCAAGCTTTTAAGACTTTGGCAAATACACCCTTCAGGCAAATACATCCTAGTCTCTTATGATTCAGTAAATCACCCTACAAAGAGATGAGGATGGAGTCGAGTGAGCCTTTGCTGAGATCTTCCACACATTGATTCCTAGAAAAGGAAAATGGAGTCCTAGAGAAGGAAGTAGATTGACCTGTCCCGGCATGTTGAAAAACTTGATAGACACATTGCCCTTCAGTTTGCCCTCCCACTCACAGCATGCAAGGTACTGTTTTCCCAGAATTTTCACACTCTGTAAATAATTTTAAAGATTAAGTAAATGAACAATGATAACTTGTTTTGCTTTGTTCATCAGTAAGGTTGAGCACTTCTTCATATGTTTAGAGGCCATTTATGTATCTTTTGTATGTGTCTATGGAAACTCATATACTTGGCTTGTATTTCTTTTGAGGTGTTAGTCTGTTTCCTGGGGTTTTTTTTTTTTTATTATTTTAATTTTTTTGAGATGGAGTCTCGCTCTGTCCCCCAGGCTGGAGTGCAGTGGCGCGATCTCAGCTCAGTTCAAGCTCTGCCTCCTGGGTTCACACCATTCTCCTGCCTCAGCCTCCTGAGCAGCTGGGACTACAGGCGCCCGCCACCACGCCCGGCTAATTTTTTGTATTTTTAGTAGAGACCGGGTTTCACTGTGTTAGCCAGGATGGTCTGGATCTCCTGACCTCGTGATCCGCCCGCCTCAGCCTCCCAAATTGCTGGGATTACAGGTATGAGCCACCATGCCCGGCCATCTTTTTCCTGTTTATAAGAAATCTTGATATATTGTGCTTTTTAACTTTTTTTCATATGTAGTGCTATTATTTCTTAGTCATCTTTTAACTTTGTTTATAGTTATATTTTACTGAAGAGAAATGTTGCCTTTTTGTGTTGTTTTTCTTTGATTTTAAGTGTTTTGTTTCCTTCCTTAAAATGTCTTTCTAGCTATTAGTTTATTAAAATATTCTTCCTTAGCATCTTTAAAAAGCCTTTTATTTGTTCAGTCTTAAAACCCATAGAAACATGGGCTTTGGATTTTGATGATCTTCTCCTATCTTGACTGTCTTCTGGAATCAAATGGATACTCTGGAGGAATATTACATCACCTAGAACCTCAAATTATAGCCATGTTTTATTTTTATTACTGTACACAAAATAGAATGAGTTTCTGTATTCATCTTCTTTCTTCCCTTTTTAAAAACTTTTCAGTTCAGGGGTACATGTGCAGGTTTGTCATATAGGTACATTCGTGTCGTGGAGGTCTGTTGTACACATTATTTCATCAACTCGGTATTAAGCCTCGTACCGATTAGTTATTTTTCCTGGTTTGATCCCTCATCCCACCCTCCACCCTCAGGTAGGCCCCAGTGTCTGTTATTCCCCTCTATGTGTCCATGTGTTCTTATCATTTAGCTCCCACCTATAAGTGAGAACATGGGTAGGGATGTTTTTTATTAGGCAAAATGCAGGAATGGATACCAAGGTAGGGAATGTGGGCTGGGCTGTGTAGAGCACGTGGAGGGGTGGGGGGCTGCAGGTCACCATATCTGCTGGCGATGGCTGTCTTGAGTCATGGGCCACCCGGTGCTCTGACCAGTGGCAGCAAGGCTGTATGAACCAGTTCAGTTTTCCTTCCTGAGGTGGGACAGTCACAACTTTGGTTGGATATTTTGGCTCGCCTACGGCCAGTTCCTGGAATTCTTTAAGTAAAAGGCAAGGTTAAGCATTATGAGAGCACCAAAGAGCAAGCTTTTTTTTTTTTTCTATAAAGGTCAGATAAGGAATTGATACCTGATACGTTTAAGCCTTTTTGTGAAATGCCATACACAAAGATAAAAGCGAACAAAATGTAAATGACAGTTTCTTGAATGATTAGAACATGAAAAGTCATGCAGTCACCACTCCCGTCCAGAAGAGGAGCAGCGCCAGCTCCCCTAGACCTCTCCTACGATTTTCCCATCGTAACCCTCACTACTCCCAAAGGTAACCGTTGCCTCACAATTCTTCTCTTTAACAGATCTTTACAAAACTATGCAGCCCTAAACATTATGTTACTTTTCCTTACATCTGAATTTTATCACAAATGGAATTTAAAAACTATGTAATATTTACATCTAGTTTTTTTTACACATTATTAAGTTAGTGAGATGTATCCATGTTGTTACGTATACCGTAATTTGTTCATTTTCTTCAATTAAAGGCCATTGTATGAGTATACCTTTATCCATTCTGTCATTAATGGACAGTTGAGTCATGTACAGTTTGGGGCTATTGTGAATAGAACTGTTACGTTCTTATCGATGTCTCTTGAGACATGTATGTGCTCGTTCCTGTTGGTTACATACTTAGGAATGGAATTCCTGGGCCTTAGGGTATGCATACATTCTAGGATAGTGCCAAACAGATGACTGAAGTATTTGTATAACTCATGTCTTTTCAGCAATTTATGAGAGGTCTGTTTCTCTGCATTCTCATCAATACTTAGTAGTGTGTTAGTCTTTTTACTGGCGGTCATGTGGGTGATGTGTAGTAGTGTCTCACTGTGGTTTTGATTTGCGTTTTTCTTTTGGCTGGGGAGGCTGAACACTTTTTCTTTTTTTCTTTTCTTTTTTTTTTTTGAGACGGAGTCTCACTCTGTCGCCTGGGCTGCAGTGCAGAGGTGCGATCTCAGCTCGCTGCAACCTCTGCCTCCCAGGCTCAAGCGATTCTCCTGCCTCAGCCTCCTGAGTAGCTGGGATTACAGGCACCTGCCACTACGCCTGGCTGATGTATTGTATTTTTAGTAGAGACAGGGGTTTTACCATGTTGGCCAGGCTGGTCTCAAACTCCCTGACCTCGCGATTCACCCACCTCGGACTCCCAAAGTGCTGGGATTACAGGCATGAGCCACCGCCCCCCCCACTGGCTGAACACCTTTTCATATGCAAATTGACCATGTGGATAGTGCCTTTTGGGATGCACCTGTTCAGGTTTTTTTGCCCATTTTGTTTGTTTGGGGGGTGGGATTTATTGGCTCTGTAAGCAGGATATGAGCTTTTGCCCATTTATAAAATCAGATTCTCGTTGTTTTCCTTATTGCTTTAAAGAGTTCTTTATGTAGTCTCCATATAAGTCCCTTGTCAAACAAATATGTGGCAAATACCTTCTCCCAGTGTGCCTTAAATTATCTTCTTTTGATGAACAAAGTTCTTAATTTAATTAAGTCTAATTCATCAGTCTTTTCTCTAATGGTTAGTGCTTTTTGTATTCTGTGTAAGACATTGTTTATTCCAAGATCGTGAAGATATTGTCCTGTGTTTTCCTGTAAAAGCTTTATTGTTGTATATTTCACATTAAATAGATACGTTCTTTAAAATTGCCAACTCCTACTGCATCCTTACAACATTTTGCTAAAACTTCCGACAATTCCAGTGCCACAACACTCCCTTCCCAGGCTGAAGCTTTTTGGGAGGTGGGGATGGAAAATGAAAGAAGCTGGCAAGAAAAACCCAGGCTTGGCCGGGCTCAGTGGCTCACACCTGTAATCCCAGCACTTTGGGAGGCCGAGGTGGGCGGATCATGAGGTCAGGAGATCGAGACCATCCTGGCTAGCATGGTGAAACCCCGTCTCTACTAAAAATACAAAAGTTAGCTGGATGTGGTGGTGCATGCCTGTGATCCTAGCCATTCAGGAGGCTGAGGCAGGAGAATCGCTTGAACCCGGGAGGTGGAGGTTGCAGTGAGCCGAGATCGTGCCACTGCACTCCAGACTGGGTGGCTGAGCGAGACTCCATCTCAGAGAAAAAAAAGAAAGAAAGAGAAGAAAAGGAAAGGAAAGGAAAGATAAAAGAAAAACCCCGCCTCAGCCAGGACCCAGCACAGAGAGTAAATTAGCGGGGCTGGGAGTTTCTGCCATATCAGCAGTCAGATGTCTTAAAACCAGAATCTACCCAGAGTATATGTATCTTGTATCTTTTCCATAACGTTCTTTTCACTTTATGTTAAAGAAGAAAAAGAATCCCAGCACTTTGGGAGGCTGAGGTGGGAGGATTGCTTGAGCCCAGGAGTTTGAGGCTGCCGTGAGCTGTGATAGCACCACTGCACTCTGGTCTGGGTGACAGAGGGAGACCCTGTCTCCAAAAAAATTAAAAAAAAAAAAAACCTGTCAACGCTACTGACCAACAATAGAGGCTCTCAAGGTGTAAACTCACCTCAGATCCCTGTTTGTTCTTCCTGTCCACTCTGCCTCTACCCTGTTTCAAAGCTGGACCATGCCATGAAGGAAGGCTCCTCGGTTACAGCCTCCCCGAGCCCGTCAGCCACGCTGCCGAGGACACGGGAAAGAATAAGAAGCCAGAGGGAGGCGGCTGCCTGCAGGAGGTTTAGCATAAAGGAAATAGGAATGGTAATTTGAAATTGAAGAAAACATTTAAAAAGAGCTGTCATTCAAGTATGACACCCCTGATGCCACCTGTGCTGTCCCCCATCTGACAGAAATGGACTGAGGCAGCTGCCAGAGGGGATATGAAAAAGCAATTAACATTTTCAGAAGGGGTGGCCTTCTATGGTGTAACCTTGTTGTACTGAGATTGCAGGGAAGAGACACAAAGTTTCCAGTCATGATCACAAGAATAGTATTTCCTGCTGGAGTGATTTTTTGGTTTGTTTTTATGAACATCCTGGATTAGTTTGCAAAACATTTTACATTTGAAGAAATCCAAAACTCATTTTGCCTGAAGAGTTATATTCTTTCATCGTTAAATCTGTAAAATTACAAATATAAGTGTGTGTCTGCTTTACTTACTCTTCACAAAATAGTATGTGTCTAGATCTGATTGTCATAGGCTTGTTCTCTCAGAATTAGAAGCCAAAAGAAAAAAAAGAAGAAAAAAACTGGTGAAAGTCAGATGGTTCATAGTCTTTTTGAAAACCAGTAGCCATGTGCATTTTACTTAAAATAACTTTATTTCTACCTCACCAAAATACACCATGGTAGGTTATGTCTTTCCCTCTCTCTCTTTCTCTCTCCTCCCCATACACAACACACACACACACACACACATACACACAAGTTTTAGATTCAAGGGGTACATGTGCGGGTTTGTTACAGTGGTATATTGTGTGATGCTGAGGTTTGGGATACAGTTGATTCCATTACCCAGCTAGTGAGCATAGTACCCAATGGTTAGCTTTTCAGGCCCTGCCCTCCACCCTTCCTCACCCCTTTTGGAGTCCCCAGTGTCTGTTCCTATCTTTGTGTCTCTGTATACTCAATATTAAGCTCCCATTTATAAGCGAGAAAGTGTGGTAAGGTTTTCTGTTCCTGCATTGGTCACTTAGAATAATGGCCTCCAGCAGTGTCCATCCTACTGCAGAGGACATGGTTTCCTTTTTATGGGTGCATAGTATTCCATGGTGTATATGTACCATATTTTCTTTATCCATTCCACCATCGATGGGCATCTAGGTTGATTCCATGTTTTTGCTATTGTGAATAATGTGATGAATATACACGTGCACGTGTTTTTTTGGTAGACTTTTCCTTTGAGTACATACCCAGTAATAAGATTGCTAGGTTGAATGGTAACTCTGAGGTTCTTTGAGAAATCTCAAAACCACTTTCCACAGTGGCTGAAATAATTTACACTCCCAATAGTGTATAAGTGTTCCCTTTTCTCCACAGCCTCACCAGCAGCTATTATTTTTTGCCTTTTTAATAGTAGCTGTTCTGACTGGTGTGAGATGGTATGTTATCTCAACGAAGTTTTCATTTGCATTTCTCTGATGATTAGTGATGATCAGAATTGTTTGTATGTTTGTTGGCCACTTGTATGTCCTCTTTTGAGAAGTGTCTGTACATGTCCTTTGCCAATTTGTTAATGGGGTTGTTTTTTGCTTGTTGATTTTCTTTATCAATTCTGGATATTAGATACATAGTTTGCAAATACTTTCTCCCATTCTGAAAGTTGTTTACTCCATTGATAGTTTCTTTTGCTGTGCAGAAGCTCTTTAGTTTAATTAGATCCCACTTGTCAATTTTTGGTTTTGTTGCAGTTGCTTTTGGGGACTTAGCCAAAAATTATTCACCAAGGTCAATGTCAATGGTATTTCCTGGGTTTTCTTCTAGGATTTTTATATTTTGAGTTCTTCCATTTAAATCTTCAGTTAATTTTTGTATGTGGTAAAAGGTAGGCCTCTAGTTTCATTCTACTCTATATGGCTAGCCAGGTATCTCAGCATCATTTACTGAACAGGGAGTTCTTTCTCCATTGTTTGTTTTTGTTGAAGATCAGATAATAGTAGGTATGCAGCTTTATCTTCTCTTCCATTGATCTGTGTGTTTGCTTTTATATCGGTACCATGCTGTTTTCATTACTGTAGAGTTGTAGCATAATTTGAATGCCAGTAATGTGATGCCTTCAGCTTTGTTCTTCTTTTTTAGGACTGCTTTGGCTATTCAGGGTCTTTGCTGGTTCTATATGAATTTCAGAATAGTTTCTTCTAAATCTTTAAGAAGTGCAGTTGGTAGTTTGGTGGGAATAACATTGATTCTGTAAATTGCATTGGGCAGTATGGCCATTTTAATGATAGTGATGCTTCCAATCCATGACCATGAAATGTTTTTTCATTTATTTGTGTCATCTCTGGTTTCTTTCAGCCCCCTTCCATATGTTAACTCAGTAATGAACTTGTGTTCAGGGACATGTTCAGCTCCAGGTAATATTGTAGGTGCTGGGGATTCCACAGTGAATGAAACAGGCAGCAGTCCCTGCTCTCATGGAACTTAAACATCCTCATGGGGTCTGGCAGTTAACTGAAATAAAAGGTAACATATGTACCCTATTTGAAGGTTGTATTGCTGTGGAGAGAAATAAAGCAGGGAAGGAGGGTTGGGAATATTGGGTGAATGGTACAATTTATACACAGTGGTCAGGGAGATGACATTCAAGCACTTGCTCCCCTCTCTTGAAGGGCTTTGGTGTCTGCATGAAGGTTTATTTCCCACCAAGGCCTAGGTGTGGAGGGTCAGAGTAAGGAGGTCTTCACTGCCGTGACTGTGCCGATAGGATCTAAAGTGACACACGGTGGGAGCCTCAGGTCAGCAGCACTGGGAAGTGAGCACCACAGCCAGACCCACCTGCCAAGCCCCGGGCCAGCTGTGTGACGTCTTGAGTGGCCCAGGATTGAGACCCAGTGAAAGGATGTGAGTCTGCCCTTGCTATGAAGTGAGGCCCTCACTGAGCTCAAAATGGCGCTCCTAGGAGGCCCTTCCTCACATTCTGCTCAACTCAGCCATTTTCCAAGCCAAGTGGGCAGCCCTGACCCAGGGAACTCATACTCCTCCTTTTCTTTCACCTAAAAGTCTACTTTGGGCTCCTAGTTTTGTGTTCTGATGGGGAAATTTCCATCTCTAATGTAATTTCCAGTAAGAATTCTGAAGGGACAGAAAGCTGAGATGGGAATATGTCAGAAAGAATTCTAAAGATAACCCCCATGACTCTCCCTGGTAGAATGTCCTCCCCTTTATATGACACAGGGAGATGGTCTGGATGTGCCCCACCTAATCACAGAGCCCTGTAAAAGCCAAGTGATGTCTCTGGCTTGTGGCAGAAGTTGGGGAAATTCAAAGCATGAGAAGGACTCTGCATGTTCTTGGTGGCTTGAAGAGGGAGGGGCATGTGAGGAGCCGAGAAGGGCCCCTGGCTGACAGCCAGCAGGAAACAGGGACTTTCTAGCACGAAAACATTAGTGCTGAGGTCCTAGCAATGCCCAGAAATTACCATGTCAGTGCTCTGGAGTTTTGAGGTTGACAACTCCAAGTGTGGTGCCACCAGGTCCTTTGTCTCCTCCTCTGTCCTGATGCCCTCAGACCTCAGCAAAGCCAAGGATGCTCAGTTTGCTTTGCCTTCTGCTTTCCCTCAGCTGGGGGATCTTGGGCTGGAAGTCAGTCTGATGAATGTGTGGAATTCAACTCTAAGTCTCTCCTAAGTTCTCTGTCACCTCCCAAGAAGCATGATGAGGCACAGCCACCCTACACTTCCATGGGTGGCACCTTGGCTGCATTCCTTGGTCCCTGCCATACCACTGGACCCTTGGACACTGGTGAATCAGGCAAGGGCATGGATTGAGTCCCTACATCTCACCTGTATCTCCAAAGTTGGAATCCATAACCCTTAGCAAGTTGTAATGGGATGTTTAAGAGTTTTAAAGGCCGCTGGTTTCCTGAGTGGAATTAGAATATTATTAGAGCAGTACTGTAGCATTAGAGCCAGCTGCTCCGTGAGGTGGTGAGAGTCCTGACCCTGGGGGTGTGAAAACAGGAGGTAAGGAGGGACACAATGAGGGCATCCCGTAGTGACTTTAGGCTTGCTCATTTCCGCAGACAGAAAATTCCTAGCAATGGGATCTCTTTATTATATCGCTCTTAGAAACCCACCTGCCAGATCCCAGCTGTGGTTTTGTTACTATTCATTGACAGGAGTAATGAAATTTAAATGTTACAAATACAGCTAAAGGCCTCTTTGATGCAGTCCTGGTTCCCTCTTGCCTCACTTGGTGAGAGCTGGTGACGTCATGCAAGTCCTTGCAGGCTTCTTATGCTTCACACTCAGTGTGTGTGTTCACAGACAACACAGCACTGTACTGTGTGTGTGTGTGTGTGTGTGATCTGTTTGGTTTTGGTATTGTTTTACTAAAAGGGATCATACTGTAAGGCTCATGCTATAAACTACTTTTATTCACTTAGCATCTGTCCTAAGAGCTTCCAGATCTGTCTCGTTAACTGTGGCACAGACTTCTGACTCTGGCCTGTGCACCCTGCGGATTCAGGCATCCTCTGTTGCATGGACATTTACATTGCTTCCAGTTTCTGGCTGTCATTAGGGGACTCACTGAGGAGGAGAATTTCTTGGCGGGTGGGTTAGGTTTGGGGTCTACATTTAACTGACCCTGGCCAGTTGCCCTCCAGAATGCTGCTGCCAGCTCCCTCCCTCCAGCAGGGCATGAGTTTATGTTTCTGTAGATCACCCCCTGCCCCTGATGTTAGCAAACGTTAAAACTTTGCAACCTGATTGGTGAGTTACTTTTTCATTGTTTAGTTGTTTTTTTCTGATCTGAGGGACCTGGCGTTTTCTGTGTTTGCTGACCGTCTGCATCTCCTCTCCTGCTCTGTGCACCATCACCCTGCTCCAGCTGCTTCCTGGAGCCTCCCTCCTTCCTCTCCACCTGCCCGCGTCCTCTTTCTCCTTCAGTTTCTTCCTAAGGGCCCATGGGCTTTCTTTGGCTTTTACGTTCTTCTCACTCCGCCTTTGGCTGTTGCTGGGCCTCCCATCCCCTGGGAGGTTTCAGAGGATGGGGAAGACACAGGAGTGCAGTCACCATGCAGTGCAATATGGGCTGTAATGTTAATCCTCCACGGCCTTTATTGAGGACTTACTGTGTGCCAAGAACCTGCTCTGAGAACTTAACTGTGCTCCCTCCCTTCATGCTCATAACCACCTGTGAGACAGGCAATGTTCTCATCCCCTTTCACACAGAGAACATGGAGGCACAAAGGAGTTTCATAAATTGCCACTAAGGCCGTCCACTGGTGTGCGGCAGAGTCAAGATTCAAACCCAGGCTGTCTGGCTCTGGGTTTCCTCTGTTAGGTGTCAGATAGGGCCAAGGAGACACAGAGAAGGAGCACCACCTGACTTGGGCTGGGGCAGTCAGGGATGGCTTCCTGGAGGAGGTGACACCTCAGTGGAGCCTTCAAGGAGGAGCTGACCAGGCTTTGAATGTCCAGGAAGAGTGAAATGCCTGAGTGATGCTGGGAGGCTGGAGAGCTGGCCTGGCTCGGGTTGTGTGCCAGGGGGCAGGAGATCAGGACTAAGGGGTGGCCAGGGTCAGATCTAGAAGACTTGGGCCATCCCATAGTCAATACCTCATCGCAAGGCCAGGCAGGCCTTCCACTGCTCTGTTTGTACCCCATGGGACACCAGGAGCCTGGGCCGCGGCCACCCACCTGGGCCCCTGAGACCCAATGCACAGGCATGGGGGCGGGAGTGGGTGTGGCTGATTTACATCCAACAGGTTGAGGGGAAAACCCAGGAAGTGCAGCCCAGGCAATAATCAAATCTAAGACTAATAATAAGCATCCTGAGTAGTGAGTGGCCTGGGCTGGAGTGGGCAAGCTGGCCAGAGTGGATGGACCAGGAGGAGCCGTGTGAGTAGCCAGGCAGGAGGGCAGGTGGGAGGTGTGAGGAGGGTTGGGTCTGAGTGCCGTGGGGGTTGGCAGGGTCCAGTAGGTGCAAGGCCCACAGCAGATCCACACACTGGGGCAGTCCCAGCCTCCCCAAGCCCCTGCACATGGAGAGCCCCAAGTCTGGATGCCTCTGGGATGTGGGGCTTGCCTTCTGGGAGAGAAGCCACTGAGGCTACAGGGTTGGCCACACCGGCAGGAATTCCCTTTGTCACCATGGCCCCCGCACAGCCTCCATTTTCCCCCTTACATGCCCGCTGGACCATTTTAATGCTAATCTCAAATACCAGATTGTTTTGAGTTGCTGAGACTGCAGGATTTATTCCTTAAGAACACAAACTAAAAACAAAAAACTAAGCATCATACAATTCCTGCTAAAACAATTCCTAAACATCATCACATAACCCGCCAGGGTTCAAACTGCTCTGACTATCTCTTCAATGTCTTTCTCAGTTGATTTGTTCAAATCAGGATCCCAGCATAGCCCACATTAGACATTTGGCTATGTTTTAATCTATAACAGTTTCCACTTGTTTTTTTCTTGGTTGGTTGGTAAAGATACTGGACTATTTATACTGCAACATTTTTATCAGGGTAGGTTTCTAAGGCTTTATGAAAGGGCTCCAGATCCTTCACTGTGCAGACAGAATCCAAGGCTGGATGGACCTAGGGCATAGCCTAGATTCACAGCCTCTCCCTGCAGCTCTGTCCCCACACTCCAGGCAGAGAACAAATCTGTTCTCTCATCCTCTTTTGTGTCCTGCGACCACATCCCCAGAATCTACCCAGCCAGGGGCTCAAATACGTAATGTTTCTCTTTCTGAGAGAGTTAGACAAGGCAGTGACCAGAGGCTGCCTTGACACAGGATGAAATTGCCCAGAGCCCTGGGGCCGGGAGTCAAGACCCAGCTAGAACTGTGACCTGGCACTAGCAGAGGCCGCCTGGTGCTGCAGAATCACCCCTGGCCAGTTGTTCAGTGACCCACTCTGAGACCTTGGCTGAGCCACTTCCCCTCAGTGTAAAATGAAGAAGACTGTCTTTCCTACCAGATATCCCTCAAAAAAAACAAAAGTGCTTTGAACCTGTCAGATCCCCTGTTAAAGAGTCACAAGGAAAGGCTCTGAGAAGACTTGCAGTTAAAAAAATCCTTTGGCTTCCTTTAACCCAGAGATTTTTCAAGGTAATTTGACCACAGAGAACTTTCTTGGTGCAGCAGCTGTTAACTAGCCAAACGTGTGGAGGCACAAGCAGAGGGCTCAGAGAATCACCCTCTTTGGCTGCTCTCTGGTTTCAGGGTGCAGGGGAGAGTCTCTGTCCTGCATCCGAGTCTGCAGCAGCCTGGAGTATGAGCCCAGCCCACAGAGCTAGTGTCCAAGAGGAGTTCCCTTTCTTCCCTTTCCATCAATGGAGCTTCTCTCTCAAGCTTCTATTCTGCCTGGCTGGTGTCAATCTTGGGGTTTTCCTGCCCTCCTTTGACACTTGATGGTGGTTCTGGGATTTTGATGGTGGTGGAGGAGGGGGCAGGGACAGGCCCTCTGGTCAGCTTGGCATCTGCCATCTGGTCAGTCAGGCACTGTCTCTCCATAGGTCCGGTGGCTTTGGTGGCTTCTAGGCCATGAATGGGTCTTGGAACCTCTCCAAGGCTGCCCTTGTCACATAGAACCTGCTGCCCACGTTCCACTCAACCATCCCTTCACGGTGATATGTGGTGGGTGGTGGCTTTCTCCCTCTTTGCTCCCCCCACCCAAAAGGGGGAAGAATCAGGGGTCTGTCTTTAATTTTGTTTGATCCTTTGATTTTACATTTGCTTTTAAATATACAGTAGAGTCAGATGGTTTGAAACCCAGAAAGTATTGGAAGATGTATAATGGAAAGTCTCTTTCCCACCTTGTCCTCCATCTGCCCAGTTCCCACCTCCTCTAGAATAAGCAACATTATTGAGGTATAATTTACATGCCATGAAATTCACCTGTGTAAAGTGTACAAGTCAGTGTTTTAGAGTTGTGCAGCCATCACCATAAGCTAATTTTAGAACATTTTGATGACCCCAAAAAGAAACTTTGTCAGTCTTCATTCCTCCCCAACCCCAGGCTACCACTACTCTCTGTCTCTGTAGATTTGCCTGTTTTGGACATTTTCCATAAATGGAATCATATGTGGCGTATTGTGACTAGCTGCTTCCACTTGGCATAATGTTTTCAAGGGCCATCCATGTTGTAGCAGGTATCAGTACTTGCTTCAGTTTTGTGGCTAAGTAACATTCCACTTTATGGATATGTCATATGGCTTTTCCAGTCATCGGTGGATGGACATTTGGGTTGTTTCTACTTTTTGGCCACTTTGATTATTAACAATGCTTCCATGAACTTTTGTGTTAAGATTTTGGGTGGACGTGTTTTCATTTCTTTTGAGTAGATGGATACCTAGAAGTGGAATTGCTGGATCATATGGTAATTCTACATTTAGCATTTTAAGGACCTGCAAACTGCTTTCCAAAGTGGCTGTGCTATTTTATTTTATTTTATTTTTATTTTTATTTTATTTATTTATTTATTTATTTATTTATTTATTTATTTATTTATTGAGACGGAATCTCACTGTGTCGCCCAGGCTGGAGTGCAGTGGCGCGATCTTGGCTCACTGCAAGCTCCATCTCCCAGGTTCACGCCATTCTCCTGCCTCAGCCTCCCGAGTAGCTGGGACTGCAGGCGCCCGCCACCACACCCAGCTAATTTTTTGTATTTTTAGTAGAGACAGGGTTTCACCATGTTAGCCAGGATGATTTCAATCTCCTGACCTTGTGGTCCGCCCACCTTGGGCTCCCAAAGTGCTGGGATTACAGGCATGAGCCACTGCACCTGGCCTATTTTATTTTTTAAATTTAATTATTTTATTTTATTTATTTTAATTTTTGTTTTTTGTTTTTTGTTTTAGATAGAGTCTCACTCTTGTTGCCCAGGCTGGAGTGCAGTGGCACAATCTGGCTTGCTGCAACCTCTGCTTCCCTAGTTCATAAGATTCTGCTGCCTCAGCCTCCCAAGTAGCTGGAATTACAGATGCCCACTACCATGCCTGACTAATTTTGTATTTTTAGTAGAGATGGGGTTTTACCATGTTGGCCAGGCTGGTCTCGAACTCCTGACTTGAGGTGATCCACCCACCTCGGCCTCCCAAAGTGCTGGGATTACAGGCATGGGCCACTGTGTCTGGCCGGCTGCGCACTGTTTTATAGCTCATTTCATGCATGAGGGTTCTGATTTCTCCACATCTTCACTGACACTTGTCATTGACTGTCTTTCTCATTGTAGCCACCCTAGGGGGTGTGAGGTGGTATGTCAGTGTGGTTTGGATTTGCATTTCCCTAATGACAAATGATGTTGAGCATCTTTTCATGTGCTTTTTGGCCATTTGTATGTCTTTTTTTGGGAAAATGTCTATTGAAATCTCTAGCCCATATAAAAATTGGATTATTTGTCTTTTTTCAGTATTCTGTTATAAGCATTTTTTATATATTCTGGATACAAACTCCTTATCAGATACAAGATTTGTAACTATTTCCTCCAGGTTTGTAGATTGTCTTTTTACTTTCTTCATGATGTTCTTTGGAACACGAAAGGTTTTCATTTTGATGAAGTCCAATTTTTATCCATCTTCTCGTCTATCATGCACATTTGGCGTCATTGCCTAACCCCAAATCATAAAGATTTAATTCCATGTTTTCTTCTAAGAGTTCTATAGTTTTAGCTCTTACATGTAAGTCTGTGACCTACTTTGAGCTCACGTTTGTGTGTGGTGTGAGAAAGGGGCCCAAGTTCATTCTTTTGTATGTTAATATACAGTTAACCCAGCAGCATTTATTGAAAAGACTATTGTTTCTCTCATTGACTTGTCTTGGTACCCTTGTTGAAAATCCATTGATCACAACTGTTACTCTAATTATATTCTGTTGATCTATGTCTGTCTTCATGCCAGACCACCCTGCCTTAATTAGTGTTGCCTTGCAATAAGTGTTGAGGTGGGGAACCATGAGTCTTCATGTATTTTTTCTTTCGATTCATGAACATGGGATGTCTTTCCATTTATTGAAATTTTTAATTTACTTCAGCAATGTTGTATAGTTTTCACGTCTTGCACTTCTTTTATTAAATTTCTTCTTAAATGTTTTATTTAAAACGGTGTTTTTGGTTTCTTATTTTTCAACAGGATTTCTTTATGCGTATATGATCATTCACAAAATACAGATCAGAGCTTCCCCCTTTTTGCAAAAACAACCCCCGAAATAAAAACAGAGCCTATGAGCCATGCTGTTATATACCTTATTTTGTTTTTATTTTTATTTTTTTAGTCAATATGTCTTGCTGTTCTTTCCATAGCAACATATAAAGAGCTTCCTCATTACTTCGATAGCTACATAAAAATCTAGTGTATAAATATACTGTAATTTACTCAGTCAATTCCCTGCCGATGGTTGTTGGGTTACTTTTAGTCTTCTGCTATTACAAATGTTACTGCAATGAATTTATCATTTCACACTTCAGGATAAATTGCAAAGTTTAATCACTGGGTCAGTGGGTAAATCCCTCAGTAATTTTGACAAATGTTGCCAAATTACCCCCATGGGGGTTATTTCTGTTTACTCTCCTTTCATGAGGAATAAGAATGCCACTCTCCCCATGGCTCTGCCAAAAGAAGGTGTTACTAAACTTTTGGAGTTTTAACAATCTCTTAGGGTGAAGATGGTATCAGTGTAGTTTGAATTTGCCGTCTCTTTTGAATGAGGCAAAGCATCCTTATGTTGTATTTTCCTGTCTATGAACTGTGTATTCATGCACTTTGCCCATTTTTCTCTTGGGTAGCTGGTCTTTATTTTTCCGTTTATTCTTTAGATTTGAGTTGCAAAGGTTTTGTGCCTGTTTTTCATATGTCTTTGGACTTAGGTGTTTGTTGTCATGAAGAAGTTTTTTTGTTTGCTTGTTTTGTGGATTCTATATTATGCATCTTTTCTTTTATGGATTTTGGGTCATAATTAGAAAGGCGTTTCATATTCCAATAATGTAAAGAAATTATCAAATGGTTTCTTCTCTATTAACTTTACATATTTTTATTCTTTTCACATTTAAATATTTTATTGGGTTGGGTCTTGATCTGAGGGAAGTTATTTCCTGTGCCTGTTTCTGGCCCAGTCACTTTGTGCCAAGAATCCTTTCTCTGAAGTGTTGAAAGCAACAGCCAGGACTTTCCCATTTCCCCACCAGGGCACCTCTCTGGATGGAGTCCTCCCTGGATGGAGGATGGAGGAGATGCAGGCAGGGAGGGAGCTGCTGATGAAACTCCGTATGATCCCTGCCCAGCTGTCTATCAGCACAGTGCAAGAATGTGGCTTGCTTTTCCTTCCACAAGCCTTTACTGAGGACAACTATATACAAGGAATCCAGTTACTGATTAGCATTTATCCAGCAACTGCTGTGTGCATGCTATCATGGAAGGCACTGGATTCAGAGACAAATGAGACAGTAGGAGGAGGCAGAATGGCTACACCCTGAAATGTCACCAATAAGAAATGTCACCCAGCAGTGGGTGCTGGGAATTCAGGTTCTGGGAGTAGTTCAGGTTCTGGGAGTAGTTCCCTCCCACCAGGAGCACTAATTTGATGCTACTATTATTAATAATCATCATTGGCTGGGCACGGGGGCTCACACCTGTGGTCTTAGCTACTTAGGAGGCTGAGTGGGGACAATCGCTTGAACCCAGGAGTTCAAGGCTGCAGTGAGCTGTGATTACACCCCTGCAGTTTTGTAGAGACAGAGCAACACCCTGTCTCTACAAAAAATTATCGTTAATATTATAATTATTTTATATTATTATAAGATTATAACTATTGACCCATTATATTTCATACTATTTATATCACAGTAACAACTACCAGTAGTAGCAGCCGTGTCTTGGGCCAGTTACATGCTTGTCATATACACACCCTTGAGAAGAGCTAGAAAAGGAAGCCTAGAATTCCCATTTTACAGGTCAAGAAAACTGAGGTTTTGCTTGGCCCAGGTTCTTCCCAGGATGACTCAGCTGTCCTTTCCCCACCACAGGCACTTCACTCCGGCACACTCTGGGTTACTCATCCATGGTGAATCCATTTTCAACATGAGCTGACAGGAGTCAAAAATTATGATGGGTAGAAGTGGTTGTCCCCATTTCACAAACAGAAAACTAAGAAGGTGACTTGACCAGTTCACCCAGGACCTAATTAAGTAGTTCTTCCTTTAGAACTAGCATGGGGATGGTGGGCTCTCAACCCTGAAAATCTCTGAAGGTTCATTCTGGGTGGAGATAGGAGCAGGCAGGGGTGGGTCTTAGTGCCATTTTCAATATTTCAAAATAGCCAGGTGAGAAATCATATACAGCTCACAGAAACCAAAAGCATCTTTTCCTCCTCCTCCATCATCCTCTTCCCCCTCCTCATCTGTCCTCCTCTTTTTTCCTTCTTCCACCCTTGTGTCTCCTCCTCTTCATCCTTCTCCTTCTCCTCTTTTTCCTCCTTCCTCTCCTTCCTGATTAACAGAAACCAGATTGTAAAGTCGTCATCTATTCCCATGCACGTCGCCCAGGTCTCAGGCTGCAGCCTCATCCAGGCACACATGCCGTGTCGTCACACTGGAATGCTCTCCTGTGCCCACCTCATTGATGAGCTCAGCTCATAGCCCCCAACCCAAGTTTGCACTCAGTGTTTGCTTGAAGGATTGAGTGAGAAATTCCTCCTATCTGCCAAGCTTTACTGTCTTTTTCCAGTCACATCTGCAGGTTTTCTTGGTGAAATTGTAAAGGGCAAGAACAAGGAGCTGACGTCTCCCCCCAACCCTGCTCCAAACTCCTGCACAGACCCCTCCCCACCAAGGAGGAAAAGATGGAGTTGGCTCACGCCAACAGGAATTGGCCCCTAAATTTTTGTTTCCTCAGTGCAGGTGTGGGCCTTGTCCAGCACAGCATTCTGTATCACAGAGAGTGGCAGTATTGATAAGGGTAGCAGCTCAGGAGGTTAAACCTTTACTAACATGCTTAGTACCATGCTAGGCACCTGCCATGCATATGCTACTCACAATGACCCTGTGCAGTAAGCAACAGCATCCTCATTTTACAGGGGAGGATGCTGGGTCTCCAAGAGGGGAAGTTGTGCCCAGGGTCACACACACAGGAGTACCAGGCACGTGATGCACAGTCCAGGGTTCCCAAGCAGGGCTGCCCCATGGCTTTCCCCAGGCTCATCCCCAAAGGCTCAGAAACTGGTCCACTCCCCATGCTGGTCCTTCACTTGTCCATTTTAGACGCTCTGGATTGATTTCCTACTTTCTAAGGTGAGGACTTGGACGTCACTATCTGCATGCATGCAGCCTCCCTTCCCCAGGCCCCCAGTGAAGGAGGGGTGCGTGTTCAGCTGGAGTCAAGGCAGACCTGCTGGCTGCCAGCTCTGCTCCAGAATGTCAACTCCTCTGCAGTTTAGTTCTCTTCCCTCTCCTTCCTCTCTCCTAGAAAGCCTGTTTTTGCCTTCGTTCATTGACGGTGGCCTAATGGCTCATACAGTGAGTAAACAATTTTACAGAAGAAATAATTCCACAGATAGCTCACTTATTTATGATGATGTAAATACTGCCCACACCTGAGCTGTACTTTTACCATTTTAATCGTTATGATGTGTACAGTAAAGTGGCATTAAGTACATGAACAAGTACCACTATCGATACCAAAGACTTTTCTATCGCCCCAGACAGAAATTCTGTACGCATTAATAACTTCTGCCTGTGGTAATCTCTGTTCTACTCTCTAACTCTATGAATTTGCTTCTTCTACTTTCTTCATGTAAATGGAATTGTACAATATTTGTCTCTATATGATTGTCTTATTTCACTTAGCATAATATCTTCAAGTTCATCCATGTCGTAGCATGTGTAAGTATTCCATTCATTTTAACAACTGAATAGTATCCCTCCGCGTACCTGTAACACATTTTGTTTATCCATTCATGCGCTGATAAACGATTGGGCTGTTTCCACCTTTGGCTGTTGTGAATATGCTGTTCTGAATGTTGGGGCACAAGTATCTGTTCACATCCCTGTTTCAGTTCCTTTAGATATTTACTTAGGCGTGGGATTACTGGGTCATGTGGTAGTTTTATGTTTGTCTTTTTGAGGAACTGCCAGACTTTTCCACAGCTGTTGCTCTGTTATACATTCCCATGAGCAGTGCCTTCACATCCACTTTCTTCACATCGCTGAAGCTGCTTATTTTCCATTTTTTTATAATAGCCATCCTAATGGGTGTGAACTGATATCTCATTGTGGTTTCAATTTGCATTTCCCTAATGAATAATGACATTGAGCATCTGTTCATGTGCTTATTGACCACTTGAATGTTTTATTTGGAGAAATGCTGATTCAAGCCTTTTGCCCAGTTTTGTTGTTGTTGTTGTTGTTGTTGTTGTTTTTAGATGGAGTCTCGCTTTGTAGCCCAGGCTGGAGTGAGGTGGCGCGATCTCAGCTCACCGCAAGCTCCACCTCCCAGGTTCACGCCATTCTCCTGCCTTAGCCTCCCTAGTAGCTGGTACTACAGGCGCCCGCCACCATGCCCAGCTAATTTTTTTGTATTTTTAGTAGAGACAGGGTATCACCATGTTAGCCAGGATGGTCTCGAGCTCCTGACCTTGTGATCCACCTGCCTCGGCCTCCCAAAGCGCTAGGATTACAGGTGTGAGCCACCACACCCGGCTGCCTTTTGGGTAGTTTTGACTTGTGTTGTTTGGATTTTTGTTGTTGAGTTTTAAGAGTGTGGGGTTTTTTTTTTTTTTTGCTTTTGTGTTTTTGTTTTGAGATGGAGTCTTGTTCTATCTCCAGGCTGGAGTGCCGCGGCACGATCTCAGCTCACTGCAACCTCTGCCTCCCGAGTTCAACTGATTCTGCTGCCTCGCCTCCCGAGTAGCTGGGACTACAGGTGCATGCCACCACGCCCAGCTAATTTTTGTATTTTTAGTAGAGACGGGGTTTCACCATGTTGGCCAGGATGGTCTCAATCTCTTGACCTCATGATCCTCCCACCTCGGCCTCCCAAAGTGCTGGGATTACGTGCTCCTAAATTGCATGATAATGTATGCTAGTATTTGAGACTGTATTGCAATGATGCTTGATTGACTCTTTCAGTCTGGAAGCCAATGTCCTTCACATCATTAGTCAACCTTTGGAGTTCCTGAAATGATTCCATAATTTCGTATCTTTTGTCTCCTGTTTTCTGAACAATTATTCAATTACATCTTTGAGCTTTTCTACTGATATTTTTATTCTGGCTATAAAATAATTTCTTATAATTCTCATTTGTTCTACGAACGTCCTTTACAATAGTCTGCTGTTTTGTTTCTTAGATACACAATCCTCTCTTATATTTCTGGGGATCTCAACTCTTGCTGCTCTTGTTTTAAAATGCTCTTCTGTTTCCTGCGTGTCTTCGTTGGCACCAGGTGTCTGCCTTCTGTTTGGTTTGAGTTTGCTTTCCTGCTAGAGGCAGTGCTCCCATATCAGGTGACCCTTGGCCATTGGTTCACAAGTCAGACTGAGGCACTGACAGCTGCCTGGAAGTTCTGGGTAAGCAGATGGGCTCACTCGTGTAGAAGCTTTGCTCCAGTGGGATCAGGCAGGGACTTGGACATTTTCTGGAGAGAATCTCCCGCTGTCAGTGCCTCTGGGTCTTTTCCTTTGGGTCTGTTTTCCCAGAGCAGAGACTTCTGATTTCCTGCCAGTTTCAGGGTAGGAAGGCAGGTGTCTTTAAAAACCTGGTTGCCGTACTCCTTAGGTAGGGGCTGGGGTGAGTGAAGAGAGGGGAGACTGACCATCCAAGAGGAAGATTTTCACAGTCTCCCTGTTGCCAGGAAGGACCACGTTGCTACCCTCAGCTGTGTCCAAGGAGACCCCACTGTTATGCCCGGGCGGGTGGAGGGACTGGCACCTGCCTTGGAATGGGGATGTGCTGTGGTCACGCCCTCTTTATGTAAGTTTTCAACCAATCCTCTTTCAGAGCTTCCTGCCTCCTGCCCAGCCCCTGCTGTCAGAGATACTTGGTGCTTCCAGTTCTGGAGACTTCCTTGAGTTCTGTGACTCAAAACAACTTCCTTCCCCTGTGGGCATCAACAATGAGAGATCTTCAGATGCGATCAGGCACTCCAGTCCTTCCATCTCCCACAATGTTGGAGACCTGTGTTCCCTGCTGTAGAAACCTCTGCCATTCCCTTTATCTCTGAAGACAGATGGACTTGACTGTCAGCTTAGCTTGGTTTCAGGAGGAAAGGAAGATAAACCCCTGTGTTTAAGCTGCCGTGTTAAATGGGAGGCACCTGGTCTTTTTTCTTTTTCTTTTTTAAAGACTGGGTCTCGCTCTGTTATCCAAGCTGCAGTGCAGTGATGTGATCATAGCTCACCTCAGCCTTGAACTCTCAGGCTCAAGCGATCCTCCAGCCTCAGCCTCCTGAATTGCTGGGATTATAGCACCTGGCCAATTTTAAAATCTTTCTGTAGCGACAGGATCTCACTATGTTGCCCAGGCTGGTCTTGAACCCCTGGCCTCAAGGAATTCTCCCACAACCTCCCAAAGTGCTAAGATTACAGGCAAGAGCCATGGTGCCCAGCCACCTCTGGTCTTCCCTCAGTTTGCTTTCATTAAAGGACAAACACATGCCTTGCAAAATGCTTTTAAACATTTTTAAGGAGAAGTTGTTGGGGGAAGCAAATGTCATGAAATCAGAAAAGGATGGAGAAGGTGATGCATGCACACAGTGGAAGACTCACAGTAACACAAAACCAGACACACAGAGAGCACCCACATGGATGAGTCTCAGGCACCACGTGGAGGGACAAAACCAGACACGGAAGTTCCAGAAGGGGCAATATTAACCTATGGGGGTAACAACAGAACAGTAGCTGCCTCTAGGAGTGGGCATTGGGTAGGAGGGGACCCCAGGGAGTCTTCGGGGTGAGGAAATGTCCTACGTCTCCATGTGGGCTGTAAAGACACAGGTGCATACATACATCAAATTTCACCAAGCTGTATTCTTCAGCTTTTTGTGCACCTTACACACATCATTGTGGTTGTTTCATACTTTAGTAAAAAAGAAAATGGAAAGGAAATTGACATTTCTTGGTTCTTGCTGTGTGCTAGGCACTGACTTGGTCCGCACTTAAAGAAACCATTCACTTAATGAGCAGGTGCTGTGTCCTAAGTACTATCTAGGTTCTGAGGACTCAGCAATTAATAAGAAAAATTAGGCACAGTCCCTGCCAGATGGTGCTCACAGTTAGTGTAGGAGCCAGCATCAAATAACCACACGCACAGAAGGAAAGTGACCACAGCAACAGGTAAAGGGCAGTGCGAGTGTGTAGAAGAAGGACCGTGTCCTAGTCTAGGGGGCAAGTCAGAAAGGCTTCCCTGGGAGATCAGGTTTAGACAGAGGTCTCAGGTTGAGAAGGAATAAGCAGCTGAGGGGCAGGGGCTGGGGAGAAGGGCACGTCATGCGAGGGAACAGCAGGTGCAAAGACCCTGTGGCAGGGAGAGGAGCGGCACGTTAAGGAGGGCAAGGGGCAGGGCCCAGCAGGGCACTATTGATGTGAGAGAGCAGGGGGCCTGCAAACCATTTGCAGATAGGGAAACTGAGGCTGGAGAGGGGAGGTGGCTGCCCTAGGCCTCCAGCCAGCACAGTGGGAGTTGGAAGCCAGCTTTCTCTGCCCTCTCTGCTCCTGAGACAGCACTTATGTCTATGGGAAAGTGGACAGCAAGAGGCTGGGCTGCGACCACCTGCCAGCTGCCCTCACGCTTCTGGTCTCTCAGCTCCACAGGGCCTGTGAGCAGGGCTGGCTATGAGATCCTGCCCTGAAGAGCAGTACTGGGCTGCTCTGCTAGGCACCTGCATGTCCTGCAAAGCCATCTGCAACCATCAGAGCCAGCGCACCTGTGCAGCCTCCTGCGGTGAGTTCTGGGACCTGAGCCCAGGGGACAGTGTGATCACCCCCAACGCCTGTCCCCAGAGCACCCTCTGGCCCCACAGTCAGGTGGCTGAGGAGAGGATGGCAGGAGGAGATGTACAGTGTGGCACCTCTTATCCCTCCACCTTCCTGCTCTGGCCACACTGCCTCCTTTCAGTGTCGAACATGCCATGTTCTTCCCTGCCTCGGGTTCTTTGCACATGTTGTTCCCGCTGCCTGGAATGCATGCTCTCTATCATCTTCCCTCAGCTCCCTCCTACCCAACTTTCAGGTCTCGGCCCAAACATCGGGGGTCTCCTCTGACCACACAGTAGTACTGGGCCCTCCTTTGTACTGCTAGTGTTACTTTCTTTTGAAACTTTTAATTACAGAACTTACCACACATATACATAGAGAGGACTGCACAATGATGCCCTCCTCATCCATTACCAGCTTCACAAATCATTTAAATTCTGCCTTGTACTTTCCCAACCAGTTGTTTTGGCTTGTGTATTTTAAAGCAAAGCCAAGACCTCATATCATTTTACCTGCAGATACTGGGCCATAAAGATCTGTAAAACATAACCCAAATATCCTATCACTGCCAGCAATAATTTATTAACATCATCTAATATTCAGGCCATATCCAATTTTCCCTGATTGTCTTGAAAACTATCCATTGCTTGCTGTTCTTTTTCATAATCTGTCTTTTTCCTTGATAGAACTTACCACAATTTGCTGTTTTGTTCTTTTGTGTGTATGTGTTTCACATCTACTCAGCCACTGGACTGGGTGCTCCCTGAGGGGAGGAACCATGTCTGACTTGAACCTAGCACAGTGCCTGACACATAGTAAGTCCTTCATGAATACTTGCTGAGGGGAACTCAGAGAGGCTGAGTGACTTACCCAAGATCACACAGCTTAAAAGTGAAGATGTCAGGGTTTGAACCCAGGACTCTGACTCCTAAATCATACCCTGAACCGTTACCCATTAATGAATTAGAACATTCATTGATTCATCCCACAAACATAGATGGAGTGCTCCAGCCCCATGGAAATAGGAATCTGGTGTGGCCCTTCAAGGACAGTATCATCTAATGGGAGAAATGATTGTGTGTCAAGGTAGAAAGCCATAGTTGGGGCCGGGCGTGGTGGCTCATGCCTGTAATCCCAGCACTTCAGGAGGCCAAGGCGGGCGGATCACCTGAGGTCGAAAGTTCGAGACCATCCTGACCAACAAGGAGAAACCCTGTCTCTACTAAAAAAAAAAAAAATATACAAAATTAGCCAGGCGTGGTGGCACATGCTTATAATCCCAGCTACTGGGGAGGCTGAGGCAGGAGAATCTCTTGAACCCAGGAGGCAGAGGTTATGGTGAGCCAAGATCACGCCATTGCACTCCGGCCTGGGCAACAACAGTGAAACTCCGTCTCAAAAAAAAAAAAAAAAAAGCCACAGTTGGGAGAGACCACCTTCAGCTGGCGGCGGGGGGTAGCAGGGAGGTGTCCCTGGAGGAAGCACCATCAGAGGCAGATTGTTAAGAGGCCACAGAATGCAGAAATCAGTTGAAGGGGAAGGGTGCCTGGAAGAGAGGACAGCATGAGCAGAGGTGGGAAACATAGCGGGGAAGACTGAGTCCTGGGTGGGGGCGGGGTGGGGTGTGAGGTCAGGCAGGGAGGGTCAGCGGTCTGGGGCGCTCAGGCACCACCTGCAACAGCCATACTGGGACCACTGAGGAGGGGAGGAGGTCACAGAAAGCCTCAAGGACACCACTGCTGGGCTGAGTGTGCCAGGAGTGGAGGTATCAGTTTCTGTGCAGTTCACTGAGCCCTGGGATAGGGCAGGGCCAGAGTAGGGGAGGCCCCATGTGGGCCATCTGAGTTTTCTTCGAGGTTCCAACTCCGTGGTCTTTTAGGTCCGTCCTTTACTCTGTCAAAGACACAAGGACAGGTGTGTATTTACTTTGTGAAGAGGCTCAAATGAGTATTCTACTCAAGCCTTCCATTAAGTGGACATTTAGTATGTGCCAGGTGCTGTGCTGGGCACTTCAACTCTGCCAACGACCCTAAGAAGTCAGTACTGTTATTTTCCCTTTATTGGAAATGAGGAAACTGAGGCATGGAGAGGCTATGACCACACTGCCTGCAAGTGGTACAGCCAAGGTAGGCTCTGAAATGTGGGTTCTTATCCACTCTCCTGCAATGCCTCTGAAATGTGTCCTTAAAATATCTCTGTGAGCCACAGAGGGACCATCTCCTACAATTAAGAATGGCTATTGGCAGCCGCCGCCGCCCGACCGCCGGGAGGATGGAGTTCAGCGGGCAGCGGAGCTGTCTCAGTCTTTGCCGCCGCGCCGGCGAGCGCCGCCCGGGAGGCAGCGGCTGGAGGAGCGGACGGGCCCCGCGGGGCCCGAGGGCAAGGAGCAGCCGCCTGCCTTGGCCTCCCAAAGTGCCAAGATTGCAGCCTCTGCCCGGCTGCCACCCCGTCTGGGAAGTGAGGAGTGTCTCTGCCTGGCCGCCCATCGTCTGGGATGTGAGGAGCCCCTCTGCCTGGCTGCCCAGTCTGGAAAGTGAGGAGCGTCTCCGCCCGGCCGCCATCCCATCTAGGAAGTGAGGAGCGCCTCTTCCCAGCCGCCATCACATCTAGGAAGTGAGGAGCGTCTCTGCCCGGCCGCCCATCGTCTGAGATGTGGGGAGCGCCTCTGCCCCGCCGCCCCATCTGGGATGTGAGGAGCGCCTCTGCCCGGCCGAGACCCCGTCTGGGAGGTGAGGAGCGTCTCTGCCCGGCCGCCCCGTCTGAGAAGTGAGGAGACCCTCTGCCTGGCAACCACCCCGTCTGAGAAGTGAGGAGCCCCTCTGCCCGGCAGCTGCCCCGTCTGAGAAGTGAGGAGCCTCTCCGCCCGGCAGCCACCCCATCTGGGAAGTGAGGAGCGTCTCCGCCCGGCAGCCACCCCGTCCGGGAGGGAGGTGGGGGGGGTCAGCCCCCCGCCCGGCCAGCCGCCCCATCTGGGAGGGAGGTGGGGGGTCAGCCCCCCCGCCCGGCCAGCCGTGCCATCCGGGAGGGAGGTGGGGGGGGTCAGCCCCCCGCCTGGCCAGCCGTGCCATCCGGGAGGGAGGTGGGGGGGTCAGCCCCCCGCCCGGCCAGCCGCCCCGTCCGGGAGGTGAGGGGCGCCTCTGCCCGGCCGCCCTCAGCCCGGCCAGCCACCCCGTCCGGGAGGGAGATGGGGGGGTCAGCCCCCCCACCCGGCCAGCCGCCCCGTCCGGTAGGGAGGTAGGGGGGTCAGCCCCCCGCCTGGCCAGCCGCCCCGTCCGGGAGGGAGGTGGGGGGGTCAGCCCTCCGCCCGGCCAGCCGCCCCGTCTGGGAGGTGAGGGGCGCCTCTGCCCAGCCGCCCCTACTGGGAAGTGAGGAGCCCCTCTGCCCGGCCAGCCGCCCCGTCCGGGAGGAGGTGGGGGGGTCAGCCCCCCGCCCAGCCAGCCGCCCTGTCCGGGAGGGAGGTGGGGGGGGGTCGGCCCCCCTGCCCGGCCAGCCGCCCCGTCCGGGAGGTGAGGGGCGCCTCTGCCCGGCCGCCCCTACTGGGAAGTGAGGAGCCCCTCTGCCCGGCCAGCCGCCCCGTCCGGGAGGGAGGTGGGGGGGTCGGCCCCCCGCCCGGCCAGCCGCCCCGTCCGGGAGGGAGGTGGGGGGGGGTCGGCCCCCCTGCCCGGCCAGCCGCCCCGTCCGGGAGGTGAGGGGCGCCTCTGCCCGGCTGCCCCTACTGGGAAGTGAGGAGCCCCTCTGCCCGGCCAGCCGCCCCGTCCGGGAGGGAGGTGGGGGGGTCAGCCCCCCGCCCGGCCAGCCGCCCCGTCCGGGAGGGAGGTTGGGGGGTCAGCCCCCCGCCCGGCCAGCCGCCCCGTCCGGGAGGGAGGTTGGGGGGTCAGCCCCCCGCCCAGCCAGCCGCCCCGTCCGGGAGGGAGGTGGGGGGGGTCAGTCCCCCTGCCCGGCCAGCCGCCCCGTCCGGGAGGTGAGGGGCGCCTCTGCCCGGCCGCCCCTACTGGGAAGTGAGGAGCCCCTCTGCCCGGCCACCACCCCGTCTGGGAGGTGTGCCCAACAGCTCATTGAGAACGGGCCAGGATGACAATGGCGGCTTTGTGGAATAGAAAGGCGGGAAAGGTGGGGAAAAGATTGAGAAATCGGATGGTTGCCGTGTCTGTGTAGAAAGAAGTAGACATGGGAGACTTTTCATTTTGTTCTGCACTAAGAAAAATTCCTCTGCCTTGGGATCCTGTTGATCTGTGACCTTACCCCCAACCCTGTGCTCTCTGAAACATGTGCTGTGTCCACTCAGGGTTAAATGGATTAAGGGCAGTGCAAGATGTGCTTTGTTAAACAGATGCTTGAAGGCAGCATGCTCGTTAAGAGTCATCACCAATCCCTAATCTCAAGTAATCAGGGACACAAACACTGCGGAAGGCCGCAGGGTCCTCTGCCTAGGAAAACCAGAGACCTTTGTTCACTTGTTTATCTGCTGACCTTCCCTCCACTATTGTCCTATGACCCTGCCAAATCCCCCTCTGTGAGAAACACCCAAGAATTATCAATAAAAAAATAAATTAAAAAAAAAAAAAGAATGGACTTTCCCAGGCCAGCTGTGGTGGCTCACGACTGTAATCCCAGCACTGTGGCAGGCCAAGGCGGGCAGATCACCTGAGATCAGGAGTTCAAGACCAGCCTGACCAACACGGAGAAACCCCGTCTCTACTAAAAATAAAAAAAATTGGCTGGGCGTGGTGGTGCATGCCTGTAGTCCCAGCTACTTGGGAGGCTGAGGCAGGAGAATTGCTTGAACCCAGGAGGCAGAGGTTGTTGTGAGCTGAGATTGCACCATTGCACTCCAGCCTGGGCAACAAGAGGGAAACTCCATCAAAAAAAAAAAAAAAAAAAAGGACTTTCTCAAAGAAAATGTATTTAAATGTCTGCACCAATAATTCCAGCATGTGTATGAATAAATATGATATGTCCTTTACAGTGAAAAAAAAAAAAAAGAATGGCTATTGTTAGTCAAAAAACAACAGATGCTGGTGAGGCTACAGAGAAAAATGAACACTTTATACACCGTTGGTGGAATGTAAATTAGTTCAGCCACAAGAAAGCAATTTGGAGATTCCTCAAAGAATTTAAAACAGTTACCATTCAGCACAGCAATCCCATCACTGGGTGTGTATGACCCAAAGGAAAATAATACATCCTACCAAAAGGACACATACACACGTATGTTTGTCACAGCACTGTTCACAATAGCAAAGACATGGAATCAACCTAGGTGCCCATCAGTGGTGGATTGGATAAAGAAAATGTGGTACATACACACAATGGAATACTACACAGCCATGAAAAGAAAAATCATGTTCCTTGCAGCAACATGGATGCAGCTGGAGGCCATTATCCCAAGTGAATTAATGCAAGAACAGAAAACCAAATACCGCATGTTCTCACTTACAAATGGAACCGTAAGCATTGTGTACAGATGGACATAAAGACAGGAACAACAGACACTGGGGCCTACTTGGGGGGAGGCAGGGAGGGGCCAAAGGCTGAAAAACTACCAATCAGGTATTATGCTCACTACCTGGATTTTGCTCTAACACAGCCTCTCCTGAGAGGAAGCACAGATTCACACAGAGGGGGTGTGGATACAGAGGGGCTGAGCCCAGCCACAGATGCGAGGGGCCATGCCTGCCGCCCTGGTGTCTGGCCACCTGCACACCTTCCCTGCATCCAGTGATGCATTTGAAACTTCCCGCCAAACTTGGAACCTTTCTCACCTGCAGTGCAATGGATTCCCCTTTGGTTCATCCTTACCCACCTCACAGATCAAGAGACTTGAGTCTCAAATTTGGAGTGACTCGCTGACAGTCACAGAGAATGCACAGCTGAGTTGGGATTTGAGCACAGTCTGTGGGTTCCAAAGTTTGTCCCCTCTGCAACCGCAAAATGACCCAGTGGCATCCACAGGGCTAGTGTTCCTTGGGCGTGAGCTGTTGCCCCTGGGACAAGGTTAGCCACTTCCTGTGTGTGACCCCCAGTCAAGCCCCCTTCCCAGAGGGCACTGGGCAGAACATCAGATCCTCATCTTGGCTTCAGGGATGGAGCCCCAGGCTGTGAGCGTGGGGGCTGTGTGAGGACATGTTGGTGCCAGTAGGGTCGGCATTACCACACCTCACCCCACATCAGCTGCCACACTTGTGCCATGGCGTGGATTTTGGTGGCTCTGTGACTGTCACTGCCCAGCCCTGTGTTTCTCCAGGGGCCCAGGGCTAAGGTCTGTTCTGACCTCTGATGCCTGCATGGGCTGGTGGGGCAGGAGGGGAGCTTGCTGTGGATTGCAGACACGAAGTACAGAGCTACATGGCCAGGGGAGGGGACCCAGAGGTAGACCTATTTGAGGACAGGGAGCAGAGAACACCATGTGACCAAGTTGTCTAGCTGCACACGCTGGAAGGGCTGACCTGTTCCTCTGGCCCCTTCGTGGGCTCCCTGAATTCTGCTGTCCCGTCTCCAGCCCTGCCAGACCCCACCTCACCCCGACTCCAGGTTTCCCACTGAGAACTGCCACTCCTTAGTGAGACCTGGAACTGTGGTGGGCTTGTTGTGCGTGGGGAGGGAAGACAGTAAGGCAGGTCCTGTCCCAGACTGGTGGAGTTCACCACCTTGTGGAAGGCCAAGCAGTGGACGAGTTACGCAGGTGACACATTCCTCTCAGTGCACGGAGGCCACATAACCCAGCTGCAGGTGAGATGGGGAAGGGGAAGGCTTCCCCAAGGAGGACAGGGCAGGCTGTGGCAGGGGTGTGGAGTGTGGAGCCAGGCCCCTAGTTATGTCCCTTACAAGGTGTGTAGCCTGGAGCAAGTGACTGTCGGTTCTGTGAGGCTGAGGTTGTTCACCTCATGCAGTCGCTGTGAGGATAATCTGGGAGAATACATTTTGAGGGGATCACGTGCTCTGTGCACTGGAACTGCTCATTCAAAAAGCAACCATGGGCCAGGCGCGGTGGCTCACACCAGTAATCCCAGCACTTTGGGAGGTTGCGCCATGTGGATCACCTGAGGTCAGGAGTTTGAGACCAGCCTAGCCAACATGGCGAAACCCCGTCTCTACTAAAAATACCAAAATTAGCCAGGCGTGGTGGTAGGTACTTGAAATCCCAGCTACTTGGGAGACTGAGGCAAGAGAATCACTTGAACCCAGGAGGCGAAGGTTGCAGTGAGCCAAGATCAGGCCATTGCGTTCCAGCCTGGGTGATGAATAAAACTCCGTCTGAAAAAAAAAAAAAAAAAAAAGCAACCATATTGAAACCACACAGTGGGGACAGGGGGTTCCAGGCAGAGGCAACAGCACTTACAGGTGCTGCTAGGAGCAGGGAAGGCTGTGAGGGGCTCTGTGCTGAAGGCTGGGCTAAATCCCTTCCTCTGGGGCTCCCAGCCTGTGGGAGTGTGGGGTTCACTCTACATACAGAAGCAGGAGGGACCCCACCCCAGATCTCCTTTGAAGGTGGAGACACTTCCACACGCTCACCAAGAGGGCACAGAAAGACCTTCCACGCACACAGCAAGAGGGCTGTGAAAGACCTCTACAAGGAAAACTGCAAAACACTGCTGAAAGAAATCACAGATGACACCAGCAAAGGGAGACACATCCCATGCTCATGGATGGGTAGAATCAATTTTTTTTTAGTTATTCCCAAATTTTTATGAGGGATTCACACATATTATGAACACTTAATAAAACCCACCTGTTGCTGTTATTTCCAAATATTTATGAGGGATTCATACATATGAACATTTAATAAAACCCACCTGCTGTTCACACATTGGGCTTCGTGGGGAGAGCAGGGGCAGGCTCCCAAGCTGGACTGAAAATGGCTTGAGATGTTGATCAGGAGAGGAGACTGGCCTGGGGTTCTGTTGTGACGACTCCAGGCTGACGCGAGGAGCTCCCTGTCCAGGCTTGGGGGTAGGTGCAGGGAGCATCTGTGTCTCCCTAAGGGGACAGGGAGCCTGCCTCAGCGACTGGGGGCTGCTCATTTGCCCGGCAGAGGAGGAGGAGGAGCACCAAGGGCACAACACTGTTCCTCCACGTGAGGGTTGCTAAGGACTGAGTTGGGAAGAGCAAGGATTCATGGGTGGCTGGAGATGGCACCAGGAGGGACCAGGTGATGGCTCCATGTGTGAGGCTGGGAGGCCGATGTCCTGCTGGGGGGAGGGGCAGCCACTGGAAGAGGGGTCAGAGCAGGGCTGTGGGGAGAGCCCCTTGTTGCTCCTGGATGATGGTGATGGCAGCAGGGGTCCTATGAAAGGCTGTTTCTGGCAATAATGGGAACCAGAGATGACAAGGACCTGGAAGGGGGACAGAGGAACAGTGCATTGGCATGAGATTAGAACTGGAGGGAGAGGCCCTGTAGTGATCATAATGGCTGTCATCTCACAGGGCTCTTGTGGGGCCTCAGTGACTTGGGGTTTGCCAAGTACAGAACCATGCCCAGGACTGAAAGGTCCACCACCCTGGCTGGATGGGTGCCATCCTAGGACAGGCTGTATTTGCTTCCTGGGGCTGCTGTGACAGGGTCCACATGCTGGGTGCTTAAAATAACACTGATTGATTCTCTCGGGACTGGAGGCCAGAAGTCTGAGATTCCACGGTCAGCAGGGCCCCACTCCCTCTGAAAGTCCAGGGGAGGATCCTTCCCTGCCTCCTCCAGCTTCTGGTGGCTGCCCCAGGCCTCCTGGGCTGGTGGCCACTTCACTCCCATCTCTGTCTCTGTCTTCACATGGCTTCTTTCCTGTGCCTGTGTCTCTTGCCTTCTCTTCTCGTATAGGACACTTGTCACTGGATCTGGGGCCCACCCTAATCCAGGATGATCTCATTTCCAGATCCTTGTATTCATATGTCTGCAAAGAATCTTTTATCCAAATAAGGTCACATGTGCAGGGGGCATACCCTTCGGGTGAGGGGGGGCACCATTCAGCTTACTACATAGGGTGAGGGACAGGGCTGCCTGCCAGGGCAGGTACTTCATAGAAACCAGCTCTGAGTTAGGACCCCGCCCCCATGTGAGGGTGATACCGGCCTTGGGGTCAGCCAGGGCCCCCATGTGGGTTCAGAGTTCTGTGGAGCCTTTCACCTGGAGAGTTTACATTGTGTTGGCCTAGAAGGTGGCAGTTGAAGTCACAGAAATGGAAAAGGTTGTGCAGGGACTGGGAGGTGTAAGGAGAGAAAGGGATAGAAAAGAAGGTCCTATGTGGGGGAATCTGCATTTGAGGGGTCAGAAGAGGAAGAGGGTCCCACAGAGACATGGAGAAAGAGCAGGTGGGGAGGTCAGAGCAGCTCCAGCAGGGCTGTGTCCACAAAGAAAGTTCTAGAAGGCCGTACTTAACAGCACAGAGAAAGGACATCATAAGACACCTACATATGTCCCCAGCTCTGCCACAAGGAGGTCAGAGGATGCTATAAAGGGCCATTTTCAGGTGCCCCCAAGTTGAGGTTGCCCTTGGTGGCTCTGGCCAGGGGCATGGTGGGAGCTGTGAGCTCGGAGCCCTGTGTCACTGCTGGGAGGCTGGGAAAGGCTGACAAACTGGACCCTTCCTCTGCCCTGCTTTTTTCTTAGACGCATCATTTGTCCGTCCCTTCACTCTGGCTCATGGGAACCTCATCAGATACAAATGTGGCAGGGGTGGGGTGTGGGTGGACAGGACCCCCATCTGGAAGAAATCAGAAATGGTCAAGCTGATGCCTGGGGGTTGGAAGCCAGTGCACACTAGGGTCAGGCCAGACATGGGGTGAGCGTGAGCCCCATGCTCACGGGGAGGAAGGACGTGCCAGGGAGCGCCGGCGTGACATGGAGTCATGGTAGCCTTGAAAGCAGAGGCAGCGCTGTCGCCGGTAGGAGCAGGGGTCCCAGGAGCCCGCCTGGATGGCAGCTTCAAGTCAATGCTCCGCTGAGACCTTAGCTCAGCTCTGCCGGGCTGGGAGTTGAGGGATGGAGTCACACTGTTTTTGCTCCAGGAACTGCTCAAGATGTCACTTATTTTAGGTGCTAGAACTAGATGGGGTGGCCCTGGCTGCAGGTCTCCTGGTTTGCATTTCATCTGTGTGTCTTGGGTTGGAAGGGTGCTTTTTCTTTTGTCCCGACTGCACCATGTGCCCTCACAAGGGAGAAGCAGGACGCTCCGGTTTTGCTTCCCGGGGTTGAAGCCAAGGTCCAGGGACCTGCAAAGGCAGGGACAGAACCACAGGGGAGAGGGTGGGCCAGTGTCACAGGGGTGAAGGGCCACCCTAATGAGATGCTGCACAAGATGGGGGGTCCAGGGAGACTTTTTTTTGATGGGCATGATCTGGGTGCTGGGAACGGGCTGAAGTCTGTGTGTCCCTCCTGGTGTACACAGACGGCCTCCTACCACCAGCAGGATGGAGGGTCGCCTTAGAGAGGTGGCCCCAGAAAGACCCAGGGACCCCAGGCCCAAAGGAAGAAAGGAGGTGACACTCTGGAAACCACTTCAGTCAAAGGCCACACACGGAATGGGAGACTTACGCCCAGCCTGCCCTCCTGCCTTTTCCCGAACTTAATACACGTGTGCATCACGCACACACATGCAGATGCGCACACATATGCACGTGTACACACACGTGCATGCACATACGCAGACACCCGGAGGACATAGGGTCCTCTGCAGGGAAGGCCTGAAGGTGTGCACATTTGGAGGTTGTAATGATCTCACAGGAAGGCTGTACCTCACATAGAAAAGCCCCTCTTAAATATTGGCAGCCCACCATGTGTCAGGGACACACCTGAAACGTTCATGGCGCCAAGACCACAGGGAGGGAAGGAGAGATGCTTGCAGAGCAGAAGGACCAGGAAGTGGGGACCACCACGGGGACCTGCAGCCTGGGACCCCCGAGGAGGGTGGCAGAAACCTTGGCCGGGCGAGAGATCCGGCAGCCCCTGCCCGCCCGTGCCCACGTTGCCTCCAGGCTCCCCTTGCTGGCTGGGCCCCCAAGGTGTGAGTGCATGGCCACGGGCTGGAACTTTCTACCCAGGTTCTCTGCCTCCTGCATGTTTGCAGGGACCCTTGCTAATGCCAAGCCCCTCTGTGGAGAGAGAGGGGTATCAGGCCCCACTCTGCAGATGCAGACACTGAGGGCCAAGGCGACTGAATGAAACATCCAGAACCATAGCCCCCTGCCCTCCTGCCCCCTCCCTCTCCCCCGCCAGGCCCACCCCTAAATGACAAGTCCCAGTGCTGCCTAGCAGGCTGGCCCGAGCCTGCGCTGGGAAATGCAGCAGGCTGGGGCAAGTATTTTTGGGTGAGAGATGGCTTTGAAAACAGTTTGAAAAACAAAAGAAAAAGCGTAGAAATAAACTTTATGCCAGCCTGCCTGGTCCTAAGGCCTCAGAAGCTGTGGGTGCTGCCTCCTGGTGGTAAGGCCTACAAACTGCACCTCTGGGACCCTTCCCCCAGGCTTGATTTTCAGACAAGGCTAGAGAATGAGCTTTTTTTTTTTTTTTTTTTTTTTTGACAAAAGCTTGTGACTAGGCCCCTTTGTTCCCAGGAAACAGCAGACAGTGAGCCGCAGGGCAGGGCCTCTCCATGCCGTGAATTCCCGCTTGTCCTTTCTCACATAATCTCAAGTGAGGCTTATTTACAGCTCCTTGTCTGCCTTCCACCGGGGTGGCACTGGAGTGCCTCCCTGGCTATTCTCACCCCACATCTCTTGGAGATCGTTCCCTCTTAGGACACATGGCCTTGCCTCATTGGCTGGAGTGACTGCGTGGTATTCCGTCTCATGAGTGTGTCATGATGCATTTAACCCTTCATCCCCTGTGGATGGAAGGTTAGGCTGGATCCCGTCTTTTGCAACCTGAACAATGTTGGAGAGATACCATTTGTGTGCTGGGGGAGACGCAGCCCTAGAAGTGAAGCTGATGCAGCAAGGGGAGCCAGGGAGGCACATTGTAAATGGTGGCGGGTGGTTCCAAATGGCTCTCGAGAGTACACTCCACCACGAATATGTGAGGTGCCTGTGCTCCCCCCGCCCCCGACGTGACAGGTAGAAACTGATATTTTTCCTAGTTCTAATTTGCATTGATTTTCTTAGGCTAGGGATTTTGAATGACGTGTGTATCCTAAGGGCCAGGCAGGAGCTATGTTTCATTTCCCACAGAAAGCCTCAGATCACTGGCCTGGGCAGAGAGGAATGAGAAGCTGGGGCACCTTCTTCATGTCCTCAAGAGCAGCAAGTCTCTGTTCTGGTCATTCAAACTCAGTGCCCTAAAAATGACCATTATGTGACCTTGCATGGCTCTGTGGGGTGGCGGGGCTCAGCTGGGTGGGTCTTCTGCTGCTCTTGCTTGGGGTCTCTTGAGAAGATGGTCCTGGGGATGAAGCCATTGGAGGCTTGGCTCTGATGCTGTGATGGTCAGGCCTCGCTTCTCCTCCAGGTGATCTCAGGGCCTGTCCCTCTCCATGGGGCCTCTCCACCTGGACGACTTGAGTGGTGCTCAAAGCTCCCAAGGGAGCAAACACCGAGGCTGTCAGGCCTTCTTGAGGCGGAGGCCCAGAGTGGCACAGCCTCACCCCCACGGCACTCTCCTGGAATGAGTCCCAGATAGTCCACAAGGGTGTGATGTTGGGTGACCGTGCTCTGGGCGTGGTGGATCAGCTGCTGGACGGTGAGAGGCACTCCCTGCAGGGTAGGTGGACGGCTGCCCCCAGGGCCTTACACAGCAAGGCCAGGGGACGGCCACCCTGGCCGGTGAGCCCGACTTCCAGGCAAGGCGCCTTCCTTGCATCCCAGCTTGTTTGGAGCCTCCAGGACATCCCTACTGAGGGTCCCACAGGAGCCTGGGTCTGGACAGGGACCCTCTCACCTCAAGTCAGACACCTTTCATCCCCAACAGCAGAGGGACTGATACCTCCCCCTGGCTACCCTCTGTCGCCCGAAGCCAGCCCTGACTTTGTGCAGGCGCCACTCACCTTCCTGAGGGTCCACCTGCCTCCCAGCTGGCTGTGCTCCCAGCCACCCTCCCTGCACATGAATGGGCCAACGAAGTCCAGATAGCAATGTCTGCCCATCACATATCCCCCAGCCTGACCCCATATCCAGCATCCCAGCACCCACCCTGTTCTGCTGGCACCCACCTGCCTCAGCCCTGCTTCGTGGTGTCAGAGGCAGGCCTATCCTCCTGGCACCTCGACCCAGGAAGCTGCTGGGCAGCGCCTCCAGCCAGGGCCCTCCTCCCCTGGGCTGAGGCTGTGTGGTGGGGTCACTGGATGGGAGGGAGGGAGGCCTTGGGGCCCGGAGTACCCTGCCACTACCCAGCAATTCCAGCTGATGCCTCCACATCTTTGGAGTTGGGTCTGATTGGTGATGGGTTGGGGGCTTCTCAGTGTTCTACAGTCCAATACTGCCCAGCTCCGGAGGCTCCTATTGTACCAGGAGCAGGTGTTGCATAAGTGCTTTCTGAAGATCATGAGACACCTGGTGAGTGAACGAAACCCTGGGTCCCATGGGCCAGGGGAGACTCGAGCCCCTCCTGGGGCTGGCAAGAGGCCGCGTCCCAGCCATGGCCTGACCTGGGATGGGGATTCTCCATGAGTTGGAAGTTGGGTTTCCTTTTCTTGCCCCAGAGGATCCAGAGACGCTGGGACCAGGGCTGAGCTCTGGCTAAGCAGGGCTAAGGGAGTGTGTCCACCGGGCGTCGTGCACGGACGTGTTGGGAGACCCCTGGCCACCACCCAGGGTTCTGCTCCTTGAGGAAGGGTCTGCAGAGGGGCCTGAAAAGGGGGATTGCAGGGCAGCTCAGGAGGCCCTGAGTACCTCTGCCTCTCCCTGCAGGGCAAGGAAGGACTGTGCATTGAGTGTTTCATGCTGCGGTGGCTCCTCCAGTGTTTCATTGATGGGGTAAGGAGGCACAGGGAGACCCCAGCCCATGGACACAGTGCCCGGCTGCCCCAGCTCAGGGGTCCAGCTCCACCAGGAGGACGTGGCTCACCCCCAGCCCGTAGGAGGCACAGGCAGGTCCCTGCATGACACACAAACCAGGCCCTGTTTGAGAGGGGGTATCCCATGGCAGAGGCCAGGGCTTAGGCCCAGCTTTATGGGCAGACTGGACCAGGACCCGACTTGGGAGGGCCCAAGGAAGCCCAAAGTCCTCAGGAAGCCCCTCCTTCCAGAAGCAACAGCGCTGCTGAGGTGGGTCCCCCATGAGGAGCTGCAGGACCTTGTCTGACCCTGCTTTATAGGGGGCTCTCATCCCATGGAGAGGTGTTCCCAGCATTCCAGGAGACTGAAACCCCAGGCGGCCCTGCTCAGGCCTCTGAGCCCAGCCCAGAAAGGCAGGTCCTCCCACACTTCCTGTCCCCACAAAATCCTTCGGGCTCACCCTGCAACTGTGGGATATGCTCATCTTGGAGGGCGAGCAGGTACTGTTGGGCATGGCGCATGCATCATTCAAAATACATGGGTAAGTCCTGTGTGCCCGAGGGTGCCAGGGGGAATACACAGGACAGACCCCGGCTGGCCTGAGGGAAGTGTCCTTACACTGTCCCTATGACTCTCTGCTCTGTCTTGAAGGGGGTTCTGGTCTGGTGGGCTGGGCAAGGCACGATGACACTGAGCCCACCCCCCACATGACCCAGATGAAAGTCAGGAGTGTGGTGAGCACTTCCCTGCCTGGCCTTCCCCAGCTGTGGCCTCCTGTGCACAGCTGGACCCCAGGGTGGCCAAGAAGGACCACACACCACCCAGTGGGAGGTGGGCCTGGTGGAAATGGGGTGCAGGCACTGATCCCCCCACAAGGGAATCCTCCTGGCCTGATACCCGCCCTGTCCCTAGAGTGCCTCATGAAGCTTTCCTGGAGCACCATCTGGGAGTTTCAGGAGCGACTTTTTCAGAGCTGGGCCCCGGAGGACAACGTGGTCCTCAGGAACCTTCAAACCTCCGTGAAGGAACTCACAAGGAAACACTGGGACCTGCCACCCCCAGGTGGGCTCCAGCACCAAGTCTCCTCCCAAGTCACCCTCTGGGGCAGTCAGTGGTGGGGAGTGCCCTGGCCCTACCAGCCCTCCTACCTGGCCTTCCTCCTGCACCTCTTCCTCCTCTACTCTAAGAAAGTAAAATGGGTCTGCCACTCCTCAGGGCAGGCACTGAGCGTGTGTGTGCGGGACATGAGGTGCAGACAGGCAGGGGCTGTGGGCAGGACCCCCCAACTTCCCTCCCCCTCTTTCCACATTGTCCCCATCACCCCCTCAAAGGGCCCTGAAGGGCACTGGGGCAGTCAGATCCAGGTGTGGAAGACCCCACCCCTGCCTCCAAGCAGCAGGATCCCTCATTCTTGAGTGCCCCTCCAAGCCTGTCAAGACAACAAGCCAGGAGGACAAGAGAGAATCAGTGTCCCAGATCCAGAGAGGATTTGGGCAGAGGGCACGGGGGGAAGCCCTGACCCAGAGCCAGAACCAAGAGTTCAGCCGGGCATGGGATTTGTCCAGCCCTGGCATGGGGTGGACGGCCTGGAGGGCAGAGGGAAACCCGTGCCCTTCACTTCTCACCCACTGTGGAGACAGACCCCATGCGAGGTGGCAAGGGGGCTGGGTGACAGTGAAGGTCCCTTTCACCTGAGTTCTGAGTCAGGGCTGCTGAACAGCCCTGAGGTGAGGGAGGGCGTGAGGCAGGAAGCCCTGAGCCAGCCTGAAGCCTGGGAGCCGTTTCAGGACCGACCTGAGGTTCCCTGAAAGCTCCCCCACCCCAGGCTGCACACAGCCCTCACCCTGGGATCAGCAGCTTGCAGAGGTGTCCTCAGTGTCAGGCCAGAGGACACCCGGGGACCCCAGGACTCCAGAGGCCCAGGGCTGTGGGCCCAGCCCTGGAGAGGCCCCTGAGGCCTCTGACCCCACCTGTGGGTCAGAGCCTGTCCCCCAGGGCCTGAGTCCCAGGCCCAGAGGGACCTGGCTTCAACTCGAGTTGTCCTAGGAGGACAGGGGCACTGCAGATCTCCAGGTGACCACGCAGGGCACCAGGGCACTGCAAGCCCTGATGCTGTAAGGATTCACATCAGAGAACCTGGGCAAGCCAGGCCAGAGACGCTGAGCCCGTGCAGTGATGAGGATGTGGAGGGCTGGCTCAAGGGGGTCAACAGCTGTGAACACTGCTGCCTCTTCCCGGCCTCATTGTTGCAGTGCAGGCAGTCTGCACCCCGGAGCCTGGCCCAACAGCGCCCCGAGTGCCCTAGTCCACTATGCCAACATGGTACCCGGAGGCTTCGAGGCCCTGCCTGCTGCACCACCCGCCTCCTGGAGGCCTTGTTCTGCAGCCTAGCCCCTGCCGCAGCCACAGCAGGCACCACTGCCAAGTGCCTTCCAGCCGGGCTTCCCAGAGGACAGAGGCATCCTGCAGTCATTGCCTCAGCAGCTCACACTGTGAAGATAGTTTCATCCACATTCCCATGTTCCCACCAAAGAGAATCCCTGCAGAGGGTGCTCTTGATCCTGCGGTGGGGAAAACAGCACACTAGGTGGACTCAGCTCCTTTCCCTGGCCACCATGATTGCTGGATGGGCCCACAAAGCAGCCATCAGACAGGCATGTTGGGGAAGAGCCTAAGCAATCCTGCTTGTTCCCTGACCAGACCGACACCACTGCCGAGTGCCCCATCTGCTGATGAGAGATTTGGTGTCGATCCCTGGACTGGCACCATTTCCCAGGAGGAGCGGCTGGCTACCTGTGGGCAGGCTGCCCACACTGTGGAGAGGGCTGAGATCGGCCTTCACTACGGGGAGCCCCTACCTGGACATAGACTCGCCAGCCCTGCCTGTTGCCATCACAGCAGCCCACATGGCATTGCTTGTGACCAGGGTACCCCATTCACAGTGACGGACATGCAGCAGTGGCCCTTGACTAGGGAACTAACTCTTCTCGCTACGTCACCCACCGCCTGGAAGCAACTGGACTTAGGATCGCTGTTATGCTGAAGTGGTGAGGTTGTCTTACAAGATGAATTTTATCCTTTCTACTGGAAGCCAGTGTATGGTGATGACTCCCCCACAACCAGAAGGTGTAGTTCTGAGTGAAGGTGTGAAAGTGGACGATGTTCAGTGTTGCACCGAATGTCTCAGTCACAAAGTTTTCCTATTGCCTGTCCTGGAGAAATGGAACTTTGCTGGTTGGAAGGTCTTAGGACCCAGGAAGAGTGAAGCTTCCCCCAGGGGAACACAACAATGGTTCTATTTAATATGAGGAGACAGGACTAAGTCTGAAACCTCGGGGCATTCTCTGGTGTTCTTGAGTGTTTCCATGTAAAGGAAGTCAAGTAACTTGCCACAAAGCTTTGCCACAGAAGCATCTGAAAAAGGAGGGGGCAGAACTATTCAGAACTCAGAGGTTTCAGAACCAAAGATGAGGCCGAGAAGATTCCTGACCCGCTGAGGGCAAGGGAAGTATGTGGGGGCGGCTGGGAGAGGATGTTATAGAGTCCGCCATGGCCTCGTGACCTGTCACAGAACCGTGCACTTTAATAGCTGTGCACATCTTCTCTGCACTGATTATAGTATTTCTTTGCCTTTGCTACTCTCCACACAGGGAGCTTGCTACAAAATGCACATAACCACAGCCCGGGTCTTGCAATCCAAGCCTGGCAAGGATTCAGCATGTCAAGGGCTTCAGGTCTGAAGGTCCATGGCTGTCCTGAATCCTGGATATCACCTTCTTGCCCAAAAAAGGAGGGACGAGGCTCAAACCGCAGCAGGCCACTCACAGAAAGGGACGAAACGTTGAGTGCGTGGCCTCCCTGACACCCAGACAAGACTTTGGGCCCAAAGCCAGGCTGCAGCTCTGGCCACTGACTCAGACCAGGGACGCCCCCATGCAGGCCGGTGTCCCCTGGCCGCTCTTCTCCCTCCTGCCACCCTCTCTTCGGCTGCTTGTGTCAATAAAAGGAAAACTGGCCAGTTCTCAGAGAAAATGTAGCTTTATTATGACATAGGAGAGACTACAAAGCACTGGGGGGGAGGAGGAGTGACACAGCTCCTCAAAATGGAAGGGGAAAGGAAGAGTAAACATCTTGGTAAATAAAGTCTCCAACCACAGCACAGTCATTGGAATTTTTTTCTTCATTTTTATTTTCAAACTTACAGTAAACAAAACAATCACTTAAATTGTCAAAAGAACAGCAATTTTACACAATGAAGAGCATACACACCAAGCCAAAATACAATAGCACTCAGGTCTATATGTTGCAGTGGTGCTGGCGCTGGAGGGAATGCCCAGGGAGGCTGCAGTGCTCACCACGAAGCCCAGGTCCACGGAGGGAGCCAAGGTCCACAGAGGGCCCCGGGGCCAGAGGGAGGCCGCCCACACTCCCAGCACATCACCTGCCTCAAAGCACTCCCTTCAGGCATCTGAAGAGGGAAAGGCCATGTGTCTTCCTGGGAGGCACTGAAAGGCCAGCCAGCATCTCCAAAATGCAGGCCATTTTAACACTGCTGTGAATGTGCTGGGGTCACCAAGGGGGCCCCTTAGTGGTCAGATGCACTTTGTCACAATGTACACCTACATGGGGTGATTACTAGGCAACGGGAGGTTTCCTGAATTTCACAGCCAGATGGGGAGCTAAAAGAAATTCCTGAACCCAACGCGTAAATATTTTGTTCTGACAAAGTAAATTCACAAGAACACATCAAACACAAGACCTAATGCAAGGGGCAGTGCCAGGGCCGCCGCCGCCTCCTGTGAGCAGCTCTTCAGCAGCAGGCATCAGGTAACTGCTTAGAACGGCAATGCCACAGTGGAATAAGGGGGACTAACTTGGATACGAAAGTTTAGAATAATGCCCACCAAAAATCCATGTGACTCCATCTCTCTTCCCAGTTCTAATGTTCTCAGAACAGCAGCCACCCCTGAATGCAAGTGGAGACAGGAAGGGGACTAGGGGTTGGCCGGCGGGAGGGGAGGCAGGGTCTGGCCAAACCCAGGCAGCTGCCAGAAAGCCTTCTGCACTCCGCAAGACACCCCAGTAAACTGGGGCGTCCCAAGGTGGCAAGCCTTCATGAAGGCACTGCCCAGCTCACAATCCTGTGGGCCAACTTCAGTCAACTCTCCTTTCCATTAGATTTGTTCCTAATTAAAAGACCACTCATAGGCCAGGTGCGGTGGCTCACGCCTATAATCCCAGCACTTTGGGACGCTGAGGTGGGTGGATCGCCTGAGGTCAGGAGTTTGAGACATGGTGAAACCCCATCTCTACTAAAAATACAAAAATTAGCCTGGCGTGGTGGTGCATGCCTGTAGTCCCAGCTACTTGGGAGGCTGCGGCACGAGAACTGCTTGAACCCAGGAGGTGGAGGTTGCAGTGAGCCGAGACTGTGCCACTCACTCCAGCCTGGGCAACAAACTCCATCTCAAAAAAAAAAAAAAAAAGACTGCACATCCTCAAAGGAGATCTTCAAAGCACTGTCACCCAAACAGCAGAACTTGGTCACATGGGACCATTTCTGAAAATCTCGGCCCATCTCTGTTTCTCTGGTAATTCATTTTATAAAACATGCTTCCATGTGAATTCTTTAAGTGCAGAAAAACAACAGAAAATGAACAGAGCACGTGGGCAAGAAACCGCATCCCTCAGGCTTCTGCCACACATGATGGTTCTGCGGGCTGTGATTGCCAAGTCCTGTGTTTTCCACACTGAGCAGTGAGTAGCAGCTGCCACTGTCACTACCCCCTCCCCAGCCCAGCCAGCTAAGGAGCTGGGTCTGGTCCCCACCAGCTTCTCCATGGCCTGTGAGCTAAGAATAGGTTTCACGTTTTTAAATAGTTAAAAAAAAAATCTAAGTTTCTTGACACAGAACAATATATGTCATTCAGATTTCTGTGTCTAAAAGTTGTACTAGACACAGCCACATCTCTGTACTATTTATGGCAGAGACCATACAGCCCACAGAGCCAACAGTGTTTACTCCCTGGCTGTCTATGAAAACATCTGCCCACCGCTGAGACAGATGATCCTGTTCCTGCAGGACTGAAGAAGCCTCAGTTCAGATGCTGCTGGGGCTCCTGGGACAAGCACAGCCCGAGACACACTTGCTTCATAAACTGTATTTCAGTACTTTTCCTCCCCCTTGTCCCTAGTTTCTAATTTCTCAGTGGACAAATGGACAAACCATCTCTGTTTGAATTTGAATACACAGATACATGCAAGATATCTTACAAGAAACAATGCACATCCTTCTACTTTCTCTTTCAGCTCTGCTGACAAGCTCAATCACGGTGTCATTTTACTGCCACCACGCCCGAAAGTACACCAAATGTAAAGCAGAGGCAGACGAGACAAGATGCAGGCTCCACCAGAGGCCACTCCAGCTTCGCGACCAACACCCTTGGCTGCCAGGCAGCGGTAGCCAGGCAATGGGATAGAAGGCAAAGAAAATACGAGGGACAGAACCCATCAGACACCGGCAGACACTGCATTTACTCCAGACTGAGATGACAGACACACCGTATGAGCTGCAGCACAACTCTCCTCCGCTGCGCCCACTGCCAGCCACCAGCAGACACCAAGGCACCCAGAGGAGCCAGGCACACAGGGCGGGCAGCAACATAAACGGCACCCATTAAAAAGCAAGACTCGCTCTTGAGACTAAAGGAGAAGTTACCTAAATTTCTGTATAAACTCAGTAATTCATTCACTTTACTAGTATTACATTTATGAAATTCACCTTTGTGGAAAAAGGAGCGGGAGAGGGATAAGAAAATGCCTGTTTCTAGAAAACCGCGAGATGCTTCCACGTGCAGCTTGATGCTGTTACCTGCAGAACAGACACGCTTGAAAACGCGACGTAGTGTCCGTACTTCCGAAGCTAGGAGGCTGCTTCACAGCCGCTGAGAAAATGGAGGTGAAGAGTTCCATACTCTCCGTATTTTAACACTAAAACACCAACAGAAAGGCATCTGCAAGGCCCTCTGTCCCGCACACTACACCTCTGTGTCCAGCTTACTGCTTTCATGGACCCATAATCTTACAGCAGGTAGGGGCCTTTCCACACCGAGTGCTGGGGAACGCCAGGCAGCGGTCACTCTGTGCTGTGAGGCCCCCGTTGCACCCCCATGTCATGACACAAGAGATGTTCTGGTGACGGGTGTACGCTGCTCCTCCCACCCAGAGCACACCCCTCATCTCATCCATCTTCAAAGCAGCTCCAGGAGCCTCCCCGTCCGTGTGGTCCATCCCGACCCGATGGGTCCCAGGTGCAGAGGGGCCACATCTGCATGGGAGGTGGTGTCACCAGGCCGGGGAGGCGGCGGGAGACTTGGGGGAGGGGGGGGCCAGGGAGGATCACTTTGTGAGGCTTGCCAATGCATTGCCTTTGTTTTTCTGACCAGCTGCAGATAAGGCTACTCGTATTCCAGGAACTGTTTGTGATAGAACAGCAAGTACCTGTGGAGGCAGAGAGAGGGAGGAGGCTCACCTCTAACTCCTAAGACAGGAGCCAGAACAACCCACCCTACACAAAAGCCTACGTGCTCTGCGCTCTGCACAGGTCGGCCAGGCCCGAGTTGATGGTTTTGGCTTTTTAGTCCGCAAGGAGGAAAGAGTGCTTCACTGGCTGGTGGCACTGGCCCTGCCCATCTCTGCAGCCCGACCACCACCCCCACCTGCCACGAGGTCACCCATTGCCTCACCCAACCTCCCACAGCCTCTCCCCCACTTGTGACAGCCCCACCCTTGTGCAGAGCCCACTGTTTTCAAGTGGCTCCGTCCAGATCCACCTCATCGCCCTGAAGGCTGTCCTTTATCCCAGATTCTTCCAAATAAAACCTCTCAAGAGGGCTTGGCTTCCGTGTTGCTCAGAATGTGAAGTGCAAAGCCCTCAGGGAGTTCATGGCAGCTGGGGTCCCCCTGACCCCTGGAGGGTCAACAGGTTTCTCTATGCCATGAAGGAATGAAACTGGAAAGGAGAGGAGCTGATAAAGAACTGATGTGGGCCGGGCCCGGTGGCTCATGCCTGTAATTCTAACACTTTGGGAGGCCAAGGCAGGAGGATTGCCTGAAGTCAGGAGTTTGAAACCAGCCTGGTCAACATGGTGAAACCCCATCTCTACTAAAATACAAAAGTAGGCAGGCGTGATGGTGCATGCCTATAATCCCAGCTACTTGGGAGGCTGAGGCAGGAGACTGACTTGAACCTGGGAGGCAGAGGGTGCAGTGAGCTGAGATCATGCCATTGCACTCCAGCCTGGGCAACAAGAGCGAAACTCCGTCTCAAAAAAAAAAAAAAAAAAAAAAAGAACTGATGTGTTCAGTTCACGCAGTTAAAAAACAACTGCTCTGACGTTCTCTGTGCTAAGGGAATGCCTCCAGAGAGGGCCTTTGCTCAGGCACCTCTTCTCCCACCTGAGCACCCATCGAGGCTGGCATCCTATCCAGAACAGGCTTCATTACTTCGGCAAATGAAGGTCAACACCTTCGAGTGGTTCTAGGCTCAGACATGGGCTAGTCTCAGCTATACCGGAGGGGAAGCACCGTAGCCACCGTAGGGCCTTCCTCCCACCCCACAGGACGCACCCTTCGCTGTCCAGGACGTCCTTGATGCTGGCCTTGGTGATGATGGCATCGTCACACTTGAACCACTGGTCTTTGTGCTGCCGGATAAAGCTGGTGTAGTGGCCACTCTCCAAGGTCCCTTGATGGTTAACAACAGCAAACAGGGAATACCTAGTGCAGGAGCAAAGGAGAGGGAGGGCGCAGGTGACTTGATGCCGTCACTTGAGGTCATCACCATCAGAAACCAGGCAGCCCAGGCAGGGAGCGGGAGGCCTGTGGGCCTGTCAACCCCCAGGGCCTCAGGCTGATGCACAGGAGGCTGCAGGAACTAAGGGAGCCTGGTCACCCCCCTTGGCTCTAGCCCGGGTCCAGGCGCTTCCTGGAACTCCATCTAGTGGGAGTGGTGACTGCAGTCAGCAGTGGGGATCCTGGAACACCCCAGCCTTTCATACTTTCTACAACCCCAAGGCAAGAAGAATGAACACCGAGCTTTCCAGATGGAACCTCCCTCCTGCCAGAGGCCAAGAGTGGGGCTGGGCTCCTCCAACAGGAGGGAGCATTTGTGGCACCACGTGGAGCGGCCTTTCCTAGTGGAGCTGCGGGCAGCCAATAGTGGAGCTGCGGGCAGCCAAGCGGGAAGCAGGTCAGTGGCGGGGGATCCGCTGGGCGCCCTACAAGGCAGACAGGAGCCCACCCCCAGCTCTTGGCCAGAGGCCCTGGACACCCACACCGCTAAGCACCACTTACTTGTTGTCATTGTTGAGACTGTCCGTGGGCTGCTGGTACTGTCCATTCATCCTGCTCTCTTTGCTGTAACAGACAACGGCAGGATTCAGCATCATTAAAATCATCAGGCCCAGAGACACAAGGCTCTCGTGAAACCAACACTTATCCAAGCTTGACCATGCAGATGCTGCACCGAGGTGCACTTTATGCTTCAGGCAGAAATCTCCCCATGTTTCGTGAGGACACTGACGCTCAAGCTGTGGAGGCCCCTGCCTCAGAGCACACCTGGGTCCTGAGGCCACCTGGCGTGGCCCCTGGTTCTTCCAAGGTGGGTCCTGAATAGGGCTGGTAATGGGAGCTGGATCTGGAGGAATGTGAGTTTGGTTTGTGACAAAGCAGATGGTGAAGGTGCTCTTCCTCCCACATGTAAAGGGTTAGCTTGAAAGGGTACGCTGAATCCATTCTACAACCTAGGCAGGTGCCTCCTCAAAAGGGACAAAGATTGCTGCTCATTATTTCATGACCAGCACCTCCCCTGGTGAGATGGGGGAGAGGAGTGCTGGGAACAGGAAGCCATGCACATTATTTACTGCATTTTCCTACAGCTGTGTTTGGCAGGAAACACCAAGATCTTTGAGACCCTGACCTTAGAACAGTACTGTCACCTCCCTCAGTACGTGACCATCGTGGTCAGACTGATGATATGGAGCTCTGACTCTGGTCTTGTTTTATTCAGGAGGTCATCTGTGTGCCACAGGGGTGGGACAGCCATGAGAGGACACCAGGAAGAGGCCGCTAACTACCAAAAAGCAACATGCTTTCCACGGTGCTGGGGCTGGGACTGTGGCCACCAAAAAATAACACCCTGCAAATAACAACATCCACGTCTCAACCCTCAGAACCTGAGACTGGGACCTCATTTGTAAAACCAGTCTTTGCAGAGACTCAAAGTAAAGATGTTGAGATGAGATCCTCCTGGATGATCTGCCTAGGTCCTAAAGCCAATGACCACGGTCATGACAGAGAAGCAGAGGGAACTGGACACAGAGTCAGGGGAGCTGGCCATGTGACCCGGAAGCCAGGGGAGTGACAGCCACAGAAGGAACACGTGGAACCACCAGCAGCTGGAGGCGGTGAGGAATGGAATCCCCAAGACCCTTGTAGGACATGGAGCCCTGCCAACACCTTGATTTCAGATTTCCAACCTCTAGAACTGTGAGGAAATTAATTTTAAGCCGCCAGGTTTTTGGTCATTTGTCACAGAACCACAGGAAACTCCTATGTGTCTCATGCATTAGTAAGCAGCTGAATTCCAAGTACCCCAGAATAGGCAGATTTGAAAAGGAAAATGCAATCTACAACTGCAAAACCAACTATGTCTGCCTGTACTTCAACATCTGTTCCACGAACTAAAATGTTGCCTTCTCGCTGTGATCCCACCTTGAGGACTTTGCCGGTTTGAAAGTGGATTGATAATTGTTGAGAAATTCAAAACAAAAACAGGGTATCTGATGAAAAACAACTCATTAACATGTGCTGTATCTTAAGATCAGGATAAACAGATTTGGGGAAGGTGGGGTTTATATTAGTATCGACAGTCATTTTTTTTTTTTTTTTTAGACGTAGTCTCGTTCTGTCACCAGGCTGGAGTGCAGTGGCGCGATCTTGGCTCACTGCAACCTCCACCTCCTGGGTTCAAGCGATTCTCCTGCCTCAGCCTCCCAAATAGCTGGGACTACAGGTGCCTGCCACCACACCCAGCTAATTTTTGTATTTTTAGTAGAGACGGGGTTTCACCATGTTGGCCATGATGGTCTCAATCTGTTGACCTCATGATCTGCCCGCTTCGACCTCCTGAAGTGCTGGGATTACAGGCGGGAGCCACTGCACCCGGCCAACAGTCATCTTAATAGGAGCTCCGAGCTGGATTCCTGTCCTGATAGGATCACAGCCCCTCAGGACACAGAACGGGCCTACAACCCCACATACCTGGAGGCCATGAAAGGGGTCATGTCCAGCTCCAGGGGGAAGGACACATACGTGGTGATCTTCCGCCGCAGCTTGGCTGAGTGTTCAAATCGCTGCAGAAATAGGAAGGGGACAGAGGGAAGAGGAAAGAAGATCAGAAATGTCACTGGAAGCTTCAGGGCCTTCTTCTGATGACAGGTGTCTGTGTTATCTCTTTTGTATTTTATTGAACTGCCTTGTAGCTACATCTAGAATTACAGATTCAAAAACACAGTGGCAATCCACCCAAGTCCTCATTTACAGGGTTCAAGTCTTCAAATGATGGGACTGTTCAGTGGTAACACCAAGGGTACAAAAAGTAATCTTACAGCAAACCCAGCAAAGCACAGAAAACAAAACAAAGATCCGTGGCCCATGGCAGCAAAAATGAACAAATTGTTCCTTTCACCAGACAGAAGACAGTCCTTTGCCTAGATCAGGAGTCACCCATTCCAGCCAGCAAGCTAGGAATGGGCGTTTTCCATGTTTAAAGGGTGGTGAAATGAAACAAAGAACATGTAACAGAGAATCGTATGATCGCACGCAGCCTGTGGAGCTCGACATCTTCAGTTATCTGGGCCTTTAGAGAAAGAGCTTGCCAACTCCTGGACCAGATCTGCATGCTGAGGGCCTTTGTCTTAAAATAAAACAGAAAACCTGAGGAGGGGGTAGCTGGAGGAATGGTAGAAGTAATAAAAACTTCACAACCACTCTGCTCCCAAGAAAACTCACATTCTACTTTCACTGCGAAGCCACTGATTTTGTTTACCGCAGCACAGACAAAAGGACAATTCACAGATGGGAGGACAATTCCCTCACACCCTCCCTTCCTCGGTGTTCTTCCTGCTTGCTGCAATTATAAAAAATGTAACTGCACAGCAAACCAAAAGGCTGAGGACCGTACTGTGGACTAAAAACTAAGTCTGCCATTAGAGTTGGCTTTCTGGAAAACTTACTTTGAGATGAAAACAGGCTACGATGGGCAGTTTCTTCATAGTGAGCTGCTTTGTGGACTCCTGGTAGCTATGGCAACCGCTGCACTTGATCTTGGCGCTGCTGCCCAAGTGCTCTGGTCTGGTGAATCTACAGGCGTTCAAAAAAGACAGGAGCGGTAAGGGAGATGCAAGAGACAGAAAAATGAGAGGAAAGAGGTATTTTATCTCTTTCATTGGGTTGATTTCCCTACCAAAAACATACACTTACAACTAAAAATGAAACAATGAAAAAAAGAGAAAATGTTGTCCACCTTTGCTGCCTGTCTCTACAGAATATTTATCTTAAATATTTTTTTTCCAGGAAAGGCCTGGGGAAATGGTAATAATTTTCTAAGTACCATATGACCCAGCAGTTGAATTTGAGCCAGAGAAATGAAAACTAATGTTCACACACAAACTGTCCACAAATGTGCACCAGAATGTTACTCACGAGAGTCACAAAACTGGAAACACCCCGTTTCTTCCCATGGCTGAATAATTAAAGAAACTGTGGAACACTGTACCATGGAGTATGAGACAGCAGCAAAAAAGGAAGGAACTACTGATCCCAAGCTGTACCCTGGATGCGTCCCCAGAGAATTAGGATGTGCAAGAAAAGCCAATCTCAAAGGGTTCCGTTATATCATTCAGTTGACATGACATTCTGGAATTGTCAGGCGTATGGAAATGCAGGAGTCCAGGGTGACTGCGGTTACAGAGTGGGTGGTGAGGGAGGAGGCACTGGAGATGCTGGGTACTTTCCGCATGAATGTCTGAATCCTGGCCAGGGCGTCGCACCACAGTGCTGAGGAGGTCACCATCGGGGGACCGGGGTAAAGGGTACCTAAAGGCTTCTTACAACTGCATGTGAATCTACAATGATCTCAACATAAGCAGTTTAATGTAGAGAGGTGAGAGGTCGGCCAGGTGCGGCAGCTCACACCTGTAATCCCACCACTTTGGGAGGCTGAGGCAGGTGGATCACCTGAGGTTGGAAGTTCAAGACCAACCTGACCAACATAAGAGAAATTCCGTCTGTACTAAAAATACAAAATTAGCCGGGCGAGGTGGTGCATGCCTATAATCCCAGCTACTCAGGAGGCTGAGGCAGGAGAACCGCTTGAACCTGGGAGATGGAGGTTGCAGTGAGCCGAGATTGTGCCACTGCACTCCAGCCTGGGCAACAAGAGCAAGACTCCATTTCAAAAAAAAAAAAAAAAAAAAAAAAAGGCAAGAGGACTGGGAAAGGTAATTTCCTGACCGTGCAGAGGCAGGAGGTAGGAGGGCTGCATCAGAAGCGTGTCTGGCACAGGTGTCAGCTGCCACTGACAAAACCTGCAGAACAGATGATTCAACAAAGCACACGCCAAATTTTGAAGCTGAAACACCAGCAAAAAATTCACTCTTTTCACAAGCAGGTATGGAAAGCCCTTATTTATGCTCTGGAAATTCTGCCATCTTAACTAGGGCAAGACGAGGGGGCCTCTGGGCAAAGCTGCACCTGTTTCGTTGCTAGCTTTGTGATCTGCTCTCCAAAGGACTCGAAAAGGAGCCTTTGCTTGCAATACAAAGTGGGGACCCGGGTGCACTCTACCTCTCCTCCACCTTCCCGGGAGTCAGCACCACATCATGTCTCTCCTAACAACACAGGCTTCCCACACATTGTAGTTTGTGAAGTGTGGTTTCTACCTCATGGCCTGCTGTTTTGGCAAAGCTTTCATTTTATTGGAATTTATGATTAAATTTAATTTAGCTGCAAAGACTTTCTTTAAAAAGGTTTTGGTTGGCCGGGCATGCTGGCTCACACCTGTAATCCCAGCACTTTGGGAGGCCAAGGCAGGCGGATCACCTAAGGTCAGGAGTTTGGGACTACCCTGGCCAATGTGGCGAAACCTAGTCTCTACTAAAAATACAAAAGTTAGCCGGATATGGTAGCAAGCACCTGTAATCCCAGCCACTCGGGAGGTTGAGGCCGGAGAATCACGTGAACCTGGGAGGTGGAGGTTGCAGTGAGCCAAGATCGCGCCACTGCACTCCAGCCTGCACTCTAGAAAGAGCGAGACTCCGTCTCAAAAAAAAAAAATTAAAAAAAAAAAAATCACAAAATCAGCTGGGCATGGTGGCACACACCTATAGTCCCAACTACTCAGGAGGCCGAGACAGGAGACCAAGGCTGAGCCCTGGACACTGAGGCTGAGCCCAGGAGATCGAGGTTGCAGTGAGCTATGATGGCACCACTGCACTCCAGCCTGCATGAAAGAGCAAGACCCTATCTCAAAAAACAAAATAAACATGCAACTTTGGTCGTGCTGACTATGCAGCCAGACAGAAACCAAAGGCTCGTACCTCTTCTAAGGGATACTTCCACTCAACAAGGACTCTTCTGCATTACCTTTAATTGATGCAAATAAAACAAAGGCTATAAAATAATAGACAAATTTTAGGAAGGTTTTCTGCTGTCTTTACAATTGTATGCTACAGCTACTTAAATACATTTTTTTTTAAAAATCACTCACAGGTGTGGTGGCTCATGCCTGTGAGCACTTTGGGAGGCCGAGGTGGGTGAATCACCTGATATCACGAGTTCGAGACTAGCCTGGCCAACATGGTAAAACCCCCGCTCTACTAAAAATACAAAAATTAGCCAGGCGTGGTGGTGCACACCTGTAGTCCCAGCTACTCAGGAGAATCACTTGAACCTGAAAGGCAGAGGCTGCAGTGAGCAGAAATCGCACCACTGCATTCCAGCCTGGTCGACAGAGCACAACTCTGTCTCAAAAAAAAAAAAAAAAATCACTTTGTAAATATTATTACTTATCCCAAATGAAGCAGTACATGCACAATTTCAAAAACAGCCCTAAGAGTACAGAACATCACAACTAAGTTTTAATCATGTGCAGAGAAGGCCGTGGACCATGGGGAGAGGCCCGGGCGCATCTCAGCTCACACTCCGGGGTAGGTGATTAGTGCAAGGGCTAAGGGAGCAGCCAGTTTGGCTCTGGGTTCATTTACATGCGGAGGTTGGAGTAGCAGCTGCTGACACTGACACCTGGTGCTGTGCGAAGCTGGGGGACAGAAATATTGAGTCATCTGGCCAAAACAAAGGACAAACTAGCACAAGAGACTGCAGCCAATCCAGGCTCATGCTGCACCTTTGCCCAGGCTCTGTCCTGGGCATGTGAAAGAGCCCTGCTTTGGTCCTGATGGAGCACAGCCTTCTGGCCAGGAGACACGCCCCCGCCGTGTGGGTGCAGGCCTCTCACCGTCGCAGGCAGTCCGTGAGCGTGGTGGTTCCCGACACGTGGCTTTCCCCGTTTACCACGTTGCCCTCGCTCCCTGGGCTCAGGGGCCAGAATGGGGTGGAAGAGCCGGGGAGATCCAAGCTGATGTCCCAGAAGGGGTCGATGGTGGTGGAGACTCCACTGGAAGCAGAGGGAAAACAATGGCTGTGAGGACTGACACCCACCCAGCTCCAGAGGCAACCCGGGGTGGAAGCCGTTCCCACATCCCTTCCCCGCTGTGCCCTTTGTCACAGTGACACTCAGGTGGGATGGGGCAGGAGCAAGAGCAGCAGTGCTCACACCCAACGTGTCCTGGCTCCCAAGGTGGCCCTGGGGAGGGGTGTGTGTGAACTCGGAAGGCGAGGGGCGCTCCTCAAGCAAGGACTTCCCAGTCTGGAGACCATCACAGTCACTGAGGGACTTGGGAGGAGGATAAACTCATGGGCCCTGTCAGAGGCTCTGAATCCACAGGTCTATCTCAGCTGCATCTAGAACTTGGGGCCTGTGACCCTAGGCAACACTGGAGACCCCTGCACATTTCACAGAGCGTGCCCAGGCCAGGCCCGGTGGCCTGCACTGGACAGTCAATGCTGCATTTCACAAGGCCAGTTCCTTGCTAGAAATTTATTTAACAATATAAAAAATGAAAACTTGCAGACTGGGAAATTTACTCTCGATATTTATACAGGATTTAAATCTTGAGACAATCTCCTACTAATGGAATTCAGTAGTTAAGGGACAGCGAGGAGGTCCAAATTGCTCAGAGCAAACTCGGTTTCTAATACTCAGAGACAAGGCCCCAAACGGTCTATGCTCCTTATAGAAAATGGCCCCCGTGACACAGGCAGCACTGGCCTTTCCCGATATTTGCTCGTCTTATGCAGTTTAGAAGTGACAGTCCATTTCGGGTTCTGAAATAATTTCGGTGGATCATGTCCAGGGTTTTTAAACTTCAACTGAAGTAAAGAACAGAGCCAGGCACGGTGGCCCATGCCTGTAGTCCCAGCTACTTGGGAGGCTAAGGAGGGAGGATCGCTTGAGCCCATGGGTTCAAGGCCAGCCTGGGCAACATACACAAGACCCCATGCCTGAAAAAAACAAAAACAAAAACAAAAAACCTGTAGCATGCACTGAGGTTGGGTGAGAGGGTCCCCTGACCTAACAAAGCAATGGATTCTCCCTGCACTCAACACTTGAGGCTCTAAGCAGAGACCACATCTGAGAAGAATTAGGGCCACTACATCAGAAAATGGAACCAGAAACCATAAAATAATGAAAACTAACACACTTCGAAGCACGTAGAAAAACAATCCACCATGCATGATCCACGCCTTCTTGAAGAGGGCTCTTTCACTTGGTCCCTGGTCAAGGACTGTAAGATGCAAAATGGTAGGGGAAGCTTCCAAGAACACACTGCTGGCTGTAGACAACAGCCAAGACCTCAACACGAAGGGCTCGCATCCCGAGGGGACACCTGCCCTACGACCTCCCCAAGAGGAAGCACCCCCACCCCACAACCTTCGCTCTCATGGCGTCTATTAATCATTTATCTCATAGCCTCCTTAAAGACCTCTCAGAGCACACACAGCTCTGGAGACTGGGAGGATGTCAGTACGGCCCCAGAGGGTTTGATATTGCCGAGCACGCAGCCTCTCACTTACTGGCAGACTTGGCAGGTGACGTCTGACTGCAACCCGCCTGTGAAGATCTGGTCTATGATGCAGTTGCAGTGGTTGGGGTTGTTGGCCTTCTTCCCATTGTCATCACCTGGAGACAGACCACGGCTCTGGGATTAGTGTCTCCCCAAATATGGGGAGTCTCTAAGGGAAGAGCAGTTCACCCTGCAGAAGCCTGGGGGAGCCAGGGCCAACGCTTTAAAAGGCCATGTGAGGACACTCCTCATTTTAGCAGAGGGTGTCCTTGTTATTTTAATATGACGAGAAATCACAGCACTTGGATTTTCAATGCTCCTTTTTCTCATTCCCTAACAAGAGCCCCACAGCTTCAGTCTTGCCAAGAAAACCCACCTAATGCCCAGTGACTGAGCAGAATAATCGATTCCCATTATCATATAAAGAATGACTGAATCAATATTGTTCCAGTGAGACAGCTGAACATATGGTGGGCCAGGTACACCCGGGGAAGCCCCAGCAACCTCCCTCCCTGAGTAGGTATCATGGTGCCCCAAGTTCAGAAAGTGACACCGCAGGACACAGGCTGTCCTCATCAGCTAGAGCCCCCAGGGGACAGCGTGTCTTCCAGTCAGTTGCATCTGGAAGTGCCACTCCCACCCTCTCTATTCAATACACACTTCATTCATATCCATGTGTGCAGATCTGTGAAAAAGAAACTTAAGTAGCAGAACTTAATTCGTGTGTGGAATACATATTCTACATAACTTCACTAGACAGTGGGGACAGGGCACGAGGACACCTGTATATACATCACAGTTCAAAGACGTTGAATCATGACAGAGGAATAGAGAAGGGCCACTAAGTCTTCTGAGAGCAGAAGGTTTAAGATTAGAGAGAAAAATGCTTCCCAGAGGGATCTCAAATTCATGGGACAAAATTCAGAGGACAAGAATATCCATACAGGAAGGCGCAAAGAATGATGAACAGAATGGCCAGGCGCGGTGGCTCACGCCTGTAATCCCAGCACTTTGGGAGGCCAAGGCGGGCGGATCACGAGGTTAGGAGACCGAGACCATCCTGGCTAACACGGTGAAACCCCGTCTCTACTAAAAATACAAAAAATTAGCTGGGCATGGTGGCGGGCGCCTGTAGTCCCAGCTACTCAGGAGGCTGAGGCAGAAGAATCACTTGAACCTGGGAGGCGGAGGTTGCAGTGAGCTGAGATCGCACCACTGCACTCCAGCCTGGCGACAGAGCGAGACTCTGACTCAAAAACAAAACAAAACAAAACAAAAGATGAACAGAAAGATGCCGTGAAGGCCACAAGGACAAAATGCACGTAACCAAGGCCATGTGGCCAGGCCACCTCGCTGAACAGCTCTGGCAACCAGGTTTCTAAACAGAAGAACCTTACATTTCTTTTCAGACATTTCCAAGGGAATTCTGTCAGAAGCACGTCAGAGGTCACATTTTGTCATGTGAACATTTAACAGCAATGCATTTTTGAACAAGTGATTTTTAGAACATCTTTCTGCTGCTTACAGAAGGCTCTTCGTTATTCTCACTAGGTGCTTGGGGTAACAGCATAGTCACTTCCACAGTGGCTCTTTCCTCTCTTATAAATCATACTAGGACATGAAATTCTACCTAAGCTACTAAGTAACTTTCCTTTGATTTCTAGGTAAGAATTAAAAGGATCACGTAGTTTTTCAGAGGAAAAAAAGTAAGTACCAAAAGAAAACAGAACCCAAAGTCACATTTGACCAAAACCAGCCATTTTAGCTCAACTGTGGGTTGTTTCTGGGCTGTGATCTCAGAACCCATAGGTTGTACGTAAGCGCCTAGGGCCCGGGTGCACAGCCTTGAGACGGATGAGAAGCGATGGGAAGGCCAGCCCACCAAGCTGTTCAACTCGGTGAACCGTCAGAACAGGACTCTGTTCTCTAAAAGACTCCAAGTTAAAATTAACTGATAGGATATCGGCTACAACTAGCTGTGCCAGCCCAGAGACCACAGGAAACTCACAAGCAGCCAGGTGCCCTGTGACCTGAGCGCATGGGTTCTCAGAGTATGGCATCTGAACCAGCGGCATCAACATCAGCTGGGAACTGATTAAGAGTGAAGAAGCCCCTGCCCCCCACAGATCTGCTGAATCAGAAACGCCAGCACGGGCTTTAGGAAGACCTGCAAGTGACCAGCCCACACTCATCTGAGAATCACCTCTCAGTCTCTCTGCCTGTATGGATAGACTTCAGCTGCAGGTCCCTCACACTGGGATCTCCACCATGAGGAGTGGGGAGGAGCCGATCTTGGCTCAAGTCATTCATTCCCAGCCTCCCACCTCCAGCGCTAAGAGCTGCCCCTGCCAACTACCAACACCACACAACTCTGAAAAATCATCAGGGTACCACCCTGGGGCCAGGCTGTGGGACTATGTTGGGGGAGATGGCCCAGGTCCAATGAGACCCCAAGAGAAGCTTTGCTCGTCCTGTGTCCCAGCTCTCTGGCTATTTCAGAGCAACCATCAGTCCTTTTGGAGAGTCCCCAATGGGAAGGAGACAGTTGGGTGATTAAGTTGTGTTTGGGGGATGTCCAGAAGCCTCAGGCCTGATAACCCACAGGGTCCCAGAAATGCCAGGGCAGGCAGGGGCCTCAAAGCACAGGCCCAAGAGGGCTCCAAGAGTTTGCTGTTCACTGTGATCGGTCACTGAGGACCTGTCATACTGCTGGAACTACTTCCTCGCCTCTTAAAAATAAACTAGGAGGAGCCTCTCTGAGGTCATTAGTTATGGTGACTTCAGAAACAAATGACGACAAGGGCTATGATGACAAAACAATGGAATGTGTCACCTGTGCCCCTTTTTGCACGAGTGCATACACTCGCTTTGCTTCCTTCCCCTTCAAGGAAAACATCCTGCCCTGGTGGAGGGTGCAGAGCCCAGGGCCCACCTTTGCAGTGTCGGTGGAGCACGTCCAGGGCCGCGATGAGGAACTCGTGGGCGTCCTGCTGCTCGTAGCCTGCTAGGTGCCTCGCGTGGGTCCACACCAGGTGCAGCAACTTATACGGGATGTGAGGGGACCGGTGTCCAGAGTAAAACTGCCAGAGGGCGGGGAAGGAAACCTTGTCAGGAATAAATGTAGACTCTGAACACAGAGTACACACAATCAAAACCTTTATCAGATGCCTACCATTGGCTGTGGCTCATTTGACACAAATGTTTGGATTTTACTTTTCTACTTTTTGCAAAGTCTATTTTTATCTGGGCTCACTGGACTTTTCGAGTCCTCATATGAATTTTTTCCTTTCTACCATCTAGTTTTCCACATATAAGCCTAAAAAATGAATTATGACTTGCTACTATGAGATCACATGCAAATAAAAGTGACTCGATTTGCCCAATACTAGTTTCCTCAAAGCACTAGCCAAACCACTCAGGCCCATGGACACCAGCACCTCCGCAAAGGGAAGCACATCACTGTGATTATGCAGAATTCACCAGCATCAGCCACAGGATTCTCTGCCTCTGAGGCTAATGGCAATTAGCTGAGGGCTTGCCAGCCAGTCCTCTCCAACAGCTCAACTCCAGCCGCAGACCCAGCAGCACACCTTCCATCCCACGGCTTCCTCCCCAGGTCAGAACCCACAGAGGGGTCTTGCCTGTGCAAATACAGAATTCAGGGCAGTTTTATTTCTCATCAAAAAACCCAAAACCACAGACCACCCAAATGTGTCTGAACTGGGAAACAGACAACTAAACCATAACCCATCTACATAATGGAACCCAACTCAGACATCGAAAGCACACATCATGGATGCACGCAAGACACGGGTGAATCCACCCAGTATTACATTAAGTAGGGACAGCCAGATTCAGAAAGGCTACTTCCTGCATGCATCCATCCGTATGATGCGCTGGTAAAGGACACTCAAGGGACCGAAGACAGATCGGCAGCTACCAGGGTCTGGGGACTGGGGGTTGACTTCGGAGGGGCACGAGGGAGTTCGGAGAGGTAACAGTTCTTCATCTTGAGTAGCAGCAGTTACACAACTATGCATTCGTCGAAACTCATCTATCTATAGGCTAGAAGGTGGGTGTGACTGTAATTTACACCTTAACAAGCCGGAGTCTAAAAACAATCTAACACAAGTGAGCTTATCACTAAAGTCAGTGATACAACCACCCACCAACTTCCCAGCTGCACCCTCCTTTCTCCTATTTGGGCCGTGTCCCCAGCAGTTATGGCACATTGCAGGTACTTTGAGGAAATCGGTTAGGCTCGACCAGAGGCTGGCAATCTGTTTTTGAAAGGCTTGGACAGTAAATAATTTCAGCTTTGCAGGTTGGATAGCCTCTGTCCAACTGCTCAACTCTGTGGCTGTCCCACAAAAGCGACCAGTGACCAGACAGACATGAGTGAGCTGGCGTGGCTGCATCTCTCGCAGAGGTTACGAATGGGAACAGGCCAGGGCTGTTGGCTGGCTCCTGTGCAAGGCACCTGAAGAACAGGCACCAGCCTGCTTATTAGTTGAGGTAACTGAGCTGCTTCAGCTCTGAGAAGCATGTCTAGGTCACGGAGCCGGTGAGGGCTGAGGCGGCAGCCGTGAACGCCTTGCTCTGAACGCTGCCATGCTCTGATGCCGGGGACAGAAGTGGACAGGAACGCCACACGTGCAGCCCACAGGAACAGCCAACGTGCAGCGCGTAGCTCATGAGGACAGAGGCTCTGATGGGGCATGCTTAGAGAGACCTGGCGGTGGAGGAGACTCGCATACCAGGAGGACACAGGAGGGTGACACATGCGTGCCTTTCTGAGCCAGGAAGGTAGACCATGGAGGAAGAGGAAGGGGGAGAATCACCCGTCTTTAGAGACAAATGTCACCCACCAGGGAAGTCTCTGCCACAAGCCTCTCAAAGGGCTTCTCCTTGTTCTGAGTCAGCAGTGCGTCCCCAAAAATCACGCCAGGTCTTCCCTTTTTGGAAAACTGTGTTTTCCATAATAGACATGTATATTAAACATTAACTTACTACAAAAGGTTCTAAATGTATCTTCCTTTATCATGGTCCACCTTAAATTTTTTTTTTGAAGGTGAAAACAAAGTAACAGAAATGTTCCCCTGCAGAAGTCAATGGCGCTCACCTCCTGAAACAGTGAGGACATCTCACAGACCAGACAGGAGCTGGGGCTCTGCATCTCACAGCGGTGCCTGTCAGACAGGAAGAAGTCCCGCAGAAGTGGCGTGTGGGTCAGGGCCTGCACGATGCAGTTCATGAAGCATGTGTTCCCAAGGTTGATCAGCCCACGCAGACCTGGACACAAATCACCAGAGAGCAGGAGTTACCTGTGTGCTGAACCACAGGTGTCGCTGGATCCCAGCGGCTTCCTCTACCTCTACATACTCATTTTCTTTTATTCATTCATTCAAGCCAGAACACGATGAGATATCGCATTCTGCTAGTTTTTATGCCACTTTTACATGAACGGTATTGAAGAATGTCCACCACCATGGACCCCTCCCACTTCAGCCATTGTATGCTTTGACAGAATTACACAAATATAGTTTCTACGACAACAGGCCAGGTCAGAGTGAAGCCTAATGAACAAACAAAACAGGTTTTTAAAAATGTTCTAGGGCCAGGGCAGGGGCTCATACTTGTAACCCAGCACTCTGGGAAGCCAAGGCATGAGGATCACTGGAGCCCAGGAGTTCGAGACCAGCCTGGGCAACATGGTGAGATGTCTCTACGCAAAACACAAAAATTATCCAAACATGGTGGTGTGCACCTGCAATCCCAGCTACTTGGGAGGCTGAGGTGGAAGGATCGCTTGGGCCCAGGAGACAGAGGGTGCAGTGAACTGTGCTCCAGCCTGGGCAACAGAGCAAGACTCTGTCTCAAAAAAGAAAAAGAAAAAGTTTTAAAGGGTATTCCCTCAATTTGTAGAAAATTCAGCGAACACTTACACTCACACACATCATTTCTCTCCCTGAAGATTACTGTGCCCAGCCTCACCCTGGCCAAAATCAACTTGAGTCCCTTTACCCACACAGACGCTGAAGGCTGTGAGGGCAGGGCTGTTGCTACGCATCACTCTGCGCCCCAAGCCCACTGCAGGTCCCTGCAGAGAACAGGTGCTCAAGAGCTGGTTGCTGAGCACATTGATGAGTGACAGTTATGCAGGGCTTCAACAGAATCATGTGGACTTAAGAAACCCACAATTCTGTATTTACTTTTAAACCCTGGAAAGAAGCCTAGCTGAGAGTGACGACACGCTCCACCCACCTATGGTGCAGTTCGAGGTGATCTTTCTCCTTTTCGGGTTGTGCTTCAGCAGTTCAAGCTCCCGTTTGGTTGGTTCCCAAGTTGAAAACTTCTCTCCAACGCCTAAGCAGATGAAGGACAGTTCCAAGCGCTATTAGCTAGATTTTCACATCAAGTGTGTTTACACATAAAAGCTGTGGCGCTATGCTGTCTGTCAGGGTGCATTTCAGTGAGCAACATCCACAGCACCAGGGCTTTCTCAAACTCTACTGTGCTGAGAGGGGCTACACACAACACTTAAAGGAGCTTCTCACAGAGGGTATGAGGATGTGAGCTACGTTTCCTGCAAGAAAAGCAGCACCTCCAGTCAAAACTACCCCAACGCCAATGCCAAAACAGTTGTTTTTCAAATGTCTTCCATCCTTCAGCACAGAGATGGCAGCATCAGCACCAATGGGAACTTACATGAAGGATTCTCCCGCAAACAAGTGAAATTGAAGGAGAGAGCTTGCACTTTTCAGCAAACTGAAATAGCATAAACTCAGCGTCGAGTTACCAAACTAAGATAGATCCAACAGTTAAAAACGTGTGTGCCACAAAATATTCAGAGAGTGGTGGTAAATGCTAATTGGCATAGTATTCCATTCAACGCACACCCTATGCGCTCAGAAGTACTTGTTCCATGCCAACCAACATTTCTGAATACTTCAAAATACTTTAAAAGACACAGCATGTTGGATAGACAGAATTATAAAATGATTCTAGAAGAATTCCATTTTAATCCTGGACATACATTTCTTAGGCCCGTGCTTTAAGTGCTCTGCACAGAATAATACACCCACACTTAGTCACAATGTTATTAAATTTCTGAGAGGGAAAAGAACAGCGAACACAAGTCAGAGATTGCTCTCCAGAGAAGACTTGTTAAACACAAATAATTCTGCTCACTGAAAGAGCCCCTGTTGCTATTCTTCCCTTCTCAAAACACTGGGGTGTTTTCAATGGAGAGTAATCAAGGCAAGAATGTAAAACAGGTGTCAGGTTCATATGTTTCCTTTGCAAACAGTGATGGCTTTGCTACCAGGGAGATCAGATGCTCACCTGTCAACTGGGGTAAACCACACCTGTCACTATGTCACTATCACTGTCAACCACTATGAGCATCTGTCAGAATCAAAAACCAAAAAAAAAAAAAAAAAAAAAAAAAGGAAAAAAAACTCAGGGAAGCCAAGAAGAAATAAAAAATAAAGAAAATGACTGCATGTTTGCTCCTCTCACTCTGTGTAGCCAATAACCAGTGTGTGTGGCCACACGGTGGCGACGGCAAGTGCAAAACCCACACTGGTGCGAGAGCCGTGAGGGCAGCTCACAAGATGGCAAGGATCTGACTGTGCAGTGGGGCTGCTGGGAGACTCTCCTAGTTTCCTTCTGGTGGGTCTAGTTTCCATCTGGTGGGTCTAGTTTCCATCTGGTGGGTGCACGCTGTTGACATGGATTTAACATCACCCAAACAGTCCAGAGTTTTAAAAGAGATTCTACCACAACTTGATCCGAAAATAGTCTGCTCTCCTGGGAGGAAGGAGGTATGTTTACATATAACATTACTGCAAAGAGATCGCTTGCTAGAATTCGGCAGAGCTGAGGGCAAACCACTCAGGGATGTCCAGATACGGAGTCACCTGTCCCCGAGAGGTGTGACCTCGCCACACTCGTTCAGCCCCACATCTGCAGGTGCGCCCTGGGAGAGCTTAAGTAATGCTGGGGTTGTTCCCTTGGCCCAGCTGCAGGCCCATGGGGGACCTGCAAGGGAAGCACCCTGGAAGTGGTCCCAAGCACACGGGCAGCTATGCATGCCTCGACACTAGCCACCTCCCCTGTCATGCAGAGCTTCAGCTGACTCCACTGTGGGCCTTAGGGGAAGGTGGGGACGGCCTCTTCCCACCAGCCTGCCACTTCCCACCTAGGTACTTCTCTTTCTCCTACTGGGTCTGCCCTTGATGGACATGAGGGAACTGCAGGATCAAGCAGGTAAACTGAGGTGGAACCAAACCTTGCATTTTCCAAGCTTTTCGCTGCTCCTCCTTGGCGATTATTTCCATGTCTTTGTCATAGATGTAGTCCTGGCACAGAAAACAGTAGATGCCTCCGTACATCAGATCAATGGCTGAGGAGAGAAAGGAGGGAGGAGAAACCAAGTTGAATTAAAAACCACAATGGAAGGCTGGAGGGCAGAGTTAAACACAGTGAGGTTCTGTAGATACTGACTGTTCACAGCACCTTCCTATTCACAAGCAGGGAAGCCAGTCCAGCGGAGTCTCCTATCCTGAGCAGGTGAGGGGCATGCACTGTGTTTGGCAGCTCATGCCCAGGGCTGAGGTGTCTTAAAAAACAGAGGCGACCCATACATACTTTTCAAAGCAGCCAATACTCCAGGATCAGGACCTCTGCCACCTTCTCTGAATGCGTGGTATTTAAAACTGGTACAACTGCATTGGATATTTTCAGTCCTGGCCACCTGACACGGAGTGACTATGCTTCCCTCCATCTAGAATTCCTGACACCATCACCATAAAGAATGTGGCAGCAACTTGCTGTGACTTTTGTGGTTGGCGGCATTTGCTACTCTTACCTTAAGTACAGGGGGAAAATAGTTTCTCATCGGATGACTTTGATTGACATCTTGACCCAGAGCTGCCTGAAGGTGGGTCTTCTACCACAATTTCTCAACTGCATCTTCTAAAAAATGGGACTAATAGGCCAGGAGCTGTGACTTATGCCTGTTACCCCAGCACTTTGGGAAGCCGATGTAGGCAGATCATTTGAGGCCAGGAGTTCAAGACCAGCCTGGTCAACATGGTGAAACCCCATCTCTACTAAAGTACAAAAAATTAGCCAGGCATGGTGGCACACGCCTGTAACCCCAGCTATTCGGGGAGCTGAGGCGTGAGAACAGCTGAAACCTGGGAAGGGGAGGTTGCAGTGTGCCAAGATCTTGCCACTGCACTCCAGCCTGGGCAACAGAGTGAGACTCTGTCTCAAAAAATAAAAATAAAAATAAAAAAATTATAGTAATACTAGTATATTCTTTTCACAAATAAGAAGAGATACATATGTATGTATAAATTTCAATTTTCTAAAACAGTCACAAGAAACTGTTCACAGTCGTTTCCTTTGGGGAGAAGTATACATTTTCGTGTCGTTTGAACTTTCTAATCGTGTGCATGTCCAGTTTTTAATTGTCAACATAAACCTTTATTTTATGGAAATAAGATCCACTTTTGCTTTCTTTGTTAAAAGTAATAATTTGTAAAAAGTCAAAAAAATAAAATAAAATAAAATAGGACTAATAGTTTGGGCTCTTAATTATTTTATCATAAAAGTAAGTAAGATAAAGTCCTCTGAGTGCCTGAAAAAAGGTACTCTCTCCATTCAACAATTTATAAACAACTGGGGTTAACCGGGTGTGGTGGTTCACGCCTGTAATCCCAGCACTTTGGGAGGCCGAGGCAGGCAGATCACGAGGTCAGGAGATTGAGACCATCCTGGCTAACATGGTGAAACCCCGTCTCTACTAAAAGTACAAAAAATTAGCCAGGCATGGTGGCAGGCACCTATAGTCCCAGCTACTCAGGAGGCTGAGGCAGGAGAATGGCGTGAACCTGGGAGGCGGAGCTTGCTATGAGCTGAGATCTCACCACTGCACTCCAGCCTGGGCAACAGAGCGAGACTCCGTCTCAAAAAAAAAAAAAAACCAAATGAACCAGGATTACCTACCCAAAGGAAGGTAAATGGCTCTACCATAAAGACACATGCATGCGTGTGTTCATCGCAGCACTATTCACAATAGCAAAGACATGAGATCAACCTAAATGCTCACCAATGGTGGACTGGATAAAGAAAATGTACATATATACCATGGGATACCATGTATACATAAAATGAAATGAGATCATGTCGTTTGCAGGAACATGGATGGAGCTGGAGGTCATTATCCTTAGAAAACTAACATAGGAACAGAAAAACCAAATACCACATGTTCTCACTTATAAGTGGGAGCTAAACCATTAGAACACATGGACACAAGAGGAGAACAACAGACACTGCGGCCTACTTGAGGGTGGAGAGTGGGAGAAGGGAGAGGATCAGGAAAAACAAACAAAAAAAATTGTCAGGTACTACAGTACATACCCAGGTGAGGGAATAAACTGTACACCAAACCACTGAATAATACGTTTATATAACAAACCTGCACATGTACCGTTGAAACTAAAATAAAAGTTAAAATATTTTTTAAAAAACTGGGAGAGAAACCCGGCGTGGTGGCTCACACCTGTAATCCCAGCACTTTGGGAGGCTGAGGTGAGTGGATCACTTGAGCTCAGGAGTTCCAGGACCAGCCTAGGCAACATGGTGAACCCCCATCTCTACAAAAATTAGCCGGGTGTGGTGGTGTGTGTCTAAGGTCCCAGCTACTCAAGAGGCTTAGGTGGAAGGATGGCTTGAGCCCGGAAGGCAGAGGCTGCAGTGAGCCAAGACTGCACCACTGCACTCCAGCCTGGGCGAGAGTGCCAGACTATGTCTCAAAAAAAAAAAAAAAAAAAAAATTGGGAGAGTGGGGCTTAAATCCACGTGATGTCAGACACCCGGGAGGCAGCGAAGCACAGAGGAAAGACCATGGATTGAGAGTAACTGGCACCAGCCCTCACTATGCCACCTGCCAGCTGTGCACCTTTCATCAATTACTCCACACCTCTGAGCCTCAGTTTCCCCTGCGGTAAGATGCTGATAGCAACGGTACTAGTGCTTCCCAGAGCTGTGTGATGATTAGGTTAGTATATAACTTAAGTGCATCCCCGGATAAACAGGGAAGTCTTGGAACACCACAGTTTTATTCTATTTCAGGTCTTAAGCTACTACGACTTATATTGTGGTAAATCTTTGAAGTCTTCCAAAGCAGATCTGTTGAAACTCAAAACAGCAGTTTAAGATTCCCAGGGCTACCTTCTGCCCTACTCAAAAAATTCACAAAATGCCAACAACGATGTTAAAATCCTGGTGGGAGCTGTCGCAGAGCTCAGCCATCAACCTTTGCCACTTCCTGTTCATCAGCAGTACAGCCCCAGCACATGGACGTCACAGAGAAATCCTGACAGAGACAAGTTTACAATAAGGGTGATGAGAATTTACAGTAAGGCCAAGATATCCCGTGAAAAACAGCCCACACATGTAGCTGACAACAAAAACTCTAGCCTGGGAAGACGGATCACCATTCCAGTGCCTATGTAAATCCTTCTAGATTTAGGCCTTCTTTAAGACGCCTTCACACTGCAACGCTCCCACTGCATAAAACCAACCGACATCCACAAGGCATCAGGACCATTTGAGGGGATAGGGTATCTCTGTAACAAATGCTGCTGGGACAACTGAATATTCACCTACAAATCCTTACCTCATACTGTATACAAAAAATTAACTCGAATGGATCAGAGACCTAAATATGAGAACCAGAAATATAAAACTCGTAGAAGAAAACTTAAGGGCAAGTCTTCATGACCTCGGATTTGGTAAGGGATTCTTAGATCTGACACAAAACCATCAGCAACAAAAGAAAAAATAAAACCAGGCTGGGCAGCAGCAGCTCACACCTGGAATCCCAGCACTTTGGGAGGCAGAGATGGGAGGATCACTTGAGCCCAGAGTTCAAGATAAGCCTTGGAAACATGGTAAAACCCCATCTCTACACAAAGTACAAAAAATCAGCCAAGCGTGGTGGCGCGTACCTGTGGTCCCAGCCACTCAGGAGGCTGAGGTTGGGAGGATCACTTCAGCTTGGGAGGTTGAGGCTGCAGTGAGCTGTGATTGTGCCACTGCACTCCAGCCTGGGTGACAGAGGGAGATAGTGTCTTGAAAAGAAAAAAGAAACTGGACTTCATCAGAATTAAAAACGTCTGATCCTGTGCTTCAAAGGACACTATCAAGAAACTAAAAAGAACCTACAAAATGGGAGAAAACATTTGCAAATCATACATCTGCTCAGAGTCCAGTATCCAGAATATACACACACACCCCAACACACGCACACACTGTATACTGTGCATGTGTATATATAAAGAACAACAACAAAAACCAAACAACCCAATTTAAAAAAAGCAATGGACATGAACTGATATTTCTCCAAACATATACAAATGGCCCAACAAGCACATGAACAAATATTCAACATCACTGGTCATTAAGAAAATGAAAATCAAAGCCACAATGAGATACCATTTCACACTATTATGGGTATTAAAAAATAAAAGTGTTGGCAAGGATGTGAACAAACTGGAAAGCTTGTCCATCACTGGTGAGAATTAAAATGGTGCAGCCACAAAAAAAAGATGGTGTTTCACATAAGTTAAGCAGTGACCTGATGACCCTGCCAGCTCACTTCTAGGTATACATCCAAGAGAAATGAAAACATGTCCCCCTAGAATTACACACAATGTCCACAGTGGCACTATTCCTAAGCACCAAGACGATGGGAACAACCCACACGTCCATCAGCAGATGAACGGATGAAGAATGTGGTCTACATAAACAATGGAACATGACTGAGCCATACAAAGGAATGAAATACTAATCCATAATACAACTCAGATGAATCACAAATGCATGCTTGCGGAAAGAAGCCAGACACGAAGGGCCACATGTTATATGATTCCACACATATGAAATATCCAGGAAAGGAGAACCCACAGAGACAGAAGGTAGATTCAAGTCACCAAGGGACAGGAGAGAGAGCAACAGGCAGTGATCTGTTAACGACGCATTCCTCTGTGGTGCAAAAAAGTTTTGAACTAGAGAGGTGGAGGACACACAACATTGTAAATGTGCTAAATGTCACCGACTTGTAGACTTAAAAATGGTTAATAGGGCCAGGCGCGGTGGCTCATGCCTGTAATCCCAGCACTTTGGGAGGCCGAGGCAGGCGATCACCAGAGGTCAGGAGTTCAAGACCAGCCTGGCCAACATGGTGAAACCCCATCTCTACAAAAATACAAAAATTAGCTGGGCATGTTGGTGTGCGTCTGTAAGCCCAGCTACTCGGGTGGCTGAGGCAGGAGAATTGTTTGAACCTGAGAGGCGGAGGTTGCAGTGAGCTGAGACCGTGCCATTGCACAGCATGATATTGAGGTGACAGCTTCCAGATGTCCATAAGAAAACAGCTGGATCATAAACACATCATAGAAGATACAGGTATGTTTTGCCTTAAATCGTCTCACTTCTTTTTTACTTTATTTTTTTGAGTCTTGCTCTATCACCCAGGTTGGAGTGCAATGGCTTGATGACAGCTCACCACAGCCTTGACCTCCTAGGCTCAAGAGATCCTCCCACCTCCTGAGTGAGTAGCTGGGACCACAGGCACACACCACCACGCCCTGCTAATTTTTAAATTTTTTGTAGAGACAGGATTTCACCATGTTGTCCAGACTAGTCTTGAGCTCCTGCGCTCAGGTAATCTGCCAACCTCAGCCTCCCGAAGTGCTGGGATTACAGGTGCAAGCCACACCGCTCCTCCCTCATCTCACTTCTTTAAAAAAAAAAATTAGTAGGAAAAAAAAAAATCAGACACACTGTGTCCAGGCATGGTGGCTCACTCCTATAATCCCAGCACTTTGGGAGGCCACAGCCGAAGGATCGCTTGAGCCCAGGAGTTCAAGACTAGCCTACGCAACATAGTGAGACCCTGTCTCCACAATTTTTTTTTTTTTTTTGAGACAGATTCTCGCTGTGTTGTCCAGGCTGGAGTGCAGTGGTGCGATCTCGGCTCACTGCAACCTCCGCCTCCTGGGTTCAAGCGATTCTCCTGCCTCAGCTTCCCGAGTAGCTGGGACTGCAGGCGTGCGCCACAGCACCCAGCTAACTTTTTTGTTATTTTTAGTAGAGACGGGGTTTCACCATGTTGGCCGGGATGGTCTCGATCTCCAGTCTGCCCACCTTGGTCTCCCACAGTGCTGGGATTACAGACATGAGCCACCACGCCCAGCCTACAAAAAATTTTTCAACACAGGAAGTCACTCGGCCTCCCAAAGTGCTGGGATTCCAGGTGTCGTGGTGTGTGCCTGTGGTCCCAACGAGAGGCTGAGGCAGAAGGATCTCCTGAGCCCAGGAGGTCAAGGCCGCAGCGAGCCATGACCGCGCCACTGCACTCCAGCCTGGACTCCAGACAAAGCGAGACCCTGTCTCCAAAAAAAAAAAAAAAAAATCAGACACACTATCTGTGTCGTCAGCCTCAGTTAAAGCCGTGGGTCTTATCCTTTACTACGAGTACTCCTTGTAGAGAGCTGTAAGGGACGTGGGTGCAGTGACTTTATGGACTCGCATGTTGTTTCCAATAGGTCTTTCTAGGCTAATGTTTTTAAAAGAGCATCAAATTACAGAACTTCAGGGCGGGAAAGCCTAAAAATATCTTTACCTGGAATTGCTAGGCTCACATGAACTATTCCCTAAAACAGGTATCTAGCTTGGACCGCTTGAAAATGCTGTTCTGAAGGATATCCTGCCAACTCCATGAGCATTCCAAGGAAAACACTACTGTGTAGAAGAAACAGTTAATGCACGAAGTCAGAAAACAAAGCCAAGGCCGGGCACAATGGTTCATGCCTGTAATCCCTGCACTTTGGGAGGCCAAGGCAGGAGGATCACATGAGGTCAGGAGTTTTGAGACCAACCTGGCCAACATAGTGAAACCCCATCTCTACTAAAAATACAAAAATTAGCCAGGCGTGGTAGCAGGCACCTGTAATCTGTTACATGGGAGGCTGAGGCAGGAGAACTGCTTGAATCCAGGAAGCAGAGGTTGCAGTGAGCCAAGATCACACCACCGCACTCCACCCTGGGTGACAGCGCGAGACTCCATCTCAAAAAAAAGAAAAAGCCAAGAGCAAAACTGAGTTTTATGTAACTTCTAGAATGTAGAATGAGTTTGATTTTGTAAGGCTGTGAAAGGTAAATTAATCTTGAGGCCACACACAGTGCTAAGGGAGCCTTTTCAAGAACTGTGTGACTGGAAACAATGAAACCCATTGCTGAAGGCCATAAAATCACCTATGCCCACCCAACCCCACGCCAGCCTCAGCGACCTCATATTGCATGGAGCTCTTTCTTTATAAATGTTTGCCTAAGGTGATTCCTATGTGTTTCAAAGGGTCTGACGTTTCATTAGCAGGGACAGTGCAACTTTTCACAGGAAGTCAGCTGGACATAAGACAGCAGGCCATTCACTCAGAACCATCGGATGCGAAGGCAAACTGAGGACGCGATTCAGCTGAGCTCGGCTTGTCCCTTTCACTTCCAAGTGTCACCAGTGAGGGGCACGCATTACTTGAGACAAACGACAAAGTGGACTTTTGGAAGAGTGGAACTGCAAATCAAAAAATCAAAGAGTAGCAATTTGGGGGCCACAACTATCCCCCCATCCCAGAAGCTCGCCTCACCCAGGTTGTGCCGCTTCGCCTTCGCATGCTCGTGAATATGCTTCTTTGTGAAACAGCCGAAGAAGACACAGTAGAGGCAGGAATGCAGCCTGTTGAGGTGGACGCCACAGACATGGCAGATACAGGACTTGGCCTGAAATTCAGAGAAGAGGAGGAGTGAACGCTGTGTGATAAGACAGGGGTGCTCAGAGGAAACAGTCAAGCAAAGCATCCCCCCGAGACAGCTACTGGAAGAAAGGACAGGGAATTCCATCTTCAAGGCTTACTACTCTAGAGGATCAGTTTAATCCTTTCAGTTCCCCCAAACAGGACTTCATTCAGATGAAAACTAGCTCCCCATAGGAAAACTCCGTCCACAACTTCAACTGCCAAAACCCTGTAAGCTACGGGGATGTTCCCCCACCTCCTGCTCCTGATCCTGATGGGCACCCCAAGCCCAGCTCCCATCCCCACTGCAGGCCAGCAACTCACACCTAGTCACCCTTAACCTGGACATCATTTCAGATTTGCAAATCCAGGTTCCAGGACCACAGCAAATTTAGAAGCCAACAAGAAAAAGGGAGGGAGACATGAATCAAAGCAATGTACAGAAGAAAGAAAAAGGAGCAGGGCATTACCAAGAAACAGACCTCACAAACCTGAAATGTTAATCACGGCAATGATGAGCACAGTGGTAAACAACCGTTACACCCCCAACCACCCAGGAGTGCCACTGACTCACAATACTAACGGGACGTGTGAACAGGGACAGCCGCCACTGGCAATAGTTGCACAATTCGAGCACAGAAATGAGTAAGAGGAATTATTTATACTGAGTTTTAAAAGAATCCGTAAGTCCAGATTGATAAACATATACACCTACTATGTACCCATCAGATTTTTTAAAAAAGAAATTAATACTATACAAACACAAAGTCTTCTTCGCAGGAGAATTCCATCTAATAAATATCGTAAAAAGACAAAAATACAAGATCTTCATTTTATGCTTATCATAGTAGTAACTAATTCAGGCAAGAATCATCAGTAGATGCTAGAACCACTGGGTAAAAAAATACTGTGTCATTCACAACTGTGAAAATAGTAGAAAAGGTCCATATAGTCATCAACAGATGAGTGGATGAACAAACTGTAGCATATACACAATGGAATATTAATTACTCCACCACAGAAAGGAGTGAAGTACTGACACATGCTACAGTGCAGACTAGCCTTGAAAATATCATGCTAAGTGAAGGAAGCCAGAAACAAAGGGTCACGTATTCTATGAGTCTATTTACATGAAATACTCAGGATAGATAAATCCACCAACACAACTCAGGACGTTGCCAGGGGCTGGGGACAGGGAGAACAAGGAACAAATAAAAACATTTTCAAATTTGATACAGGTAAGGCAGTGACTGCACAGCAGTGTAAACCACGAAATGTTGCTGAATGATTCCTCTAAAACAGTCAACTGTATTATGTGAATTTCACCTGGATTAAAAAAATATATTAAGTTACATAAACAATTGTCCCTCGGTATCTAGGAATTGATTCCAGGATCCCCTCAGGTACCAAACTCCATGGATACTCAAGTCCCTGATACAAAATGTACTTGCAAATAACCTATGCACATCCTCCCATAAACTTTCAATCATCTCTAGATTACTTACAATACCTAATACAAAGTAGATGCTATGCAAACAGTGGTTATAATATATTGTTTCAGGAATAATGACATGAGAAAAAGTCTGTACATGTTCAGTACTGATGCACCTATCCCTTTTTTCCCCCAAATATCTTTGATTTGTGGTTGGTTGAACCCACAGAGGTGGAACTCAGGCCGCTTGTGTGTGTGTGTGTGTGTATGTATGTATGTATGTATGTATGCATGCACACGTGTACTTGTGTATTGAGGCAATAGATATATACAGTTTCAGAGTATCACTCCAGAGACTACTTCAGTCAATTAAACGGGAAAAGATTACCTCTACAACAAAGAACTCTGGCCAACGCCACCCTAACCAAACTTATCCCCACCACAGAGCAGGCAAGTGCAGAGAACAACATGGCGGCGCCTGTGGCGTGCTCAGACCAACACGACCCATCTGGAACCTGCTCCTGAGAAGTAGGGAGGTATGTCCAAATTGAAGGACTTCTGCAAAATGACTGACCTGAGCTCTTCAAAAACATTAATGTAATGAAAGAAAAATAGGCTAGGAATTTCTAGATGAACCAAATCTAAAGACACATGAAATCAAATGCAATCCATGATCTTGGATTGAATCCTATACGCCAATTTTTAAAGGCATAAAGGATATTATTGGAACAATTCAGGTATTTAAAGTTGGACAATGTATGTTAGATAGTACTATTTGAAAAATTAAACTGAGTGTGATAACTGTATTGCGCTTATGTAGGAGACTGTCCCAGTTCTTAGGAGGTAAACTACCATGATGTCTACAGTCAGCCCTCAGATGATTCAGAAAAAGGTACAGACATAAAACCAGTTAGCAAGAAGCTAACAATTGATGAATCCATATAAATGTATACAATATTCATTTTAGCATTCTTGCTATTTGTTGTAGGTTTCTTATTTTCCAAATAAATGGATAGAAGACAACTATTAAATTGAACACATGTACCCTACAGCCTAACGCTTCAATTCATAGGTTTATACGCAACCAAAGACACGTACAAGGACTTTTGTAGCATTATTACTTGCAACACCGCAGAGCTGAAAATACAAATGTTCATGACTTGTAAAAAGAATAAACTATACTACAGTTAATTGAGTAAAGTACACAGCAATGAAAAGGAACTTATGATATACTCAGCAGCGTGGATGAATCTCAGAAACCTAACACTGAACAAAACAACTAAACACAACAAGCTCCTGCTGTGCTACACACTCCATTATAGTCTATCTCTACTACACAACCTAGGACTGTGCTACACACTCCATTATAGTCTCTCTCTACTACACAACCTAGGACTATGCTACACACTCCATTATAGTCTATCTCTACTACACAACCTAGGACTGTGCTACACACTCCATTATAGTCTCTCTCTACTACACAACCTAGGACTGTGCTACACACTCCATTATAGTCTCTCTCTACTACACAACCTAGGACTGTGCTACACACTCCATTATAGTCTCTCTCTACTACACAACCTAGGACTGTGCTACACACTCCATTATAGTCTATCTCTACTACACAACCTAGGACTGTGCTACACACTCCATTATGGTCTATCTCTACTACACAACCTAGGATGCTCCCCTGCACGGGTTTACCAATCACCAGGGAAGACACATTTTACAGGCCTTATGGAGCCAACACAGCTAAGAGACAGCTTCTCCAACATTATTCAAGCAGCCAACCAACAAGACAACTGGCGCTAAATACAGAAAACAGCTGTCTCTGACATACTGATAAAACCTCAATCTTATGTCTGGTATAGTCACACACCACATAGCAATGTTTCAGTGAATGACAGGCTGCATGTACAATGGCGGTCCCAGAAGATTATAGTATCATATTTTTACTGTAACCTTCTCTATGTTTAGCTATAGAAACACAAATGCTTACAACCGTCTTTCAACTGCCTACAGTGTTCAGTACGGTACGTGCTGTACAGGTTTGCTGCCTAGGAGCAACAGGCTCCATCTCACACAGCCTGGGTGTGCAGCAGGCTGTACCATCTAGCTTTGTGTTAAGTCACTCCATGATGTTCACACAAAGACAAAATCGCCTAACAATGCATTTCTCAGAATGTATCCTGTTGTTAAACAATGCCAACACTGCATTATTATTTTTCCCCAATCTACACTGTGGAACAGCACGTCCATTGATAATACTGTATCAGATTTAAATGTAACAGAGGCAGACACAGGAGTAAGGTAGCACATGTCTTCCAGTGTCTGGAGGAGGCCAGGAATAGCCTCTGGAGTGGCTACCCTGCAAACACTTTATTTTGGACGTCCAGTCTCATAATTTGAGATGAAATTTCTGTTGTTCTAAGTTAATCGGTTTGTGGTGGTTTGTTACAGCAGGCCCGGTCACTCACATGGGGTTCACATTCATTTTTATTCTATCTCCTTTCACAGCACTGTAAAGTAGAAAACACAGCCAGGCGTGTTGGCTCACGCCAGGAATGCAGCACTTTGGGAGGCCGAGGTGGGAGGACAGCTTGAGGCCAGGAGTTCAAGACCAGCCTGGGCCAAATGGTGAAACCTCATCTCTACAAAAAATGCAAAAATTAGCTGGGCATGGTGGCACACACCTGTAGTCCCAGTTACTCAGGATGGTTTGAGCCCAGGAGGTCAAGGCTGCAGTGAGCCAAGATCGCACCACTGCCCTCTAGCCTGAGCAACAGAACCAGACCCTGTCTCAAAAAAAAAAAAAAAAAAAAAAAAAAAAAAAGTTGAAAATGCATTCCCCAGGCACCCTTGCAGCTCATGTTCCAAACATATCTTGAGACACATTTGCAGACGATGCGGTTGGTGAGTAAGCTAAGGAGAGAGGCCCAGTGGGGGCATCCACAGGCTGACATGGACCGTGGAGGGGTGGCACTGTTTAAGCAGCCCAGCACACCACTTTCTGGTGTGGTGGCTCCTGCAGAGGCAGGATTCCCCAGGCTGGCGGGTTTTCCTAGAAATTCAACCTAGAATCTACTACTCCATAGCCCTTGCAATGATTTCTGAATTAAATCCTTTTCTCCTATAAATTAATTCAAGTAGATTCAGTAGACTGCAAGCAAATCCTGAAACATAACTAGGATTTGTATGTGACAGGAATTAGAAGAGGATCAATTATTTAATTGTTGTTGATCTTATGCAGTACAGAAACACCCTGCCAAATTCATTAATTTGGTCCCGATATTAAGAATATTCCTCTGAATATCCTGTCCTCTTATCTCCCCACTCACACTACCTCCCACCCCAAGAAGGATGCGGAGGAGCAAGAGGGGCAGAGCCCTTGTAGTCAACCAGACTTACCCTATGGGATGACTCAACAGTACACTGAATTTTGAGTCCAGCTTTTAAAAGTGTGCAAACATGACACACCACCTTAAGAGCTAGTGCACTTTTCACACATTACCCATGACTTCCTACTGGTCTAAAACCTGAGCATCTTAGGAAGGTAAGTTTAATTCTTGTGCATTCTCTTCAGTGACTTTTTCAAGGACTCAAACACTGACATAAGTGAAGGGACAGGTATAATTTTTTTTTTTTTTGAGAAGGAGTCTTGCTCTGTCACCAGGCTGGAGTGCAGTGGCGTAATCTCCGCTAACTGCAACCTCCGCCTCCCGGGTTCAAGTGATTCCCCTGCCTCAGCCTCCCGAGTATCTGGGACTACGGGCGCGTGCCACCATGCTCGGCTAACTTTTTGTATTTTAGTACAGATGAGGTTTCACCATGTTGGCCAGGATGGTCTTGAACTACTGACCTCAAGTGATCCACCCACCTCAGCCTCCCAAAGTGCTGGGATTACAGGCATGAGCCACCGTGCCCGGCCTAAATATTCTATCCTTTATATGAAAAAAAAAATACGGCACTAAAAAGCTAAAGACTTTGCCAAAATTAGATAATCTTCTCAAATTAAGTTCCCCAACCTCAAAAACCTCAGCTTCCAGACTCAGGCCCCTCAATCTCGGAGCCAAAATCAATCTAAGGGTACAGCGACTCCAGACCTTTCAATTTACAGAAGGGGTAATTTCATTCAGCAAAGGCAAGACCTCAGACTGACCTCATTTCAAGGCTGGGACCCAGCAGTTGCCGGTGATGTCCTTGGACAGGTCAGGAGACTTACTTGCCAGGCCTACCTAAAAAGTGTATCCCAACTACCAAAACCAGAAGGAAATTACGTATGAAATATAAAATATCACAGCAGTCCTCCCTTACCTACAGTTCCGCTTGCTGTGGTTTCAGTTACCCACAGTCAACCTCAGTCTGAAAATAGTAACATGGAAATGCCAGAAATAAACAATTCATAAGCTTTAAACTGCCCGCCGTTCTGAGAAACATGATGAAACTGAGTGACATCCCGCTCTGTCCCATGACCATCCCTTTGTCCAGCTTCTCCGTGCCATCTAGGCCACCTGCCCGTTAAGTCACTTGGTAGCTGTCTTGCTGATCACATCAACTGTTGCGGATGTGATCACGGATAAAAGTGAACACAAGCCACTTTTATTTGGCTTAATATGGCCCCAAAGCTCAAGAGTACTGATGCTGCAATTTGGATATGCCAAAGAAAAGCCATAAAGGGCTTCTTTTACGTGAAAAGGTAAAAATTCTTAATAAGAAAACAATATCAAATAACAAGGTTGCTAAGATCTACAGTAAGAACAAATCTATCCATGAAATTATGAAGGAAAAAAGTTTGCACGTAATACAAATGGGGTTCAGTATTATCTGTGGTTTCAGACAACTACCGGAGGTCTTGGAATGTATCCCTCAAGGATGGGGGTGAGTACTCTATTATCATAAACAGGAAATGAGGAAGCCCAAGAGATGCTGTGCTGAGGGACACACACTTGGACGGAAGCAAACTGGGGCAAAATCCTCCTGGTACTGACCAGCTTAGGCTAGTCTTCCTTTAAATTGAGCTCACCTCACACAACTGTCAATTACACATGTATGGGGAGCAATCACATTATCCTAAAGCCTCATTTTAATCTACCATTCTCACTTAATTCTCTGAGTTTCTTACCAGAGCTGCTAACATATAATAATAAAACTCACACTCAATTCTATCTCAATTTCTACTCTTCAGCACCCTCTGCTACAGGTACTGGCCAACATAAAACAAGAGGCAAGAAAAAGACTCACATATCCATTAGGCGGGTCATTTTAATCCTTGAAAACTGAGTTTACTTCCTACCTAAGCTTCCATCCGCTTAATACCAAGGTGATCAAGTCTGTGTGCTAAATACAGGAAAAGCCTTAATAGGAGACCCTGCTACCAATTTGTAGGAAATAGGACAAAAAAAAAACAAACCACAACACTTTGAACTTCCACTGTTGAGTATGCAAACAGCAAAATCCAGACTATAGGGAAGTCAACAAGTCACAAGGCCCAAGTTTTTCAACAGATAAAGTAGAAGCAAAAAACTGTAAGAAAGGAATGAAGAGAGAACCTACAGATTAAGAAACTTAAACGACTTACCAGTATAGCCACATGATAAATACCATTAAAAGAAAAAGGAATGAACTTTCGGCTGGGCGCGGTGGCTCACGCCTGTAATCCCAGCACTTCGGGAGGCTGAGGCAGACAGATCACAAGGTCAGGAGATCGAGACCATCCTGGCTAACACAGTGAAACCCAGTCTCTACTAAAAATACAAAAAAATTAGCTGGGCGTGGTGGCAGGCGCCTGTAGTCCCAGTTACTCGGGAGGCTGAGGCAAGAGAATGGCGTGAACCCAGGAGGCGGAGCTTGCAGTGAGCCGAGATCGCACCACTGCACTCCAGCCTGGGCGACAGAGCAAGACTCCGTCTCAAAAAAAAAAAAAAAAAAAAAAAAAGGAATGAACTTTCAATCCACTCAATGGATACAATGGATATTGCTAGACAAAAGAAGCCAGTATGAAAAGGCTACAGACTGTATGAACCCAATGATATGACATTCTGGAAAGGGAAAAACCTCCGAGATGGAGACGAGACCAGTGGTTGTGGAGAGTTAGAAGGTGAAGCACAGGGATTTCTTGGGGCAGTGCAACTGTTCTGTACAGTACTGTAGTTGTGGATGCCTCTGTCAAAATCCACTGAGCTTTAAAGCACAAAGAGCAAACCTTAATATATGCGATTTTAAAAATAACTGATGAGGCCCTATGGAATGCAGGCTGAGGCAGAAGAAACCAATTGTATTACACATATAGGACACAACTCCGCCAAGAGGGGTGGGGAGGGAAGTACCTAAGTAATGTGGAAATGAGGAGGGAGTGTAAGACTAAAAGCAAAAGGAACTGTAACTGAGCACTGTACTGTAAGGGGGGGGGGGGTCAAGTCATTTCCCAAGGGAGTACAGGACAATTCTGAAACCTCTCTTCATGTATACCAAAGCACAACAGGTAAGTAAGTAGATTGTCGACAGTGGGAGCCAGCATTTTCTCTGCTGGACAGAGAAGTTACAGATAAACTGGAGGGGAAGGCTAGAATAATCCCTATAGAAATGGATTAGAGTTGGAGATATAAACATGAACTCATGTAGAGCTTAATAGGGATGCTGATGAATATATATCAAATTACAGACGTGTATATGCACGCATTTGTATATACACACCTGTTTCCCAGCTCTGTCCCTTGAGGGGGCCAAGAAGCCAGGATATCCCAGTAATGATGAACACACCAGTGCCCAGATCTTGAGATCTAATTCCATTCTCCCAAAAAAGAAACTAGGGATCCTTGGAAAATGCTGGAGTCTAAGGCTGGGGCAGAAAACACATAAGATGATCCCAGAACATCGTGTAGTTCCAGAAAGTAAGGAAGTGCTCAAAAACAACGAACAAAAAATAATGTGGCTATGTGAAAGGGACACCGGAGCCAGCTGAAAGAGCTCCCAGTGGATACAGCCAGATGATGGGAGCAACACAACAAACCACACAGCACTGGATGATAACCCAAAGCATACATTCAATATCCACAAGTCCATGTTGATATACACAAATGAATAAACACACGAGTGAGGATCAGCAAATCTTCCATACATAAACGTTCCAAATAATTTAAGTAGCTACTCCATCCTCAAGGAGGAGGAACAGAACTCCCCACCCCGGTAGAGTACCTATGCAGAGTGACTCCCTTCTATTATAAACAGTACATAAAGGAGGGAAAGAGTCACTCCACAGTGGAGAAACCTGGCAAACATGACTTCGGCCATTCAGTCAAGCCCAGCAACCCAAGACATCTTGACAGCATCATCCTTAATTTACGGGAATGAGAAGGGCACTTCATCTCCCTGGTCTTCCTTCCCAAAACTCATAACCACAGCTGAATCATGAGAAAAACATCAGAAAACCAAAACTGAGGGACATTCTACAAACTACATGACCGGGACTCCTCAAAACTCTCAAGGTCACCAAACAGGACAGCCTGAGAAACTGTCACTGTCTAGAAGAGCCCAAGAGGACGTGAAGACTCAAAGTAATGTGGGATTCTGAGACAGAATAAGGACATTACATAAAAACCAATGAGTTCTGAATAAAGTATGCAGTGTAGTTAATGAACTAAATACACAAACACAAATGAGTAGAAGTAAAAGCGGGGAAATCTGAATGAGATGGTGGATTATATTGAAGATAGACTGTATCAATGTCAATATTCTGGTGGTAATTGTACTCCATTTCTGCAAGAAGTTACCCTTAGAGGACTGGGGAAAGATACACAGGATTACTCTATTTTCTTACACCAGTATGTCAATCTACAATGACCTCAAAATTAAAACCTTAAACAGAAAAATGTTTACATTTTAGATCTTTTACTTAGACCCCACTTAGTATGAATGGTGTAATGTTTTGTTGTGATGATTTGAAAGATCCAGTTCACTATAAAATAAAAAGTAAATTCCTCAAAGAAACAAAGTTTTAAAGTATACTTTTAAAATAGCACATATCATCCCAGCACTGTGGGAGGCCGAAGTGAATCTCCTAAGGCCAGGAGTTCAAGACCAGCCTGGGCAACATAGGGAGACTCAGTCTTTTATTTTTTTTTAATAAATAAATAAATACAATAGCACGTATCAGGAAAATGAGCTAGACTATGAAAATAAAAACAAGTAATGAGAGCTCTCTACAATGTGCTCACCACCATCCCAGCACCTGGCTGAGCCAGTAAAGACAGACTGAGGCATTGTTGGATGGCTGGGAGAGGTGGCTCATGCCTGTAATGCCAGCACTTTGGGAGGCCAAGGAGAGAGGATCACTTAGCTCAGAAGTTCAAGACCAGCCTGGGCAACATGGCAAAACTCATGGCTACCAAAAATACAAAAATTAGCCAGGTGCGGTGGCGCATGCCTGTAGTCCCAGCTACTTGGGAGGCTGAGGCAGGAGGATCACTGGACCCCAGGAACTCGAGGCTGCAGTGAGCCATGATCATACCACTGCACTCCAGCCTGAGTGAGAGACAGACCCTGTCTCAAAAAAAAAAAAAATACATAAAAAATAAAAAATTTAAAAAAGTGTTTTGAGGACACAGTGCCATAAAATTTTAGATTCAAAGAGAGAAATGGTTTTAAAAACATTACCTGTTCTCCAAAGTGTCTATATTCAAAATATAATGTAGAATGTTAAATCATAATCACTTCCTGCCAGTTCCTATCTTTACAGACAAACCCTGAAATGGTAAGAAATTTGTTATATTTAACACACACCAAAAACACAAAGGAGACGCCACTGTGGTCGTGCCAGTCCTAAATCATGGAAATAGTTTTTTTCTTTTTTTTTGAGACGGTCTCGCTCTGTCGCCCAGGCTGGAGTGCAGTGGTGCGATCTCGGCTCACTGCAACCTCCGCCTCCCTGGTTCAAGCGATTCTCCTGCCCCAGCCTCACGAGTAGCTGGGATTACAGGCGCGTGCCACCATGCCCAGCTAATTTTGTGTATTTTTAGTAAAGACATGGTTTCACCGTGTTAGCCAGGATGGTCTCGATCTCCTGACCTCGTGATCCGCCCGCCTCGGCCTCCCAACGTGCTGGGATTACAGGCGTGAGCCACCATGCCCGGCAGAAATATTTTTATAGTCTGCAATACAAGAGTTTTATGGCAATTCGGGCCAGGCGCGGTGGCTCATGCCTGTAATCCCAGCACTTTGGGAGGCCAAGATGGGCGGATCACCTGAGGTTGGGAGTTCGAGACCAGTCTGACCAACATGAAGAAACCCCATCTCTACGAAAAATACAAAATTAGCCAGGCATGGTGGCGCATGCCTGTAATCCCAGCTACTTGGGAGAATCACTTAAACCCTGGAGGGGGAGGCTGTGGTGAGCCGAGATCACGCCATTGCCCTCCAGCCTGGGCAAAAAGAGTGAAAACCCCATCTCAAAAAACAGAGTTTTACTGCAATTCAAGCTTCTTTTGGACAGAAATTTATCAAGCCTGGTCATGTTTTTGTCATGTTCTGCCTGTTAAAAGAAGAATCAAAGTTTGGGTACAAAATGCATAATCCATCTGTCCTTAGATAACAAAACTCGTAATTCCTATTCATTCAGGGATTCATTTCTTTAAACTGTACCTGAGATGTCCATCTCAAAAAGTACCTTTGTTTGTTTACAAAGATTATAATTCAAGTTGAAGTTTGTTTTGAGATAGGTTTTGTTGTCCAGGCTGGAGTACAGTGGCACAATCATCAGCTTAAAGTACTTTTACAGTCAAGTTCATATCATTAAAACCAAAAATATGGCTGGGCTCAGTGGCTCTGGCCTGTAATCCCAGCACTCTGGGAGACAGGAGGATGGCTTGAGTCCAGGAGTTCAAGACCAGCCTGTGCAATATAGTGAGACACTGTCTCTACAAATATTAGCCGGTCGTGGTGACACACGCCCGTAGTCCCAGCTACTCAGGAGAGGCTGGAGTCCAGGAATCTGAGGCTGCAGTGATCACTGACCAGACCATTGCACTCCATCCTGGGTAACAGAGCAAGACTCTGTCTCTACAAAAAATAATTTTTAATAAAATAAAATTTAAAAAACAAAATGTCCTAAGCTTACAGATCTGATGGAAATCCTATGCAGATTGTCCAACTGTTAATCATCAGGTTTGTTAAACTATTTCCCAAACCAACTCTTCCTTAACTGGGCCACTAGAGAGTGCTAGAAATGCAGGACACCGCACATGAAGTGATACAGGTAAATAAGTCCCCCCAGTCAGAGGAAAAAGCATGGAGGGCTTAAGGGCTCCTTGCTGGCACACTGCCAACTGGCACTGCAGCAGCCCCCACCTAAATTTTGAAAGAAATATTTTTCACTACCCGACTACAGTTCAACTTCTAATTGGTGAATAACATACATGTGGCTCAACAGTTTTGAAACTAAGCAACTGACATCTGAAATTAAAAGATTAATCAGAGCCATAAGTAGCGCAAAAAAAAAAAGTAATTCTTAACTTTAGGAAATTAGGCAAAGTTAGTTAATGATGGTTTAAACTTGACTCCTTCTATTTGGTTAAAAAATACCAGAGGGGGGAAGAAAGGGAGAGGGAGGGAGGGAACGGAAAAAGAAAAGGAGGGAGAGGAAGAGTGGGGCGGTCCCCACTTCATCCAAAGTAGTAACAAATCTTGGGCGCGTCACGTCCCAATCCGGACACTACTGACCCAGAGTAGCAACAGCACATTCCCTGTAGAAGACTGGCTTCAACCAGGCCACCCTTTTTTTTTTTTTTCCGGAGGGGGTCTTGCTCTGTCACCCAGTCTGGAGTACAGTGGCGCGATCACTGCTCACTGCAACCTCCGCCTCCCGGGTTGAAGTGATTCTCCTGCCTCAACCTCTGGAGTAGCTGGGATTACAGGCGCCCGCCATCACACCCGGCTACTTTTCGTATTTTTAGTAGAGATGAGGTTTCACCATGTTGGCCAGGCTGGTCTCGAACTCCTGACCTCGTGATCTGCCCCCCTCGGCCTCCCCACGTGCTGGGATTACAGGCGTCAGCCACCGCGCCAAGCCAGGCCATCTTTTCTTAAAGACACACAATTCTACTAGCAAGACTCTAACTCCGATCCTGAAACGTTTTATGTCTGATTTTAGTTCATCCAGACATAACGCTACCTGATACCATTACAGATAAAAAAAATTTTGAGGCCGGGCACGGTGGCTCATGCCTGTAATCCCAACACTTTGGGAGGCAGAGGCGGGTGGATCACCTGAGATCAGGAGTTCCAGACCAGCCTGGCCAACATGGTGAAACCCCGTCTCTACTAAAAATACAAAAATTAGCCGGGCGTGGTAGCAGGAGCCTGTAATCCCAGCTACTCAGGAGGCTGAGGCAGGAGAATCGGCTGAACCCGGGAGGCGGAGATTGTAGTGAGCCGAAATCGCGCCACTGCACTCCAGCCTGGGGTACAAAGCGAGACTTCGTCTCAAAAAAATAATTTTTTTTTTGAATTACTGCTTAACATACCCTACAATCTCAGCGAGCCTGTTGGTATTCCCATAAATAAAAAAATGCCACTCAAGGTGGAAACTGCCCTCACAACTCCCAATCTCGGATTGTAATCTACAAAAGCGCGTGAAACTGTAAAAATAAACTTTATTCACATAGAAGAATCACGTTACGTTTTGATTTCCAAACCCTTACCAAGCCTAACTGCGGGACGCAAGACTGGGCTCCCCGAGGGGACTCACTCCTGGTTAAGGCCTCCCACAGCCCACGGCGCGCTTCCAAGTCTACTCCTCAGCCGCAACGCAAACCCGGGCTGTGGCTCCGCACCCACAGGCTCGCCCCGGCCCCAGCCCCTGCCGCCCTCCACCTCCAGCTCCTCGCGGGCCCCGAGGCAGCCGCGAAGCTCCGGCCCCGCGCCCCCCAGCCCGCCTCCTGCCCCAGCTCCCGTCCAAGGTCGCTCCTGGCGGCGGGTGACCGCTGCAGACCAACGCCCAGAACTCGACAGCCCCCCATCCTTTACTCATTTTTTTGAAATATTTCTTTCTCTGCACCCGCATCCAGCCCCGAACCCTCCAGAACCAGGAGAGTTCCCCGCAAGGACCTCGCGCAGGAACGCCCGGGACCGCCCACCGAAGTCCCAGGCTCCCCAGGCAGCAGGGCAGGAGAACACCACCCCCGGCCCGGAAGCACTCGCCCCTCCCGGGCCAAGAAGGATAAGGGAGGGGGAGGGCGGAGAGAAAGGAGGGGGAGGGGACAGAGAGGAGGGGGAGGGGACAGAGAGGAGGGGGAGGGAAAGGAAGAATGGGGGAAGGGGGGAGAGGGGAAGGATAGGAAGATGAGGAGATAAGGGAAGGGAGAGAGTTGAGGGGGGAAGGAAAGGAGGGGGAAGGGGTAAAGAGAAGAGAGGGCAGAAGGAGAGAGGAAGAGGAAGGACAGGGAAAGGCAACGGGGGAAGGGAAGAGGGCAGGAAAAGGGCCCCTCCGCCGGCCGGCCTCAGGAGCGGCAGAAGGCCCCGAGCCCGCCGCGCGGTGGGCTGCCGGGCGCACCTTGCGCTTGCGGGCCTCAGCCGTGCCGCTCCACACGAAGCACTGGTAGATGGCCCGCAGGTTCTGCTTCCAGTTGTCCACCTTGAAGCTGCCCAGGTGCGAGCAGCCCGGCGGCGCTACCGCCAGCTCGGCGTCCATGGCCTCGCCCTCGGGCTCTGGCCGGGACACCATGGGGGGCAAGGCCCGGCCGCGCGCGGGGGGCGGCGGCGAGGGAGGCGAGGACGACGCCAGCGCGGCGTGGGGGCTGCTCGGCGGCTGGCCAGGCTGGCCAAGGCCCGGGCGCCGAGAACAAAGCGCGGAGGCCGGACAAAGATGGGGCTGCGCGATCGCCGAGGGGAGGCTGCAAGGCAGGCACCGCCCCCGAGCTGCGGCTGCTGCGGACCGCCTGCGCTGCGCTCTCGCGGTTCGCGGAGGGTGTCGCGGGGCGGGGCGCCGCGGCCGCGGACGGAGATTACGTCACCCCCCCCCCCCCTCCCGGCCGGCACCGCACTGCGCAGTCTCCAGCCCGCGCCAGGCCCTTCCCCCACACTCGCGCGCCCGTTAGGCTCTGGGTAGACCCGCGCCCGAGGAAGCGTGGTAGGGGGGGGAAGCTAACGAGGGCCCGCCCCTCCCCTTCCTTTATTGGTAGTAGGCCACCCCCCCCCCCCCCCCGGCACCTTCGGCTATTGTCATAGGCTCTCAGTATAGTCCGTCTGGTACAGAGCCGCCTCCCGGGACCCTGGCGGCTAGACGTTCCCTGTCTCTTCCAGAGGACTGGGGAGGCGGGGGCGTGCTGCGGTTGGGCGGCGCGAGACGTCAGTCCTAGCACTGAACCGGTTTGCGCCGGCCTGAGCTCTGCCGCAAAGAGGCGGGGCGATGAGCTGGAGCGCCGCAGGTCGGGCCTCCATCCAGGGCCTGCGCTTTCCCACCCAAAAGCACCCCCTAATCGGGAGCTGTTTGCAGGGCCCCCGGTTGCCGTAACCTGGCTCGGGCCCTGCAGTGCCGTGGCCCGGGGCTGGAACTGCCTGCCAACTGCCTGGTAGGCGCTGCCCCCGGCCGCAAGCTGGGGCGCCTCCTGTCGGGAGCCCGCTGATAGTGAGGGCCAACCCGGCGCCATCCAGTTTAAAGAGGCATCTGCGCGCCACACGCCTGACACTTCACATTTGCTAGTGGCTACATTTTTCTAATGAAAAAAGAAAGTTACAGTAATATATCTCAACCCAATAAAGTCAAATTATTTCAGCATGTAGGCAGTATTGCAAAATCGTTAGTGGAATGTTTTACAGTTTTTGCAGCAAGTCTTGGAAATCTGGTATTTACACTTAAAGCACATCCAATTCCTACTAGCTGCTACCGCAGTGGGCGGCACAGGTCTAATCGGTATACAAATAACTGACCCAAGGCAAACTGAGAAGACATTTAAAGACGAATGCAAACGAAGTTCTGGGGGAACCAGGGCGCCAAGGGTCTGGGGGAACTTGGATAAGGTGTCAGGTGTGGAGCTGCTCCCCTGTACTCATCCCGCTGCTAACTGCTTTGCTCATTCATTCATCCACAGATTGCAGGAAACAGCAATTGCCGTCCAGAACCATCACAAGTTAAAAAATAAAGATTGTGATCTCACAACACTTAAAGCTACAGGGTTTAATGGACTGACGACTGGGATAAAGCTTTTGTGGCCAAGACAAATTGCCGAGCACAGGTTTTTGCCTCATGGCCTTCGTGCTTGCAGTACCCTCTCCCTAAAATGCTTTCCCTACCCCCTCACCCTCTGCATCCTTATATTCCATGTCTGATGCTCGCTCACCTCCTTCCAGCTTTATCACACACCTCCTTTTCCGTGAAAAGGAAAATTGCCACCCTAATGAAAATTGCAAGCCCCCCAAAATTCTCCATTCCCTTACCCTGCTTTGTTTTTCTCCAAAGAATTTATCACTATCTGGCGTAATGAATATTTACTTATTTTTTTTATTGTCTCTTCCCTTAATAGCATGAAAAATTACGAGAGGGTAATCTTTTTTTTTTATTTTTTATTTTTGAGACAGAGTCTCGCTCTGTTGCCCAAGGCTGGAGTACAGTGGTGCAATTTCGGCTCACTGAAACCTCCGCCTCCCAGATTCAAGCGATTCTCCTGCCTCAGCCTCCCCAGTAGCTGATATTACAGGCGCCTGCCACCACGCCGCTAATTTTTGTATTTTTAGTAGAGAGGGGCTTTCACCATGTTGATCTGGAACTTTTACTAGAAATGGGGTTTCGTCAGGCTGGTTTTGAACTTCTGACAGCAAGTGGTCCACCAGCCTCGGCCTCCCACAGTGCTGGGCTTATAGGCGTGAGCCACTGCGCCTGGCCTCCAAGAGGGTAATGATATTGTGTGTTTTATGTACTACTACAGCCGCAAGTTCCCAGAACTGTATTGGCTACATGCAGGTACTCGGAATTACCCGGTGAAGCCCTATAGTAGTCCCAGCTACTCCAGAGGCTACGGCAAGAGGATCGCAGAGCCCAGGAGGTCAAGGCTGCAGTGAGCTGTGATTGTGCCACTACACTCTAGCCTGGGCAACAAAGCAAGACCCCATCTCTAAACAAAACAAAACCCTGCCGAATTAATTAACCCGAAACACATTTACAGAAAAATCTAACGAGACCATTTCTAGAATAAAACACTTGTTAAGGAAAACCATGTTTATGTTAGAGGAAAGAATGTCAGCTTACAAAAAACTAAAATCCTAACTAGTAAGTCAGGAATTACAAAAATATGTGATCCATCTCTATAAATATTGATGTAAGGAGTTTTCTCATATTGTTGGGCTTATACAAATATGATTTGGCTTCACAAATGTGCACTTAGCATTCAGGCCCTAATATTTATTATCTTTTTTTTTATCAATACGATCATCTAAGCACAGAAGAATATCTGTGCTGTCCACTTGAATCAATTATAATGATTTAAATGTTCCATAATCAGAACAACCTTAGTGATTTTAAAAAATTTAAACTACAGAATATACTCTTGAGAAGCAGTCCCCAAAAGATGTATGGATGAAGTGCTTTTTTTCTAATGGGAAACAAATGGAAACGTTAATGACGATTAATAGGAGAATCATTGAATAAATGATGGACTAGCCATTCTAGGGAATAGTACACAGCTATTAAAAAGAATGAAGTCCAGCTTGGGCAATGTGATGAAACCCTATCTCTACAAAGAAATTAAAAAAAAAAAAAAAAAGCCAGTTGTGGTGGTGCACGCCTATAGTCCCAGCTACCCAGCAGGCTGAGGCGGGAGGATTGTTTGAGCATAGGAGGTCGAGGCTGCAATGAGCCCTGATCATGCCAGTGATTCCAGCCTGGGCAACAGAGAAAAAAAAAACTAGATCTGTAAGTACTAGTACAAAAAGTCATAAAACATAAATGAATACAACAAATTGCAGAAAATTACAGAAAATATGCTGACGTTTGTAGGAAAATAATGGAAGGCCTGGAAGAAAGAAACACACCCATCAATAACAGTAACTTCTGGAAAGGAAAAGGTAGATGTGACTTAATCTGTAATGTTTGAATGTTTTCTTACAATGAAAATTAATATATTCCTTTGTATTTAAAAATCACTAAAACTTAAAAAGAAATGACAAAGTGTCATGGTACGAGGGAACACACTGTTCTACAACATGTAGAAAACAGTGGCCCACATGTTCAGTATATGCATTTATTCATGTATCCAAGAATCAAGTCAGATTGCTAAATTACAGTCAGGCTCTGCCACCTACTATCTGTGTAACCTTGGGCGGATTGCCTAAATTTCTCAGCCTGTTCACTTATCTGTTAAAATTGGGAGAATATCAGCTCTGTGCTTACGTTGAAGTGTATGGCAAGGAATAAATGAGATAATCCATACAAAACTCTTAGCAAGTGCCTGTTGTTAATAAGGGCTCAAGAAACATTAGCAGTTATTGATCTGATAGTTGCTGGCAATTGAGATGATTACAACAATTTCTTGCTTCAAGAATCCCAGGAGGATGGGAGAGGAGAATTTTTTTTTTTTTAATTTAAAAAAAAAAAGGCCGGGCATGGTGGCTCACGCCTGTAATCCCAGCACTTTGGGAGGCCGAGGCGGGCGGATCACAAGGTCAGGAGATCAAGACTATCCTGGCTAACATGGCGAAACCCCGTCTCTACTAAAAATACAAAAAATTAGCTGGATGTGATGGCACCATTGTAGTCCCAGCTACTCAGAAAATCGCTTGAACCCGGGAGGTGGAGGTTGCAGTGAGCCAAGATTGCACCACTGCACTCCAACCTGGGCGACAGAGCAAGACTCTGTCTCAAAAAAGAAAGCCAGGTGGCCTATGCCTGTAATCCCAGCACCTTGGGAGGCCAAGGTGGGTGGATCACTGAAGGTCAGGAGTTCAAGACCAGCATGGCCAACATGGTGAAACCCCATTTCTACTAAAAATACAAAAATTAGCCAGGCGTGGTGGTGCATGCCTGTCATTGTAGCTACTTGGGAGGCTGAGGCAGGAGGATCACTTAAATCTGGGAGGTGGAGGTTGCAGTGAGCCAAGATCGCGCCACTGCACTCCAGCCTTGGTGATACAGTGAGACGGTGTCTTAAAAAAAAAAAAGAATCCCACAGTGTAGTGTGCTTAGTAGCAATATTGCCAGCAACATTAGCGGGATGTTATAGGAATATAAAACTGCAGCGATAAAGGAAAGTCTAGGTAATATCGTAATACTCCAAGACACCTCTTTACCGTAATCCTCCCCAGACAGGTATGGTGGAGGAGATCTGGAAATGTTTTTTGATGCCTTACCTAGGTATGGAAGACAGGGTTTTTTTTTTGTTTTGTTTTGTTTTTTTGAGATGGAGTCTCGCTCTGTCACCCAGGCTGGAGTGCAGTGGCGCAATCTAGGCTCACTGCAAGCTCTGCCTCCTGGGTTCACACCATTCTCCTGCCTCAGCCTCCCGAGTAGCTGGGACTACAGGCGCCCGCCACCATGCTCGGCTAATTTTTGTATATTTAGTAGAGATGGGGTTTCACCTTGTTAGCCAGGATGGTCTCGATCTCCTGACCTCGTGATCCGCCCGCCTTGGCCTCCCAAAGTGCTGGGATTACAGGCGTGAGCCACCGCGCCCAGCCGAAAGACAGTTTTTAAAAAGGAGTGTGACCTGGTCAGGTTTTTGCCTGAAAAGGCATTTCCCACCATCCATGAGACTAACACAGCCTAAAATGTTATTTTCTAAATTTTTGTTTTCAAATTTAAAAGAAGTTAAAACACCCATGGAATTATGGTTCCTAGATGGTCAAGTAATAATCCTAGACCAATCCTCCCTCATATAACAACTATGAACTGTGGACATAATGCAAGCACAAATATCTAAAGGCTTTGGAGAGTGAACCAAAGCAGGCAGACCTAGTTAGGTGCAGACACATGGAAAAAGGGACCTGCCCAATAGGAGTAACCCGATGTCGATGGTTTATAGACTGAGGACAGGACATACTTGGCATCTAGACAGGAAGCCTGAAACTCTGATAGAAAATCCATGGTATTTCTGGACTGAAGAAGCAGAAGACAGAGTACAGAGCAACCAAAGCCACTGAAAAGTGAGAAGAGATTCAGAGATGTGAAGCCGCAGAATCTGTGCATAAACTACATCCAGGGGTCCAGTTGACCACCAAACCACTCCTATGGGGCAAATTCCAAGCAGCCAAACTAGAACAAAAAGAAGTGAGCGGAGATGTAAGCTACTAGTCAAGAAACCACTAAATACCATTAATTGCCTGCTAAAACAAAAATATTAACTGTCTTTGGAGGTATATAACAAAATTCATACTTTCAACAACATAACAGTAGTAATGTCCAGGATATGATCCAAAATTATTATTATTATTATTTTGAGATGGAGTTTCGCTCTTGTTGCCCAGGCTGGAGTGCAATGGTGCGATCTTGGCTCACTGCAACCTCCGCCTCCCAGGTTCAAGCAATTCTCCTGCCTCAGCCTTCAGAGTAGCTGGGACTACAGGCATGCACCACCACGCCTGGCTAATTTTGTATTTTTTAGTAGAGACAGGGTTTCTCCATGTTGGTCAGGCTGGTATCACACTCCCAACCTCAGGTGATCCACCCACCTCAGCTTCCCAAAGTGCTGGGGTTACAGGCATGAGCCACTGCGCCCAGCTCAAAATTATTTGACATATGAGGAAACAGGAAAATGTGCCCCTTTTTAAGAAATAAAACAAGAAAGATGATCAACCATAAGATATGTCAGATATCAAAATTAGTATATGAGGAATTCAAAGCAGCTATGGTAACTGTGCACAATGAGGTAAAGGAAAGTATGTTTGAAATGAATGAAAGATGGAAAATAGCAATGAAGGCCAGGTGCAGTGGTTCACACCTGTAATCCCAGCACTTTGGGAGGCTGAGGCAGCAGGATCGCTTGAGGCCAAGAGTTCAAGACCAGCCTAGGCAACATAGTGAGACCCTGTCTCTACAAAAAACAAATTCCAGCCTAGGCAACATGATGAAACTCTGTCTCTATAAAAAAAAAAAAAAAAAAAGAAAGAGCTGGGTGTGGTGGTACACACCTGTAATCCCAGCTACTTGGGTGGCTGAGGTGGGAGGATCACTTGAGCCCAGGAGTTGCAGGCTATAGTGAGCCATGATCACACCACTGCATTCCAGCCTGGGCAACAGAGCCAGACCTTGTCTCTAAAAAAACAAAAAGAAAATAGCAGTGAAATAAAAACTATACAAAAGAATCAAATAGAAATCCTGGAACTGAAATATCAATATCTGCAATAAAAAGGTCACCAAATGGGCTTAAAGGCAGAATGGAAATGGCATAAGAACAAAGAAAAAATAGTTGTAAGAAAAAAAAAAACAAAGTCTCAGAAACCTGTAGGGCAATATCAAAGGCTGAGAATATGTTTAATTCAAGTCCTGGAGGGAAAGGTGGAAGAATGAGAGAGAAAAAATGTCTGAAGGGATACTGGCCGAAATTTTCCCAAGTTTGCTGAAAGATACAAATTTACAGATTCAAAAATGCTGTTGAATTCCAAGTAGGATCAATGTGAAGAAAATGCATATAAGCCCATTATAGTTTAACTGCTGAAAACAAATAGTAAAGAGCAAATTTTGACAGAAGCCAGAGGAAAATAAGACATTATTTAAAGGGGACAATGACTTTCTTCTTATCAAGAAAATAAGAGGGCCAGGCGTGGTGGCTCATGCCTGTAATCCCAGCACTTTAGGAGGCTGAGGCTGGTGGATTGCCTGAGGTCAGGAGTTCAAGACAAGCCTGGCCAATATGGTGAAACCCTGTCTCTACTAAAAATACAAAAAAAAATTAGCCAGGCATGGTGGTGTGTGCCTGTAATGCCAGCTACTTGGGAGACTGAGGCAGGAGATAGCTTGAACCCAGGAGGCAGAGGAGGTTGCAGTGAGCCAAGATCGCACCACTGCATTCCATCCAGCCTGGGTGACAGAGAGAGACTCTGTCTCAAAAAAAAAAAAAAAAAAAGAAGAGTTGCACCAAAATCTCAGAAATCACCACTAAAGAACTTATTCATGTAACCAAACACCACCTGTTCCCCAAAAACCTATTGAAATAAAAGAAAATAGGAAAACAGTGGGTGCCAGACAACAGTGGAACAGTATTTTGAAAGTGTTGAAAGACAAAAGTTGTCAACACCTATTTCTATATGTAATGAAAATATCCATCAGTGATAAAGATAAAATAATTAAATTTCATATAAAAGAAAGTTAAGATAATGTTTCTTCAGCAAATCCGTACAAGAAATCAGGGCCGGGTGCAGTGGCTCATGGCTGTAATTTGGGAGGCCGAGGTGGGCAGATCACTTGAACTCAGGAGTTTGAGACTAGCCTAAGCAGCTTAGCAAAAACCCTACTCAACAAAAAATACAAAACTTAGCTGGGCATGGTGGCTTGCACCTGTAGTCCCAACTACTCAGGAGGCTGAGGTGGGAGGATCACTTGAACCTGGGAGATGGAGGTTGCAATGAGCCGAGATCTGTCAGCCTGGGTGACAGAGCGAGACTCCGTCTCAAAAAAAAAAAAAAAAAAAAAAAGAGAAGGAAGTTCTATGGGCCTACGGGAAAAAGTACCAGATGGAGACTTGGATATTCAAGGCATGAAATGAAGAGCATCAGAATACATATGATGATTTAAAGTGAAAATCATAACATTGTTTCCAATGGTTTATAATATATGCATAGATACAATGCATATGACAACTGTTACACAAGGGACAGGAAGGAGGTGTAAATGGACTTATAAAGTTCTAAGATTTCCATATTTTATGTGAAGAGCTACAATATTAAATTTAAATAGATTATGAAAACACACAGGTTGATATTATAATCCCTAGAATAGCCACTAAAAAATGATGCAAAGAGGTGTAACTGAATTTTTTTTTTGAGACAGGGTCTCACTCTGTCACCCAGGCTGGAATGCAGTGGCAGGATCTTGGCTCACTGCAACCTCTGCCTCCCAGGCTGAAGTGATCCTCCCACCTCAGCCTCCTGAGTAGCTGGGACTACAGGCACATGCCATCACCCCAGCTAATTTTTTGTATTTTTCTTAGAGACAGTGTCTCACCATGTTGCCCAGGCTGGTCTCAAACTCCTGAACTCAGATGATCCACCCACTTTGGCCTCCCAAAGTGCTGGGATTATAGGTGTGAGCCACCATGCCCAGCCAGAAAATAGAATTATAACAATATTCAAATAACCCAAAATAAGGCAGGAAGGGAAGAAAAAGAGGAACAAAATCACAGAGAACAAACAAAAATCAAATAATAAAATAGCAGACGTAACTACAAACATTATCAATAATTCCTTTAGATGTTACTAGGCTAAATGTCTTCCACTTCCACCTGTGATGGAGTGTCAGGACAGATTTTGCCTCCTGCTTTAAACAACAACAATGAAAACCGAGACAAACTATAAGAAACATTGGTTTCCAGGCAGGGCGCAGTGGCTCATGCCTGTAATCCCAGCACTTTGGGAGGCGGAGGCGGGTGGATCACGAGGTCAGGAGATTGAGACCATCCTGGCCAACATGGTGAAACCTCGTCTCTACTAAAAATACAAAAATTAGCTGGGCGTGGTTGCACGCACCTGTAGTCCCAGCTACTCAGGAGGCTGAGGCGGGAGAATCGCTTGAACCCGGGAGGCGGAGCTTGCAGTGAGCAGAGATTGCGCCATTGCACTCCAGCCTGGCGACAGGGCGAGACTCTGTCTCAAAAAAAAAGAGGGAGAAACATTGGTTTCCAAACACCGGAAAACAGGAAGTGCAGAACCGTGATTTGAGCCCTGCAGCTCTCCAGCTGCTGCCTGGACAGAGCTTGCAGGCTGCAGTATGAGGCCAGGCAGCCCAGTGCAGGGCACCTGAGATTCCCCAGCTTTGACGCTGAGAGTCCTGGTCCTGGGAACTCCTCAGTCCTGGTTAAACTGGGAAGGTCGGCCACTCTCCCAGACAGAGACCAACACGTTTCATGAGTTGACAATGTAGGGAGGTAACGGTGGCTAGGATTCACAGGACAAATGACCAAAGAGAGCTGCACAGAGACTGCATTTCAGAAATCTGCCACTGATCCCCTCAAGGCTTTTTGCTTACAGGCCAGTGTAGGTTGACATGTCGTGGAGGCTGCAAGTTAAGTTTTTACTGAAACTACATGAGGCAGGGGAAATAACTGCCAGAAAAAAGCAGATGGAACAGTTCCTGGAGCTTGCAGGGCTAGAAATAGTTCACATTCCGAACAGCCAGAGTGGAGACACCTGGTAATACATAGGTCATCAGGAAGGGGGCTCAGGAGGGTGTTGCCTTAGTAGTGGGAGCAAAGTAGCCCTAGAATAAGGCTGATCTACCTGGTCATTCCTTATAAAGCATAAAAGCTTAAAAGGAACAAACTGCTTCCAGTAACTTACCTGTGATCCAGAACAAAGCCTCTCAAACGTTTAAGGAACACAAAACCAAAATATTTTTCAAAGAGAAAGAAGGGGATGGGAAGGAGAAGCACCAAACAAGGTAAAAATTTCAGTGTCTAGCATCCAGTCAAAACTTACCAAGCCTGCAAAGAAACAGAAATACGCAACCTATAAAGAAGAGAAAATTCAATCGGCGGAAACAGACCTCAAAGTGAAATGCGGGACACAGATTTAGTAGTCAAGGGCACTAAAATGGCTACTGTAAATACATTCCGTCTGTTCAAAAAGCTAGAGGAGAGATTGAACATGTTCAGTAGAAACATGGTAGATATAAAAAACAAACAAAAATGAACAGAGCTGAAGGACAACTTCAAGCAACCTGATTACGTGGAATTACGGTCTCTGTAGGAGAACAAGTAGAGCCAAGTATCCAAGGCATTCCAAACATACAAGTTTTCCAAAACTGAATCAAGAATCAGTTTCTCAATTTCAATTTCAATTAACTAAAATTAAATAAAATTAAACATTCAGTTCCTCAGTCATGCTAGTCAGATTTGAAGTGCTCAGCAGCCACATGTGGCTAGCTACTACTATATCAGACATGACAGATGTGAAAACATTTGCATATCTTTTTTTTTTTTGAGATGGAGTTTCACTCTTGTTGCCCAGGCTGGAGTGCAGTGGTGCGATCTCGGTTCACCGCAACCTCTGCCTCCCGGGTTCAAGCGAGTCTCCTGCCTCAGCCTCCCGAGTAGCTAGGATTATAGGCATGTGCCACCATGCCCGGCTAATTATGTATTTTTAGTAGAGACGAGGTTTCTCCATGTTGGTCAGGCAGGTCTCAAACTCCCAACCTTAGGTGATCCACCCACCTTGGCCTCCCAAAGTGCTGGGATTACAGGCGTGAGCCACCGTGCCTGGCCCCACATATTTGCATTTTTTTTTTTTTTTGAGACAGAGTCTGGCTCTGTTGCCCATGCTGGAGTGCAGTGGCGCGATCTCGGCTCACTGCAAGCTCTGCCTCCCGGGTTCATGCCATTCTCCTGCCTCAGCGTCCCGAGTAGCTGGGACTACAGGCACCCACCACCACGCCTGGCTAATTTTTTTTTTTTTGTATTTTTAGTAGAGACGGGGTTTCACCATGTTAGCCAGGATGGTCTCGATTTCCTGACCTCGTGATCCACCCGCCTCGGCCTCCCACAGTGCTGGGATTGCAGGTATGAGCCACCGCGCTGGGCCAACATTTGCATATCTTAAGAGCGTGTCAGCTTGGGTGGGTGGACAGAAGGGATAGGTCACATGCACGACTGATCCAGAGACCTGGGCCATGTGGCCACTCCCCACTTGAAGTTATGGGATCACTGACATAATAACCATAGCTAGTGGTCAGCTCAGTCCCTCTAGTTCTCAAACCAGAACCCAGGCAGAGCTCAGTTCATAGTTGGGTTCAACCTCAGCCACACAGACTGCAAACGGCCTGGGTCCTTCCAGTTGTCAGGTGAAGATGTAAAGCAAAGTCACCGACTTTGGCTTTGGATCCCAGGCAGTCCTCTGCAGGGAGGCTGTGGGGCTTTCCATGCAGGTTCTGGGTGATCCTTCAAAACCTCTCTTCTGGCTGGGTGCGTTGGCTCACGCCTGTAATCCCAGCACTTTGGGAAGCCGAGGATGGCGGATCACTTGAGGTCAAGAGTTCAAGACCAGCCTGGCCAACCTGGTGAAACCCTGTCTCTACAAAAAAATTAGCTGGGTGTGGTGGCGGGCACCTGTAGTCCCAACTACTCGGGAGGCTGAGGTGGGAGAATCGCTTGAACTCAGGAGGCAGAGGCTGCAGTGAGCCGAGATCTCACCACTGCACTCCAGCCTGGGCGACAGAGTGAGACTCTAGCTCAAAACAAAACAAAACCTCTCTTCTAGTCCAATTTCTTTTCACGTTACTAAGGGCCTGCCAGGCCAACCCTGGATCCCACAGCAACACATCCTTTCCCGTTGGAAATCCAGAGGACAGTGACTGCTTTCCACCACATAGGCCAGCTGTGAAAATCCCTGGACCCCCCTTCACCATACAGTGCAACCTCACCATATGGGGGTTCGTGCAGCTCATTATGAGAATCACCCACTCATGGACACCCCATACAACCTCACCAAGACTGCCATCACCATGGGAGAGCCTGGCTTGTCTATCAACACAGACACCACTTAAGATTGAGAGCCTTGAAGGGTAAACAGGGTACCCGGAGGCATCCAGACTGAAGGAGTGAGGGCCACACTGTGAAGGGAGGTGTGAGGATGACCCTAGGACCACAGCTTGAACTGGATCCCAAAATGCCCTGGGCACAGTGCCACCTACAGCTTCAGAACCATCTTTATCTTATCCTGTCCACCTGGGAGTCCTCCTTCCCCGTCTCACCGTGATGACCTGCAGGAGTGTCTCTTAGCCACAGTCCTCCTCTGTGATTGTCAACCTATAGAAAATGTAAACTATAGATTTTAGAGAACCTTGTTCTGTAAAATCACGGACTGTCAGAAACTTTGCTGTTTGAAACCATGTTAGTGAGACTGGAACATTCTTTGACACAAAGAAGCAGCCTCAATTTCCAGCTGAAACAGGATTTTTCTCTTCTTTCTTTCTTTTTTTTTTTTTTTTTTTTTTTTTAGAAAAGAGCTTTTTAACTTTGGGAGGCTGACGTGGGCGGATCACGAGGTCAGGAGATCAAGACCATTCCGGCTAACACGGTGAAACCCCTTCTCTACTAAAAATACAAAAAATTAGCCGGGTGTGGTGGCGGGCGCCTGTAGTCCCAGCTACTCAGGAGGCTGAGGCAGGAGAATGGTGGGAACCCAGGAGGCAGAGCTGGTAGTGAGCTGAGATGGCACCACTGCACTCCAGCCTGGGCAACAGAGCAAGACTCGGTCTCAAAAACAAACAAACAAACAAACAAACAAACAAAGGAGCTTTTTAAGCACAACATCCTACATTTATTTTAACTTTGTAGTTTCTAAGGGAACAGGACCCTGGGTCGGCTTCTGATGTTAACCCCTTTATAGCTTTACACACATAATCCTGCTTGCTTCACGCCTATCCACAACACTGATTCATTTATATTGTACCTAACCTCCACCCTCCTCCAGATCCTGTAAGAACCCTGCCTCTATGTGGCCAGGCGCAGTGGCTCATGCCTGTAATCCCAGCACTTTGGAAGGCTGAGGCGGGTGGATCATGAGGTCAGGAGATCGAGACCATCCTGGCTAACACGGTGAAACCCCTCTACTAAAATACAAAAAATTAGCCGGGAATGGTGGCGGGCGCCTGTAGTCCCAGCTACTCGGGAGGCTGAGGCAGAATGGCGTGAGCCCAGGAGGCGAAGCTTGCAGTGAGCAGAGATCGCACCACTGCACTCCAGCCTGGGAGACAGAGCTAGACTCCGTCTCAAAAAACAAACAAACAAACAAACAAACAAACCCTTCCTCTACCTTTGTTTGAAGAGGACACCAGGTTCCTCAGGTAAGTGATCACTCTTGCTGCAAGGATGCTAAGAAATCCATTGTTTTGGGACTACAGGTTTGTCCCTGTTAGGTTGTATTACCGTCCTGGAAATGGTACATTTATAGCCTAACAAATATACAGGAATGGATTTTTACATCCACAGAGTAGAGAACAAAGAGAAAAATTGCCCCTCTGTCATCACAGAACTTTACATCATGTTTTCTAAAAGTTTAAAACTCAAAAATGTGGCCGGGCACGGTGGCTCACACCTGTAATCCTAGCACTTTGGGAGACTGAGGCAGGTGGATTGCCTGAGCTCAGGAGGTCGAGACCAGCCTGGACAACACAGTGAAATCCCACCTCTACTAAAAATACAAAAAAATTAGCCAGGCATGGTGGCGTGTGCTTGTAATCCCAGCTACTTGGGAGGCTGAGGCAGGAGAATTGCTTGAACCCAGAGGGCAGAGGCTGTAGTGAGCCGAGATCGCGCCACTGCACTCCAGCCTGTGTGACAGAGTGAAATACCATCTCCAAAAAAAAAAAAAAAAACCTCAAAAATGTTCCCTAATGTGTTATTCCCGTGAATAACTCATGTGACTCCTGTAGAGACATTCAGTAACACCCTCCCCTTTGAACTTTTGAACTGATGCTGAAGGAGAGCCCCCTTATTATAAAAATGCACGTTTAGATCTCTTTTCAGATGTGCAGCCTTTTTTTTTTTTTTTTTTTGAGACGGAGTCTTGCTCTGTCGCCCAAGCTGGAGTGCAGTGGCGCGATCTTGGCTCACTGCAAGCTCCGCCTCCCGGGTTCACGCCAATCTCCTGCCTCAGCCTCCCGAGTAGCTGGGACTACAGGCACCCGCCACCACGCCTGGCTAATTTTTTGTATATTTAGTAGAGATGGGGTTTCACCGTGTTAGCCAGGATGGTCTCGATCTCCTGACCTCGTGATCCGCCCACCTCGGCCTCCCAAAGTGCTGGGATTACAGGCATGAGCCACCGTGCCCAGCCCAGATGTTCAGCCTTTAAAAAACTGTTCTATGGAATGTTAGAATGAATATCACACTGAAGCCTCAAATAAGCACCAGCCACCCAACTGAAAGGGTGACCAACTTATGGTCATCTTGTCAGAAATTGCATCCTCTCAGCTGAACCCACAGCTAGGGTTGCGGCAAGGATGTTCCCTTGTCTGGTACCCTTGTTCCCCTGTTCCCTTGTTCCCTGGTCTGGTACCCCAGACCAGCCCTGGATGGGATTCCAAAGAAAGAAGCACCAAACGCCAGGGTGACCAGTGCAAAGCATGCATTAGGGCGCTTACATACATAGGGCTGTCACAGGCCTCAGGTGGCCTTCAGGGAAATGGGTGCCCCCCGGAGAGGAGCCCTTGGAGAGGGGCGTGGGGAAGGTGTCAGTTGCTACATGTTTAGCAAGATGTTTGATCTTGAAGTGTTTTGGACAACAACATAAGCAAGTTTATCAGTGCCTGGGAATGTTCAGGGCCCCAGCTCAGGTTCCAGCCCACAGCGGAAGCATGCAGCCAGCCAGATCACAGAGTGGCCAAGGTGCTCTCTGTGTCTCAGAAAGAAAGTGGGAGAAACTGGGAGACCCTACACATATAAGCTTCTAACCAAACTCCCCAATTCTACTTTATTTTTGACTATTTTCTAACCTAAAGAGAAGTCATAAGAATTATGCAGTGAGCACCCATAGACACTTCATCTAGATTCTCTAGTTAGCGATACGTTTTTAATCCAGTTTTCTTACCACTTTACCTTATCTCTCCACGTATATTTTTAATTTAAATTTTGTGTTTGAGTTACTTACAGACACACTTTGAGTTACTTGCAGACAAGCTAGAAGAACTAGTTTCTTCTGCAAAACCATGGTGCAATGATCATATACTGGAAATTTAACTTCAATACAATACATTCCCCTATACGCATTGCCTCATATACAATGCATTTCATAATCCATATTCAGATTTCCCCCTAATTGTACCAAAGGGTCTCCTATAGCTGTTATTAGTTTCCATTCAAAATCCAACCAAGGCTCTCACATTGCATTTGGTTTCGTGTCAATTGTGACAGCCTTGTGAAATTTCTTTATTATTTGTTTATTTATTTTTGAGACAAGATCTCATTCTTTCACCAAAGCTGGAGTGCAGTGGCGCAATCACAGCTCACTGCAGCCTCTACCTCCTGGGCTCAAGTGATCCTCTTGCCTCAGCCTCCTGAGTAGCTTGAACCACAAACCACAGCCACCACACCTGGCTTTTTTTTGTTGTTTTTTGAGAGACGAGACCTTGCTGTGTTGCCCATGCTATTCAAACACCAGGACTCAAGTTGAGCCATTGTGCCTGGCCTGAAATTTCTTTGTGTGCACAGGGCCCTCTCTTCCCTGCAGATCCCAAAGTGATTTCTGGTAGATATCTTGCGTATATTCAGATGTAAAAGAAAGTTTGTCATTTTGATGTGTTAAAGAACTTGGGGGGTCAAACAGTCCCAGACTGCCCAGTGAGCATTCTCTTTCTTCCTTCTTGCAATGCAGCAACAAAGTCTTGTTTTAAAATTATATACCTCTGGCTGTCTTTTTCCCACAAGGGGAGCTGCAGACAGAAGCTGAAGGAGCTGTGAGTCATGCAGTCAGGATAGGGCTCTCCAGGCCCCCAGGGAGGGAGGCAAAAGTGAGGAGATGCATGTTCTCTGCAGTTGCCAAGAACCTGGTGGACCAGGGTACCGAGAGGCAAGCCCTAAGCCACATGCCAGTCAAACACAGCAGAGAGGTGGCCCCCAGACCTCATTTCTACTAAAGCAGACATTGCTTAGACATGATATAATCCTTATTGCCTGACTGTCTTTCCACATAAATTATCCTGAATTTTGTAATGACATGCAGGAGAATGCCATATCAAATAGACTCTTCTTGATTTGTATCGGTCAAAGTTTGCAGTAAGAAATAGTAAGAAATATGTTCTTGAGCCAAGCATGGTGGCTCATGTCTGTAATCCCAGCACTTTGGGAGGCCGAGGCGGGTGGATCACCTGAGGTTGGGAGTTCGAGACCAGCCTGGCCAACGTGGTGAAACCCCATATCTACTAAAAACACAAAAATTAAGCTGGGCACAGTGGCTCATGCCTGTAATCCCAGCGGCTCACGCCTGTAATCCCAGCACTTTGAGAGGTCGAGGCAGGCAGATCACGAGGTCAAGAGATCAAGACCATCCTGGCCAACATGATGAAACCCCGTCTCTACTAAAAATACAAAAATTAGCTGAGCATGGCGGCACACACCTGTAGTCCCAGCTACTTGGGAGGCTGAGCCAGGCGAATTGCTTGAACCAGGGAGGCAGAGGTTGCAGTGAGCCGAGATTGTGCCACTGCACTCCAGCCTGGGCCACAGAGCAAGACTCCGTCTAAAAAAAAAAATTAGCTGGGCGTGGTGGTGGGCACCTATTATCCCAGCTACTTGGGAGGCTGAGGCAGGAGAATCACTTGAACCCAGGAGATGGAGGTTTCAGTGAGCCAAGATTGTGCCACTGTACTCTAGCCTGGGTGACAGAGTGAAACTCCATCTCAAAAAAGAAAGAAAGAAAGAAAGAAAGAAAGAAAGAAAGAAAGAAAGAAAGAAAGAAAGAAAGATGCTTTTGTTTAAGCAGAAAAGGACACCATTGCTGGGTGCAGTGACTCAGCCTATAATCCCAATATTACAGGATCCTTGAGTGTCACTTCAGCAGCCAGAAACCTCTGTGGCCAGTGGCACCTTTGTCCAAGTTTTGCTCTGGCCTGTTTGGGCTCATTCTGCCCACTCGGCCTGGCAGGCTGTGCTCAGCTTGCGCTACTGGCTTAGATCTCATACTTGCCAAGGGTGAGCCAGGTGAGGAGCGGCAAGGGGTGTGTGAGCAAGCATGGGGCCCGGCCACTGTGCACAGCCAGGCACGCCGGTTATGGCCAGGCAGGCAGTTCTAGGCACCTGTACAGGCACCAGCTTCCTGCGAGGCTGTGGCTAGACCAGGCATACCATAAGCAACTTCCACAGCTGACACTGAGGAACACAGTGGTGCCTGGAAGCTTGGAGACACCAGGAACCACAGAGCCATAAAGGGGGAGGCACAACCCTGGCTCAGGGAGCTCCTAGGTCTGGGTTCCCCAAAGGGCCACAGCTCTTCTCTCCTCTCTTTTTTTCTCCTTGTCACCCATAACATGGCAAGCAAGGGGTGTGTTTCAGCCCTGTTTGTGTTACAGCTCTCTTAGCCCTGCAATTTAGCAGGTCCTGAGTTCTTGTCCTGTGTCCGGGAAGAATGAAGTACTCAGATAAGTGAAGGGTGAGCAAGATGAAGAGGAGCTTTATTGAGCAATGGAACAGCTCAGAGGAGAGCCACGGTGAGTAGCTCCTCTCCGTAGCCAGGGTGTCCCAGTGAGTGTTCAGCCCTTAATAGAGAGGGTAGCTCCTCTCTCCTAGGCAGGTCGTCCCGATGAGTACTTAGCGCTCAGTAGAGAGGGTAGCTCCCCCGCAGAGAAGGTTGTCTTGTCATTTCCCTGCTCTCAGCAGAGAGGAGACCTTAGAGTGGGTAGCTCCTCTCCACAGCTGGCAGTCCCGACATCTCTTCTGGTCTGGCTAAGTCCAGGGTTTTTATGGGCCTCAGAAGGGAGGAAGCACATGCCAATTGGTCCATGGGCAGCCATGGGTAGGCCCAGAAAAAGCACCACAAGTTCCCATTCCAGTCCACAGGACCAGCAGCCCAGCCCCCGGGCTTCAGGCCCTCCCTAGCTTGAAGTTGGGGCTTCACTGGGGACCCGTCGCCTTCCACCCTGGGGCCTGTATGCCTCCTGCTGCCATTCATGAAGCCTAGGCTGTTCATGCCAAAGGGTGCCTGCAGACCAGCACCAAGCTGCCCTCAGCCCACTGTCAGCCTCCTTCCCATGCTCATCAGTGCCCAAGTCCAGAGGGGGCTGAGGTGGCAGGGGGCTGGTATGTCAGTGCTGCCCTGAGTGTGTGCACACCTGGCTGGTCTGTGACAGTGCCCAGGCTCAGCCCCATCCTTGCTTCAAGATTGTAGTGGGTGCCAGGAGCAGGGAGAGGCCAGATAGTGGGAGCAGACACTCCCAGCATGTGGGAGGAAGGGGGGCCATCCTGGTCCCCAAGAGTGCAGAGATGCCTGGGTCCTCAGCCACGGCTTGGGCAGCTGCAGCTGCCCCCAGGAGGGTAGGGCTCCTGCCTGCTTCCAGCCCCCAAGAGTACAGGGAGGCCAGGGTCCCTAGCTGTGACTTGGGCTGCTGCAGCTGTGCTTGGGAGGGTGGGGCTCTTCTGCTTCTGGCTCCTCCCAGTACCATGGAGCATGGCACTGCCCTGGGTCCAGCTCCGCCTAGGAGCCCCTTTCTGCCCGTCCCTCCGTGCTCTACCGTGCTGCTCCCCCACTGGCAGGCAACTCAGCCTGGCCCCATCTTGGTGGCTCCCAGGGTGGCCGGCTTTGGAGGGCTCCCAGGGGTGGGCTCCAAGGACTGCTCACCTCCTCTCTGTGTTTTCCCTGCAGTGGTGGCAGGTGAGGTGCAGGTGGCAGGGCGACCCTGGCCAACCCCGCACAAATGAACCTGATGCTCTCAGGGCTGGCCCTGAAAGCCCCAGCTGTGCCTTTGGCTCGGTGCTCACGGGCTCCCGGGATGTGGTGGGGAGCGAGGTTGAAGCCACAGCAGAGGCTCTGGGCCTGGGAGAGCGTCCTGCCTGGCTATGTGAGGGTGGGGATGATGCCATTGGCTGCCTCTGAGATGGGGCACAGGGGACCCACCACTGCCACTGCTGCTCCTGCAGCCACTCCTGCCTCCTGCCACCACTGCCTGTACCTCCCTGCTGCAGCTGGCATGATGGCAGTGGCCACTCCGGATGTCCCACTGCTGCCATCAACAACACTTTGGGAGGCCAAGGCAGGAGGAGCACTTGAGGTCACGAGTTTGAGACCAGCCTGGGCAACACAACAAGACTTCATCTCTAAAATAAATAAATGAAAAGACAAAGAAACCACCCAAATTCTAGGAGGCCACAGAGTGAGAACCCCTCCAGTTACCTCCACCAGAAAATGGGCCTGGGAAGCATGTTTGCACTGTCTCCTGCGGTCCCTCCCAGGCACGCCCATGTGGTGGATCCTGATCATGTGTTGTACCCTTGAGGAAATGGAGTCTGCGAAAGTGAATTTCTGGCCTTCCCATCCTGAAGATGAGAGACCCTTGATGTGGAACGTTCCCCAAACAGAGGGTGGCTGTTCACTAGGTGCTGGGAGGCCACTGGAGTGTGACAGAGGCCCTGTCGGCAGCCACCAGGAAGCACAACCAGAAACAGAAACTCAGTGCATTTCCCTTAGTGTTGGTGTCAGAGTCTAATTTTCAAAATGTTAAAAACATAATCCTCATAAAAACGAGTAGTGAGCATGGCATGAAAATTGTGTTTAACTCATTAGTGAGGGAACCAGCAGGAAGACATAGACAAGACAAAAGACGATATGAGGAAAAGGGAATTTTATAATCAGTAATGGGAAACGGAATACTGAGATAATATTTGCTCATCAGCTGGAAAATGTTAATGCTCCACCACAATCCTTCTCAAACCAGAGCACACAACAGAAGAAGCTTGGGGTGCCTGGCTGCACCCCGAGTTTGTGATTTTGTAGGTCCAGAGCGGGGCCTGAGAATCCACATTCCCAAGTGCTGCTGCTGGCCCAGCACCACGCTCTGAGAATCATATTCTCCAGGGAAATGCAGCTCTGGAGTGGGCTTTTCTGCTGGTGACAAAGGAAAATCACTGCACCTTATTGGTTGTCTGCTCATTAATCTTTAAGTTTAGAGAGTTGTAAATGTCTGGGTTCTAATCAGGAGTAAATGGTAGGCTAGGCAGAGGCATATCCCTCAAAGCTGTAATGTCTAGCAGGAAATTAAAAATCAGTTTACCTTATTTTCAAGCTTTGGATAAGTTTTCTTAACAGTGGTGCTGATGACACAAATGTCTTCTTTTTTTTCTTTGAGACGGAGTCCTGCTCTGTCACCCAGGCTGGAGTGCAATGGTGCAATCTTGGCTCACTGCAACCTCTGCCTCCTGGGTTCAAGTGATTCTCCTGCCTCAGCCTCCTGAGTAGCTGGAATTACAGGTGTGTGCCACCACACCTGGCTAATTTTGGTATTTTTAGTAGAGACGGGGTTTCACCATGTTGGCCAGGAAGCTCTCAAACTCCTGACGTCACGATCTGCCCACCTCGGCCTCCCAAAGTGCTGGGATTACAGGCGTGAGCCACTGTGCCCAGCCCACAAATGTCTTAATAGATTATTTATTTTGCATTAATTCCTCCAAACTGCCAAAGCAGAGATTGCCATATATCATGTTGGGTAATATTTTCCACTAAGAAGAAGGAAAAAAGAGTAGAGAAGAAAAATACCATTACCATCCATGTGCATGACTCTTTGTAGGTTTTTGTTGTTGCTGTTGTTGTTGTTGTTTCTGAGACGGAGTTTCACTCTTGCAGCCCAGGCTGGAGTGCAGTGGCGCAATCTCGGCTCACTGAAACCTCCGCCACCTGGGTTCAGGCAATTCTTCTGCCTCAGCCTTCCGAGCAGTTGGAACTACAGGCGTGCGCCACCACACCCGGCTAATTTTTGTATTTTCAGTAGAGACAGAGTTTCACCATTTTAATCAGGCTAGTCTCAAACTCTTGACTTCAGGTGATCTGCCTGCCTCGGCCTCCCAAAGTGTGTGGATTACAGGCGTGAGCCACTGCGCCCGGCCTCTTTGTAGGTGTTAAAGGGCTTTTCCACATCTGATCTCTTGTGACCCTTGCCATAATCCTGTGAGGTGTGTGCTTTCATCCCATTCTTGTGGACAGGTAAACGGAGCCTCTGGGAACTCAAATCACCTCCCCAAGGTGACAGTGGATACAAGCATCAGAGGGTATCGTCCCCACAGAATGCAGGAGACTACATCCTGAAGTCAGTGGAATGTGGGCTTTGGCCACAGTCCTTGTCTCAGTCTCATTCATCTTCATCATTTGGTTGTTTTGCTCCTAATTCATCTTTACTTAATGAGAGAACCTTGCATATTCACTCAATGAAAGGCCCTAGCACACGAGGGCCTGTTGAAATAGTTTGGCTATTAGAATTCTCCTCTGTATAAAAGAAAGCACAGAAGACATAATTTCTAAAATAGCTAGGAATATGGAATACATGCCTCTAAGGGGACAAAGTAAAGCATCTTGTGTCACGATTAAAGTCAGAAAGTGGCTGGACATGGCTTCAGGCCCTGTAGTAATTATTAAAGGCTAATGCCTGTAATCCCAGCACTTTGGGAGGCTGAGGAGGGCGGATCACTTAAGGTCAGGAGTTCGAGACTAGCCTGGCCAACATGGCGAAACCCCGTCTCTACTAAAAATACAAAAATTAGCCAGGCATGGTGGTGCATGGCTGTAAGTCCAGCTATTCAGGAGGCTGAGGCATGAGAATAGTTTGAACCCAGTAAGCAGAGGTTGCAGTGAGCCAAGATCACGCCACTGCATCCCTGCTTGGGCAACAGAGCGAGACTTAGTCTCAAAATTGCGCCACTGCACCCCAGCCTGGGTGACAGAGCAAGACTTAATAAAAAAATAAATAAATAAATAAAAGAGCCTAGGTCTGGGACCAGACTGCCTAGGTTCCAATTCTGTCTGCAGTGCTTACAGGCATGTGACTTTGAGCAAGTTGCTGCCTCAGTTTCCTAATTTGTAACATGGGGTAATGACAATATCCACATTATGGGGCTGTTATAAAGATTAAATGAGTTTCAAAGAGTAAAGAATTTAGGGCAGTCTGGGTGTGGTGGCTCATGCCTGTAATCCCAGCACTTTGGGAGGCTGAGGCGGGTGGATCACTTGAGCCCAGGAGTTTGAGACCAGCCTGAGCAAGATGGCGAAACCCATCTCTACAAAAATAAAAATTAATAAATTAGCCAGGCATGGTGGCATGCCCCTGTAGTCCCAGCTACTTGGGAGGCTGAGGCAGGAGAACAGCTTGAACCCAGAGGCAGAGGTTGCAGTGAGCCAACATCATGCCACTGCACTCCAGCCTAGACCATAGAGTGAGACTCTGCCTCCAAAAAACAAACAAACAAACAAAAAGAGAATTTAGGGCAATCTGGCACATGGTAACATGAGTCATACTGCAGCAGGAAGAGACACAGACAAAACCCCTCAGACACCGAGTTAAAGAAGGAAGGGGTTTATTCAGCCAGGAGCATTGACAAGACTCCTATCTCAAGAGCTGAGCTCTCTGAGTGAGCAATTCCTGTCCCTTTTAAGGGCTCACAACTCTAAGGGGGTCCGCGTGAGAGGGTCGTGATCGATTGAGCAAGCAGGGGGTACGTGACTGGGGGCTGCATACACCGGTAATTAGAATGGAACAGAACAGGACAGGGGTCTTCACAGTGCTTTTTTATGCAAATAACCGATTAGGTCAGGGGTCCATCTGTAACTACCAGGCCCACGGTGTGGCGCCAGGCTGTCTGCTTGTGGATTTCATTTTTGCCTTTCAGTTTTTACTTCGTCTTTCTTTGGAGGCAAAAATTGGGCATAAGACAATATGAGGGGTGGTCTCCTCCCTTAATACATTTGTCCCAATCATCACATGCACCACACGATGCAGAAGTCCATGGACACAAGCTGGGAGGAATCCTATGGACACCAGCATCCTCCTCAGCACCGTGACAGCATGGACTGAGCGAGCACTGTGTGCCAGGCATCATGTCGGGTGTGCGAGATGCAGCATTCCACAGGTCGGGGGGCGGTCATTAACCCCACTTTACAGACGAGGAGATCTGGACCAGGCAAATCAGACAACCTGTCCAAGCTCATACAATGTCACATCCCCAACACCAGTTCTTCCCAGTGTGCCTGCTGCTCTGCCACACAGTGGGCCAGAGATGGGTTCTTTCTGATTTTCATACTTCCTGTTAATGTCATATTTGTCTCATAATAAAGATAAACTGCCTATGGAAGGTAACCCCAAAAGCCTCAGGCAAGACAGGGAGGGGAGCTGAGTAGCTGCCTCCTAACCCAGGAGTAGGGAAAGCATCTGTCAAGGCCAAACTTGGCCAACTTCACACTTCCCGGGGCTCTAGCACCAGAGTTGTCCATACTGGGGGCTTTGGAGGGGCCAAGAAGTCAGATCCCCAGAAATTTCCAGCCCCCTTCTGCCAGGCATTCTCAATATGTGCTTGACACTTGGCTATTCAGACACTGAAAGTCTTGCTCTGTGAGGAGCAAGAACCAGACAGCACGCCACTCCTTGGTGTTTTCAAGGCACCAGTGGCCTCAGATGTGCCACCAGGGTGAGGGGGCAGCTCTTACTCTCTTCTGCCAGGGAACCACAGAGGTAAAGCCCTACATTGGGTGCCTTGCTCTCTGGCATCAGGATGCCTGAGGCCCAAGGGTGATGGCAGCTGAACAGATGCATGCTGTGTCATGAGTTTCCAGGGTCTACCCAGCTCGGGGCGGCTTTGTGGTGCAGAGGAGAGAGGAGGGAGAGGTCTGGCCACCAGTCTTAGGCCAGATGACTCAGCTGATCTCCAGAATGGAGATGGAGCACTTGGCTTTCATTTCTATCCTCCAGATGTGCCTTGCAGGTCACAGATTTTTCCTGTTCACATGATAAAGGGCTCTGTTTTCCATTCTCCCTTGGTTGCACCCTCCTCTGCACCCAGATGGCACCCCAGCAGATTAAGGAGCTGGCAGGACAGTAAGCAGAGCCGGCCACAGAGTGGAGGGGCTCGCAGAGCATGCGGGAGGCTCTCCCTGCAGGTGTCTGTGTTGCCCACCAGCTAATCCCAGTGCATCTTGAAATAGATCCAGCACCCTCGCTGCTGCCATGCTGGGCCAAGCCACCTTTATCTGTTACCTAGATGACTACTCTAAAACCTAACAGATCTCCTTCCCTTTCTCTTCTTCACTTCAGCCACGTCCTGTCCCCTCCCTGTTCAGAACCCTGCAATGTCCCCTACCTCACTCAGCATCAAAGCAAAGTCCTTAAAACAACCCAGGCCGGGTACGGTGGCTCACACCTGTGATCCCAGCACTTTGGGAGGCCAAGGCGGGCGGATCACCTGAGGTCTGGAGTTCCAGACCAGCCTGATCAACATGGAGAAACCCCGTCTCCACTAAATATACAAAATTAGCCGGGCGTGGTGGCACATGCCTGTAATCCCAGCTACTCCAGAGGCTGAGGCAGGAGAATTGCTTGAACCCGGGAGGGGGAGGTTGCAGTGAGCCAAGATCGCGCCATTGCACTCCAGCCTGGGCAAGAAGAGTGAAACTCCATCTGAAAAAAAAAAAAAAAACCCAAACATCTGTCAACAGATGAATGGATCAGCAAAATGTGGTATATCCATAAAACAGAATATCATTCTGCCATAAAAAGGAATGAAGTACTGATGCCTGCTACGACATGGATGAACCTCAAAAACATGATGCTGAGTGAAAGAAGCCAGACAGAAGGCCACACATTGTACAATTCCACGTATATGACATGTCCAGAATAGGAAGTAAATTAGTAGTTGTCAGGGACCAGGGGAGGAGCAAAGGGGCAGTCACTGCTTAGTGGGAACGACATTTCCTTATGGGGTGATGAAAGTGTCTGGATAGAGGTGGTGACTGCATAACATTATGGATGCACTTAATGTCACTGAATTGTACACTTTAAAATGCTTAATTTTATATTCTGTGAATTTCACCTCAATAAAAAAAGTTTTAAAGTATTGCATTAAAATTATAAAAAGTGGGGCGGGGCGCGGTGGCTCACGCTTGTAATCCCAGCACTTTGTAAGGCCGAGGTGGGCAGATCACGAGGTCAGGAGTTCGAGACCAGCCTGGCCAACATGGTGAAACCCTGTCTCTACTAAAGATACAAAAAATTAGCCAGGCGTGGTGGCACACGCCTGTAATCCCAGCTACTCAGGATGCTGAGGCAGGAGAAGCACCTGAACCCGGGAGGTGGAGGTTGCAGTGAGCCAAGATCACACCATTGCACTCCAGACTGGGTGACAGGGTGAGACTCTGTCTCAAAAAAAAAAATTATAAAAAGTGGTTAAAATGATAAACATATTATGTTTTGCATATTTTACCATACACACACACACACACACACACACACACACACACACACACACAACCCAGGCCCTTACAACCAGCCATTCCTCCATGGCCATCTCCTCCACTGTCCCCTTTCTGGTCCACTCCAGCCACACTCCCACTCCTTCCAGCTCCTCCAAAACACCAGGAACATTCCTGCCCCAGGACCTTTGCACCTGATGCCTGTGGTCTGGAAGGCTCTTCCCTGGATACAGCATGCTCCCTTGCCAAGTTGCTCAAAGGTCCCTTTCTCGGTGAGCTCTTCTTGACCATCCTATTAAACTTGCACCACCTCCTTATTCAGCATTCAAATTCCCTTTAACCTGCTTTCTATTTGTCCACATTAAATTACTTTTATCATGTTTGTTTTCTCTCTCCCTTTATAGGCAGGTACCTGCCCCTCAGTAAATACTTGTAACTGCTTCCCCTTTACCCCCTCACATGGTTCTCTCTGCCCTAGGAGCTCTCCCGGCTTTCATACATTTATTTCTTCTTATCCATCACGAAGTCCTGATCATTCCTCCCCCAGAGAATATCTACTTCCTTTCCTCTCCACATCCATTGCCAGGTCCACAGACAGTGACCCTGCCTCCTCCTCTGGTCCCCTGAATCCAGAGTCATCTTTTCTCTTGTGGTTTTTTTTTTTTTTGAGGTAGGGTCTTGCTCTGTTGCCCAGGCTGGAATCAGTGGCCTGATCGCAGCTCACTGCAGTCTCAAACTCCCAGGTTCCAGTGGTCCTTCTACTTCAGCCTCCTAAGAATCTGGGACTACACAATGTGTGCCACCATGCCCAGCTAATCTTTTTTTTTTTTTTTTTTTGGTAGAGTTCTAGAGATAGGGTCTTGTTATGTTGCCCAGGCTAATCTCAAACTCCTGGCCTCAACGATCCTCCCGCCTCGGCCTCCCAAACCGCTGGGATAACAGGTGTGAGCCACTGCCCCCAGCATCATTTCATTTCACTTAGTTAAATGTTAGATGTTAATATTTCTGCTTCCTTTTTGAGGAAGGAGTTCAGACAGCAGGATTGGTAAGGGGCGGAGCAAAAGTTCTCCCCCAGTTCCTGGAATTCCAAAGCCCTCCAAAGTGGCAGGCTGAATAATGGTTACGGAAGGACCACATCCTAATCCCCAGGACCTGTGGATTACAGGCGTGAGCCACTGTGCCTGTATGGGAGATGACCCTGGACCAACCAGGTGGGTTCAATGTAATCACAGGGCCTCATAAGAGGGGGGCAGGAGGAGCAGCAGCAGGAGACGTGACAACAGAGGGGATGTAGTGACGTGAGAATAGGGCTTGGTCAGGAACACAGGTGGCCACTGGAAGCTGAAAGACACAAGGACACTTGTTCTCCCCTCGAGCCTCTGGAAGGAACCAGCTCTGCCCACACCCTGACTTTTGTCCTGTGAAGCTTATTTCAGGCTTCTGACTTCCAGAAACATTCTCCTGAGATCAAATGTGTTAAGCCACTAAGCTTGTGGTAGTTTGTTACAGCAGCCACAGGAAACGATCACATGTTCCTTCTGGACCAGCCAGCCAACAGAAGGCCAGGTGGGACCCCGCAGAGACACTAGCCAGATGGACTAGCCACCAAATGCAAGGGAGCAAGGGCACCCGGCGGTTGTTCACCAACTCTTTGTCATTTTGTTCCCTCGAGAGTGACTGACTGCAAATGACCAAGAGAAGCAAACAGAATGAATGAATTCGGGAGGCTACGAGTGGGCCTGGGTGATGCTTTTGGGCAAGGCCCTGGAATAAGACCCAAGGGCACAGACCGCCCACAGCCTGGTCATGGGGCCCCAGGAGGGGAGGAGGGAGTGGCTGTGTGCATGAGGACAGCAAATGCGCTGTGTTGCTAATGCCACGGGTCAGGACCAAGAACATGGACGGCAGCCACTGCAGGGCTGGGGTGGGAAAGGCCTCCAGAGAGGGCTTCGAGAAGGGCCTCAGGACACAGATCTCTTCTTGGCTGTGCTAGGCCCTCAACTCCTGGGCTGGGAAAATCTCTTCCCTTGTCTGGGCCTCCTATGAAACAAGGGGGTTGACGAGTGAGCCCTCTAAGCCTCCAGGTCAAACCCAAATTCAAAATGTTGCAGCAGAGGGCATTAGATCAATTGGGTTAACATCAATACAAACCTTTGATCCCAAACCTAGAGTTGTAGTTTTAGATAAATGTATTTTGCATTCTTAGTCTCTAGAGGGGAAATGCTGTTCCCTATCTGCTTCAGGTGTAACTGACAATGATAATAATAATACTTCTTCCCCACAAGTTTTAAGTCCAATAAATGTAATACTAATTACTATTACTGTGATTGGTAATGATAATGAGAAGGAAGCAGAAGACAGGCTAACTATGTGCCACATCCCATGCTGAGCACTTTGCAGATTTTTTTTTTTAAACGGAGTCTCTCTCTGTTGCCCAGGCTGGATGGAGTGCAGTGGCAGTGATCTCAGCTCACTGCAAGCTCCGCCTCCCGGGTTCACACCATTCTCCTGCCTCAGCCTCCCAAGTAGCTGGGACTACAGGCACCCGCCACCACGCTGGGCTAACTTTTTGCATTTTTAGTAGAGATGGGGTTTCACCATGTTAGCCAGGATGGTCTCGATCTCCTGCCCTCATGATCCACCCACCCCAGCCTCCCAAAGTGCTGGGATTATAGGCGTAAGCCACCACGCCCAGCCATTTTATTTATTTTTTATTATTATTTTTTGTTTGAGATGGAGTCTCCCTCTGTTATCAGGCTGGACTGCAGTGGCACGATTTCGGCTCACTGCAACCTCCGACTCCCGGTTCAAGCAATTATCCTGCCTCAGCCTCCCAAATAGCTGTGATTACAGGCGCGCACTACCATGCCCAGCTAATTTTTGTATTTTTAGTAGAGACAGTGTTTCACCACGTTGGCCAGTACGGTCTCAGTCTTTTCACCTCATGATCCACCTGTCTCGGCTTCCCAAAGTGTTGGGATTACAGGCGTGAGCCACCGCCCCCCGATCTGCAGATGTTCTTTCATCCATTCCTCAGTAATTAATGCCACAAAGTAGGTACTCTGATTATCCCATGATGCAGATGAAGAAATCAAGACCTGGAGAGGTCCAATGCCCAAAACTGACAGGTGCAGTGCTGGGATTTGTATGCAGGAGGGCATGTCCTTACTCCTGTGAATACATCTGTCCTTTGATGAGGGCTACACTTCTGGGGAAGTCAAGCATTTGGTTTAGTTGCACATCAGTGGCTTCCACTGTTGGCCCAGATCTGTAGAAAGGAATACATTTTCTTTTTTTTTTTTTTTGAGACAGAGTTTCACTCTTGTTGCCCAGGCTGGAGTGCAATGGCATGATCTCAACTCACCACAAGCTCTGCCCCCCAAAGTTCAAGCGATTCTCCTGCCTCAGCCTCCCGAGTAGCTGGAATTATAGACATGCGCCACCACACCCGGCTAATTTTGTATTTTTAGTGGAGGCAGGGTTTCTCCATGTTGGTCAGGCTGGTCGCGAACTCCTGACCTCAGGTGAACCGCCCGCCTCGGCCTCCCAAGCTGGGATTACAGGCGTGAGCCATCGTGCCTGGCCAGGAATACATTTTCTTAGCAACATGGTACACACATACGTGCACACACGTGCACACATTTACATGCACACATATACCCACATACATACACGAGTGTGCCGCTGTCCCTTGAAATCTGTTGGAAATTGGTTCCAGGACCCCTGCACATGCCTAAATCTGGGAGGCTCAAGTCCCTGATATAAAATGGCATAGTATTTGCATATAACTCATGCACATCCTCCTGTGTAGTTTTGTTTGTTTGTTTTGTTTTGTTTTGTTTTTGATATGGAGTCTCACTCTGTCTGTCCCCCAAGCTGGAGTACAGTGGCACAATCTCGGCTCACTGCAACCTCTGCCTCCTGGGTTCAAGCAATTCTCCTGCCTCAGCCTCCCGAGTAGCTGGGACTACAGGCTGCTCCACCATGCCTGGCTAATTTTTGTATTTTTAGTGGAGATGGGGTTTCGTGATGTTGGCCAGGCTGGTCTCGAATTCCTGACCTAAGGTGATTTGCCCGCCTCGGCTTCCCAAAGTATTGGGATTACAAGTGTGAGCCACCATGCCCGGCTTTCTCGTGTCCTTTAAATCATCTCTAGGTTACCTACAGTACCTCATACAGTGTAAATGATGTGGAAATAGTTGTTATACTGTATTTTTATTTGAATTATTTTTTATTGTTGAAATGTTATTTTTTATTATTGTCGTTTTCAAAGGTTTTCCATCTGCCCTTGGTTGAATCTGAGGATGTGGAACTCATGGATAAAGAGGGCCGACTGCATATAACTGAAATAATGATGTCACCAAGCAATGCTTATGCCTGCTAGGTATAATACTCTCTGGTATCTTCTCCTCTATTTCACTAAAATTTGTCTCTAAATTCATTTCCTGACTCATTACTGAGTCCTGACTTGTGGTTTGAAAAACAGGACCTCAGGACCTGTGAGGCCCTAGGACTGATGCAGGGTGGCAGGGCGACCTGAGATCCAGGCCCGAGGCACCCCTGCTCCCAGCTCCTGTCCCACTCAGCCCAAGAACTGTGTCTAGGCCCACAGCTAAAGCCACTCCGGCAGCTCCTGCGGCCGTCCCTTCCATGTGACCGATGCCTGGGCTCCAAGCCCGCCCTGCCTGTCCCGCCCACCTCAGCTAAGCTCCCCCACTCCCCACATCCCCTACTCCCTAGGCCATCTGGCCTGGATTTCACACCCCAATTCCAAGTCTCTACATATGTTAGAATATAGCTTTGGCCACGTGTAATAGCAACACAAAACAAGAGAGCTTGAACAAGACAGATGCTTATTTCAGAGCCGCCTTGGGTATAAGAAGTCTGGCGTCAGGGAGGCAGTGCCAGTGCCCAGAACTCAGGCCGCCTCCATCATCCCTGCAGTACGGCCAGGTCTGCATGGTGTCCCTGCACACTGCCACCTCCAGCCACAGCCACCAGGAAGAGAGAAGGGGGAAGGGCAGGGAAGGTACCATCCTGCCCCTTAAAGGATACGCACTTAAAAGGAACACAGGATGCTTGTGCTCAAATCTTCACTGGTCAGAATTTAGTCACGTGGCAGCAACCAGCCACAAGAGACACTGATAGTTACCTGGATTTTTTTTTTAGATGAGGTCTTGCTCTGTCACCCAGGCTGGAGTGCAGTGGTACAATCACAGCTCACTGCAGCCTCAATCTCCAGGGCTTAAGTCATCCTCCCACCTCAGCCTCCCAAGTAGCTGGGACTGTAAGTGTGCAACACCATGCCTGGCTAATTTTTACAATTTTTTGTAGAGATGGGGTCTTGCTATTTTGCCCAGGCTGGTGTCAAACTTCTGGCCTCAATCAATCCTCCTACCTCGGCCTGTCAAAGTGCTGGGATTACAGGTGTGAGCCACCATGCCTGGCCTCATTTTCATCTGTGAGCCACAGCAGTTTGTGGCACCCCAGGACCAGGGCTCTTTAGGACTGAGACCTTTGCCTTGCTTTTTTTTTTTTTTGAGACGGAGTCCCCCTCTGTCGCCCAGGCTGGAGGGCAGTGGCGCGATCTCGGCTCTCGGCTCACCGCAACCTCTGCCTCCCAGGTTCAAGCAATTGTCCTGCCTCAGCCTCCTGAGTAGCTGGGATTACAGGTGTGCATCACCACGCCTGGCTAATTTTTTTTTGTACTTTTAGGAGAGACAGGGTTACACCATAATGGCCAGGCTGGTCCCAAACTCCTGACCTTGTGGTCTGCCCTCCTTGGCCTTCCAAAGTGCTGGGATTACAGGTGTGAGCCACCATGCCCGGCCTGCCTTGCTCTTATAAGTTCTTATCTAAGAACTTCCATCTGTGGGGTCAAGCATGACTCTTTTAAATACTAATCCACCATGCCACTTCTGACTAACTCTTGAGTCCAGGAATGCCTCCAAAATGTGGGGTTGACATATTGCTTTTTACGTAGAAACACCTAGTCACTGTAAGATTCACCTTTCTTCCAAAACAACCCTGGATGTTGTTGCATACATCATAGGCTGTGATGCCCATAGCCACCTACACACTCCTTCCAGAGCACTATGCTTCTTCCCCAAGACATAAGACCTGGATCTGGGGGATTGCAACGTGAGGATCTACCTGTCTTGTGGCCACCCAAGACCACGCTTCTGTCTATAAATGCCCCTAATAAATCACCCTATACCGACAACTGAATGTCTGCCCCATTCTTTGGTTTTTTGGCTCCTCTGGCATTTGGGGGCCACTTTGCACATACAGCCCTTTTGGGGAACAGCCTCCTGCATGCTGGCCCCTGCTGGAGCCTGGCCTCCCACTGACAACCCTTTCACATTGACCGCTGGAGTAGTTTCCTGTGGCTGCCATAGCAAATCAACACAAAGTTGGTGGCTTAAAACAACAGGACTTCAACAGATCTTTTTCAGAGATATGAATCTACCCACAATAGTCTACCCTCTGGTTCCCATAAATTCATGTTCTTCCCACTTGCAATGTATAGTCACCCTATTCCAACACCCCTAAAAGTCTGAACCCATTCCATTATCAACTCCAGTTACAAAATCTCATCTAAATACTGCCAACCCCAAAAGTCCCAAATTTCTTTCTTTCTCTCTCTTTCTTTCTCTTTCTTTCTTTCCTCCCTCCCTCCCTCCCAGCTTTTCTTTCTTTCCTTCCTTCCTTCCTTCCTTCCTTCCTTCCTTCCTTCTTTCCTCCCTCCCTCCCTCCCTCTCTCTTTCTTTCTGATGAAGTTTCACTCTTGTTGCCCAGGCTGGAGTGCAATGGTGCAATCTTGGCTCACCACAACCTCTGCCTCCCAGATTCAAGCGATTCTCCTGCCTCAGCCTCCTAAATAGCTGGGATTACAGGTATGCGCCACCACACCTGGCTAATTCTGTATTTTTAGGAGGGATGGGGTTTCACCATTTTCTCCACGTTGGTCAGGCTGGTCTCGAACTTCCGACCTCAGGTGATCCACTTGCCTCGGCCTCCCAAAGTGCTGGGATTACAGGCGTGAGGCACCGTGCCCGGCCGATGCAGTTCTTATAAACAGCAAAGTCTTGCTTTTGAATTACGAGTCTGTAGCCTCTTTTCTCCGCAACATTGAGCCTCTGCCAACCTTGTTAAAACTCAAGGATTCTTTTGTTATAACACTAAGAGTTGAAGGGGAGAATGGATATGGGCTACAGCTAGCCTTTTCTGCCACAATTCCACTTGTCACAGACATGTTAGTTCCCATTTGAAATTTTTCTGCACCATACAAAATTTAATCCTCAGGCCCATGTGGTCTGTGGGTGGGTCTTGTTCAGCCCCAACAAATGAAAGAAGATTAATTAACAGAAGCAGCTGCAGCTGGGCCTGGAGGCAGTGGCTCTACAGCAGCAGTGAGAGCCGAGCTGTGGCAGACACATGCTCTTCCCCTGACTCACGGCTGCCCAGTTCCCTCCAGCGAGGCTGCTGACCTATTTTTCTATTAGGAACAACCAGCCAATGTGATAATGAGGAAAATGTATTCTGGCCCCTATGAAGTTTAGTGAAGCCCGAATGAAGTGGAGGAGGCCACGGAGATGCACGAGGAAGAGCATTCCAGGCAGAGGGAACAGCGAGGACAAAAGCCCCCGGGCAGGAATGGGTGTGCAAGCCTGAGATCCAACATGGCGGAGAGCAAGCCGGAAGTGCTGCGCGGGGATCCTAAGGGAGCACTGAACAGGACAAGCTCAGTTTTGTCCCTCAAACCTCCACAATCAGGTAAGTCAGTCGGCCTCGCATAAGATATATGTTTTCCCCACCAATCTCCATTCTGAGGAGTGGAGTAGAAACTCCCTCTCCTCTCATGAAATGTTGAGTATCAGGGAGCAAGTGTGTGCTAAAAAGGGTTACCTCGGTGGAACTAGGTTGCTCAAATCCTGAACATTCCGAAGGAAGGACTGGCCCCTGACCAGCTCTGGGGAGCTAACTTCTGGGTCTTTGGAATATGCCTGAGGAGAGCACCTTTGTGACCTGAGACTTCAGCCCTGCCTACACCTTATGCTAACAGTGTGGTTTATGGGGAAGACCTGTTTTTATTTGCTGGGAGCCCTGGGCCATGCTGTATCTCTTTGACTTCTGGATGGGTGGGGAACTGAGGAATAAATTGCTAAGGCCAGTCATGTAGATGCTCCATGCCTATATGACTGACCTCCAATAAAAATCCTGGCACCAAGACTTGGGTAAGCTTTCCTCATTGACAGTAATTGGTGTGTATTATTGTCACACGTTGTTGCTGGGAGGACTAAGTGTTGTCCATGTGACTCCGCAGAGAACTCCTGGAAGTTCACCCCGGTTTCTCCTGAACTCTGCCCTATTGTCCCTTTTTCCTATGCTGATTTTAATCTGTATTCTTTTTATCCCCAAGTTCTGGCAAGTCTTTGATGTATTCTTTTCCCATAATAAACTGTAACTGTGAGCATAACAGTTTTTCCAAATTCTGTGAGCCCTCCTAGCGAATCATCAAACCTGAGAGTGGCCTGGGGGACCACAAAACAAAGTTGAATTCATCCCATCTATTTTTCCATCATCTTGCTACTCTACCTAGGTGTCAAAGCCCTAGTAGGAAGAGTCTGATTGGCTAACTTGAGTCACCCAGCCCATCTTGGCCAGGGGAGGACAGGCACCTTGACAAGCAGGCCCCACACAGCTGCACTGAGTGGGAAGGAGGATGCCCAAAATTACTTGTATCAGGAAGAGAGAGTTGGGGCCAGTGTGGTGGCTTACACCTGTAATCCCACTGCTTTGAGAGGCTGAGGCAAGAGCATTACTTGAGCCCAGGAGGTTGAGGTGGCAGTGAGCTGTGATCACTCTTCTACTCTCCAGCCTGGGTGACAAGACCCTGTCTCAAAAAAAGCCAAAACAAAACAGGAGAGTTGGGAGCTGGGATTCTGGTCAGGTCAAATAGTTAATATATGCACCAGGCAGGGAAATGGGAGTCCACGTTAGCAGGAAAAAGTTGGAGTCTTCTGGAGATACTGACCAAAAAGCCATGTGGTATCTGGGTTTGTATCCATCCAACTGTTGGCATCAAGAAATCACAACAGTCATTGGAGAGTGTCAGCTGCAGGATGCAACAGAATGTCAAAGATCCAGAGATTTTTGTTGTGGGTTGAATTATGTCCACTCCTGCCAAAATATGTTAAAGTCCTAACCTCTGGTACTTATTTGAAAATAGAGTCTTTGCAGATGTAATGAGGTTAAGATGAGGTCATACGGGATTAGGATGGGCCCTAAATCCAATGGCTGATTCCTCACAAAGAGAGAGATTTGATGACAAACAGGTGCACAGAAAGAAGACCATGTAAAGACGGAGGCAGAGGTTGGGGTGATTCAACCCAAGGAACACCAAGGATTGCTGGCAGCCAGCAGAATCAGGAAGGGGCAACAGTGGATTCTTCATGGAGCTGTCAGAGCATAACCCTGCCAAAACCTTGATTTCAAACTTCTGGCCCCAAGGACCATGAGAGAATCAATTTCTGTTGTTTTAAGCCACCAAGCATGTGGCAATTTATTATGGAAGCCCTAGGAAACCTTACAGATTTTGCCACTGGAAAGGGAGTGCTGCTTCTAAAGATACGGGTTGAATTGTCCACGCGGACGGCCAGTGCTGTAGAAAAATGATTGAAATGTCCACTCCTGTATCTACCAATCCTTTAAATTTCTTTCCCTGAATAGTTATTTCACAGGTAGGACGTTTATTAGTAATTTGATTTAGCCAATAAGCTGCTTTGCCTTATTTATTTGTGCTTCCAAATCCTCCTGTTCATTTAATTTTACTTTTCCCCATTTCCATATACGGCACAACAAGGAGCTATGCTGTATGCTCTCCTGGCTCTGCTTTCCAGGGAACAGAAGTAGTTATAACAATTTGAATTTCCCCATTGTAATCTTAATGACTCCTATATGTACTTGCACTCCTTTTAAATTTAAACGAGACCTGCCTAGAAGCAATCCTACCATCCCTGCTGGCAAGGGTCCACAGACGCCTGTTAGCACTTTTTGCAGGGGTTCCCCAGGCAGAAGGCTCACAGCTTTTGTGCAGCATAAATCTACTGCGGCACTACCGGCTGTAGCAGGGGACAGACATTGTACAGGGGTGAGGGAATGGCCTGAGCTGGAAATGCCCTGGTTTAGAACGGGGCCCAGGACAGGCCCCTCATGGCATTTCCCAAAATCACGTTCCCATCTTTATCAAACTTAGAGTGACATTTATTAGCCCAATGTTTTCCTTTTTTACATTTTGGACATATTTCAGACTCAGCAGTTTTCTTTTTTCCTCCATCTGGCAGCCTGACTCGCTGATTCTTTCTCTATTTTTTTAATATGACCATGCTTCCCATGGTTAAAACAAGCTCCAGGAAACACAGTATTTCCTTTACCCACTCTCAGTTCTGCCATAGCTTGTGCCAACAAAGTAGCTTTATGCAGACTACCTCCAATACTGTCACAGGCCTTAATATAATCAACTAAATGTGCTTTCCCTCTAATAGGTCGCAGAGCGGCTTGGCACTCAGGATTGGCATTGTTGAAAGCTAGTAACCGCAACACTATATCCTGAGCAGCCGAATCTGCAATCACCTTTTTAAGAGACTCCTGTAACCGAACTATAAAATCTGCATATGGTTCTTTTGGTCCCTATTTTATAGCACTAAAGGAAGGGTATTGTTCTCCTCCTGAAGTGATTTTTCCCATGCTCTAATGCACACTCCTCTAAGCTGCTCTATGGCATCATCCTGCATTACCACTTATGCATCTAAACCAACCCAGCTGCCGACCCCCAAAAGTTGGTCTGCAGTTATATTAATTTGAGGTTGGGCCTGGGCGTTGCAAGCAGCCTGAATGGAAGCTTCATCTGCCCACCAAGTTTTAAATCGTAAGAACTGAGCAGAGTCAGGCAAGCTCGAGTAAAAGCATCCCAGTCAGTAGAAATCATCCCACTGGAGACAGCAACATTCTTTAACTGTCACATCACAAAAGGAGAAACTGGTCCATATTGATTACTAGCTTGTTTAAATTATTTAAGTACTTTAAAAGGAAAAGGCTCAAATGTAGCTATAATATTCCCCTGTTGATCAGGTGGGTGTGTTCTAACAGGGAACTGCCAAGCATTCATATCACCCTCTCGTCTAGCTTGCTGGATTCCTGCCTGAATAGAACTGAGAGTGGTCACTCGAGGCGCTGCTCGAATAGTCACTTGGGCAACTGCTTTTCGTCCAGTGTCCTCTGGAAAAGAAAGATCTGAGGGTCAGGCCACTCTTTTTCTTCAAAATAATGAGGCGGTGTAGAGGGGTAGGGACAAACCTCTCCCTCCTTTGCCGCTTTAGCTGGCAAGCAAACCTGCTCTGTCACCTCTTCTGTTACTTCGTTATACTCTCCTTCTTCCTCTGATTCCTCCTCCTTGTCATCTGTGTGAAAAGGCTCCAAGGTGGAACGAACCAGAGCCCACACTGACCAGACAGTTATAGGAATATCCTCAGCACTATCCTTATATGCCTTTTTCAGTGAGCTGCCTACCTTCTCCCAGACCTCTACATTCATAGTTCCTCAGTCCAGAAACCAGGGGCAATATTTCTCTACTGCACTAAAAAGCTGCATAAGTTGGCTAGTGCTAACCTTCACTCCTCCTTTCTGAGCAGCTGCCGAAGCAGACTCATATAAGCCTCCTGCCTGCTGGACCCTTGTCCCATTGTTACCCGGATGCTTCCGAGCTCCCCTTACTCACCACAGGGATTGCTTAAGAGTACTCGGGTGTCCTCCAGTGTAGGTCCACATTCTCCAACCGTTGCTCCGGCAGCACTTCGACCCAGGTTCGAGCCCCACATTTGGGCGCCACTTACCAAGGCCAGCTCGGTCGTGGAGACCTCAACCCAGCAGTGCTAGAGGAATGAAGACAAAGACACAGAAATAGAGTGCAAAGTGGATCGGGGGCTGACAGCCTTCAGAGCTGAGAGCCACGAACAGCGTTTGACCCACATATTTATTGACAGCAAGACAGTGATAAGGATTATTTCTATAGATTATAGATTAGCTAAAAGCATTCCTTATGGGAAACAAAGGGACAGACTCTGGCTTGTTATCTGCAGCAGGAACATATTCTGAAGGCACAGATCACTCATGCTATTGTTTGTGGTTTAGGAACGCCTTGAGTGGTTTTCTGCCCTGGGTGGACCAGGTGTTCCTTGCCCTCATTCCAGTAAACCAACAACTTCCAGCGTGAGTGTCATAGCCATCACAAGCATGTCACAGTGCTGCAGAGATTTAGTTTATGGCCAGTTTCTCATGGCCTGTTTATGGCCAGATTTGGGGGGCCTGTTCCCAGCAACATTTTTCACAGGAATATAAAAAATGATGGTAAAATTCATATGGAACCAGATCGGGCACAGTGGCTCTCGCCTGTAATCCCAGCACTTTGGGAGGCCAAGGCAGGTGGATCACCTGAGGTCAGGAGTTTGAGACCAGCCAGGTCAACATGGTGAAACCCTGTCTCTACTAAAAATACAAAAAATTAGTCAGGCATGGTGGCAGGTGCCTGTAGTCCCAGCTGCTTGGGAGGTTGAGGCAGGCGAATCTCTTGAACCCAGGAGGCGGAGTGCAACCATTGCAGTGAGCCAAGATTGTGCCATTGCACTCCAGCCTGGGCAACAAGAGCGAAACTCCATCTTGAAAAAAAAAAATTCATATGGAAACACAAAAGACACTGCATGGTCAAAACAATCTTGAGCAACAAAACCAAAGCTGGAGGCATCACACTAGTTGGCTTCAAAATATATCACAAAGCTTAGTAATCCAAATAGCATGGTAGTGGCATAAAAACAGACACATAGACCAATGGAACGGATTAGAAAGCCGAGAAATAAATTCATGCAGTTATAACCAGCTGATTTTTGGTGAAGGTACCAAGAACACACAATGGAGAAAGGACATCTCTTCAACAAATGGTGTGGGGAAAACTGGATGTCCACAAGCAAAAGAATAAAATTAGATCTTTATTTCACTCCATATACAAAAATCAAAATGGATTAAAGACTTAAATATATCTGAAACTGTATAACTACTAGAAGAAAACAGAGGGGAAAAGCTCCATGAGCTCCACTGGTCTGGGCAATAACTTTTTGGCTATGACCCCAAAAACATAGGCAACAAAAGCAAAAGATGTAGATGAGATTACATGAAAATGAAACACTTCTGCACAGCAAAGGAAACAATCAACTGAGTGAAGTGACAATCTGTAGAATGGAGAAAATATTTTCAAACCATACATCTGATAATGGGTTAATATCCAAAATATATAAAGAACCCAACTCAATAGCAAGAAAACAACCCAATTAAAAAATAGGGGAAGGATATGAATAGACACTTCTTAAAGAAGACATACAAACAGCCAATGGGTAAACGAAAAAAAAATTATCATCACTAATCATGGGGAAAACGCAAATTAAAATCACAATGAGCTATCACCTCACACCTGTTAGAATGGCTGTTATCAGAAAGACAAGGGGTAACAGGTGTTGACAAGGATGTGGAGAAAAGGGAACCATTTTCCCTTTTGTTGGTGGGAATGTGAATTAGTACAGCATTATGGAAAACAGTATGGAGGTTCCTCAAAAAACTAAAAATAAACTAACATATAATCCAGCAATTCCACTACTGGGTATGAGGCAGGGGAATAGGGTCTGGAGGCAGGGAACCTAAGGCTGATTAGCACAGACTTCCTAGAGCTGAATCAAAAGGAAAATCCCACCTCTCCACACCAAAGTAACAGAAGGATCAGAGGCTACTCCGTTTGCACTACTTTGCAGATGAAAAATGGAAAGTACCTCTGATTGGTCGCCTCCCACAACCAATCAAACTGGTCATGGGCCTAACCTTCATATGCACAGGGGTGTAACTTTGTTACTTCACCTCAGCCTCTGATTGGTAGCCTTCCCCAGACAATCAGACTGGTCGTGGGCCATTCCTTCATTTACATAGGGTGTAACCAGGTAACCAATGGGAAACCTCTAGAAGGTATTTAAACCCCAGAAAATTCTGTAACCAGTGCTCTTGAGCTGCTTGCTCAAGCCTGCTCCCAACTCTGTGGAGTGTACTTTCATTTCAATAAACCTGTGCCTTCGTTGCTTCATTCTTTCATTGCTTTGTTTGTGCGTTTTGACCCAGTCTTGTTCAAAACATCAAGAACCTGGATGACTTGTAGTCAAGACCCTCGACTGGTAACACTAGTCCTTTTTCACACGTTTTTTTGCATATTTCCCCCACCCCCGTGTGGCTTGCCGAATTATTTTCTTAATAGTTTTTGATGTGCAGTTTTAATTTAGTAAAGTTTATCAGAACTTACTTTATTATTATTTTCTAACCTAAGAAACTTTTGTCTACCACCCCCACACCCCGCTTCCACCAATTCCTGAAGGCATAATCCTGTTTTCACCCTCTTATGTTTAGGTCTATCGTTCATCTTGACTGAATTTTGAATTTTGTATGAGATTAACGTTCATTTATTACCCCATAATGACATATAGTAATTCCAGAGCCATGTATTGAAAAGACTTATTTTTTGAGACGGCATTTCACTCTTGTTGCTCAGGCTGGAGTGCAATGCTGCGATCTCGGCTCATCGCAACCTCCACCTTCTGGTTTCAAGTGATTTTCCTGCCTCAGTCTCCTGAGTAGCTGGGATTACAGGCGCCCACCACCACACCTAAGTAATTTTTGTATTTTTAGTAGAGATGGGGTTTCACCATGATGGCCAGGCTGGTCGCAAACTCCTGACCTCGTGATCCACCCGCCTCGGCCTCCCAAAGTGCTGGGATTACAGGAGTGAGCCACCGCACCCAGTATTTTTTTTCTTTTTAAAATTGAGATGGGGTTGCAAAGGCTGGAGTGCAGTGGCTCGATCACAGCTTATGGCAGCCTCAATCTCCCAGGCTCAAGCTATCCTCCAACCACAGCAGGGACTACCAGTGCATGCCACCATGCCCAGCTAATTTTTGTACATATTTTTTGGTAGAAACAGGGTCTCACTATGTTGCCCAGGCTGGAATCAAACTCCTAGGCTCAAGTGATTCTCTCACCTCAGCCTCCCAAAGTGCTGGGATTAGAGGCATGAGCTGCCATGCCTGGCTGACTTTACTTTCTTCATTGGATTGCTTTGGGCCTTTGTCAAAAATTAAATAATATAAATATGATTTATTTATTGGCTTTCTATTCTGTTCCATTGATCTGTTTATCCTTTTACCAGTACCATACTGGCTTGATTACTGTAGTTTTACAGTAAGCCCCTTTTTTTTTTTGAGACAGGGTTTCACTCTGTCATCCAGGCTTGAGTGCAGTGGTGTAGTCAAAGATCACTGCAGGCTTGACCCCCCAGGTTCAAGCAATTCTCCTGCCTCAGCTTCCTGGGTAGCTGTGACTACGGTCATGCACCACCACACCCAGCTTTTTTTTTTTCTTCTGTTTGTTGTAGAGATAGGGCCTCCCTATGTTCCCCAGGCTGGTCTCAAACTCCTGGATGCAAGTAATCCTCCCACCTCGGCCTCCCTATGTTCCCCAGGCTGGTCTCAAACTCCTGGATGCAAGTAATCCTCCCACCTCAGCCTCCCAAAGTGCTAGAATTACAGTCATGAGCCTCCATGCCTGGCCTTGACACTCTATTTTTTCCTAAAGTTCTGGTTTTCATCTAGTATTCTTTCCCCTTGGCTGAATAATTTCTTTTAGGATTTTTGCAGTGCAGGTATACTAGTGATGAATTCTTTTAATTTTTAAAAGTATAATTTTAATTTTTTATAGTATAATTTTCAATTTTTAAAATCTGTAAATCTATTTTTCTATTTTTGAGATGGAGTCTCACTCTGTCACCCAGGCTGGAGTGCAGTGGGGTGATCTCAGCTACTGCAACCTCTGCCTTCTGGGTTCAAGTGATTCTCCTTCCTCAGCCTCCTGAATAGCTGGGACTACAGGTGTGCACCACCACACCTGGCTAATTTTTGTATTTTTAGTAGAGATGGAGTTTCACCATGTTGGCGAGGTTAGTATTGAACTCGTGACCTCAGGTGATCAGCCTGCCTCAGCCTCCCAAAGTGCTGGGATTACAGATATGAACCACCACACCCGGCCTGTACATTCATTTAATGTTCATTCTTGAAAAATCTTCTGGCTGGGTGCAGTGGCTTACACCTGTAATCCCAGCATTTTGGGGGGCCAAGGCAGGCGGATTGCCCGAGGTCAGGAGTTTGAGACCAGTATGTCCAACATGGTCCGACCCTGTTTCTACTAAAAATACAAAAAAAAATTAACCTGGCGTGGTGGCATGCTCCTGTAATCCCAGCTACTTGGGAGGCTGAGGCAGGGGAATTGCTTGAACTAGGGAGGTGGAGGTTGCAGTGAGCCAAGGTTGCACCACTGCACTCCAGCCTGAGTGACAGAGCAAGACTCCCTCTCAAAAAAGAAAAAGAAAAACAAATCTTTTTTGTTGGAAGTAGAATCTGGGTTAGAATTTTTTTCTTTTGGCACTTCAAAGATGTTTCAGTGTCTTCCAGCCCCCTCGTTTCTGATGAGAAGTTAGCAGCCATTCCAGGCTTTTCCTTCTGTTGTCTGGCACTGGTGGGTTCTTGGTCTCATTGACTTCAAGAATGAAGCCGTGGACCCTTGCGGTGAGTGTTACAATTTTTAAAAATGGTGTGTCCGGAGTTTGTTCCTTCTTATGTTCCGACATGTTCAGAGTTTGTTCCTTCTGGTGGGTTCGTGGTGTCGCTGGCTTCAGGTGTGAAGCTACAGACCTTGGCGGTCAGTGTTACAGCTCCTAAAGCTGCACATCTGGAGTTGTTCGTCCCTCCCGGTGGGTTCCTGGTCTCGCTGGTCTCAGAAATGAAGCTGCACACCTTCACAGGGAGTGTTACAGGTCACAAAGGTAGCACAGACCCAAAGAGTGAGCAGCAGCAAAATTTATGGCAAAGAGGGAAAGAAGAAGGCTTCCACAGCATGGAAGGGAACCCCAGCAGGTCTGCCGTTGCTGGCTCGGGTGGCCTGCGTTTATTCCCTTATCTGGCCCCACCCGCATCCTGCTGATTGGTCCATTTTACAGAGAGCTGATTAGTCCATTTTACAGAGAGCTGATTGGTCCATTTTGACAGAGCACTGATTGGTGCATTTACAAACCTTTAGTTAGACACAGAGCACTGATTGGTGCATTTACAATCCTTTAGCTAGACACAAAAAGTTCTCCAAGTCCCCTACCCTATTAGCTAGACACAGAGTGCTGATTGGTGTGTTTACAAACCTTTAGCTAGACACAGAGTGCTGATTGGTGTATTTACAAACCTTTAGCTAGACACAGAGTGCTGATTGGTGTATTTACAAACCTTTAGCTAGACACAGAGTGCTGATTGGTACATTTACAAACCTTTAGCTAGACACAAAAGTTCTTCAGGTCCCCACCCAACCCAGAAGCCCAGCCGACTTCACCTCTCAATGGCACTCACCTCAGGACTTTGCAGCACCTAGCCCGTGCACTCCAGCATCCCAGAGGGAGCTTGTCCCCCGATCAAGCCTAGCAGGTGCCGGCCGGCCGCCCGCGGAGCCCACGCCCAACCGGAACCCGCGCCGTCCAGCGAGTACCGCTCGCGGCCCCGGCTCCCACCTGTGCCTCTACCTCCACATCTCCCCGCCAACAGAGGGAGCCGGCTCCGCCTCGACCAGCCCCAGAGAGGGGCCCCCACAGTGCAGCGGCAGGCTGAAGGGCTCCTCGAACGCCGAGGCCGAGGAGGCGCCGAGAGCGAGGGCTGCTAGCGAGTTGTCACCTCTCACTTCCATGTGTGATAAACTGCTTTCCTCTTGCTGCTGTTGGGAGACAATTTTCCACGATTCTCCGTTTCCTCACATCTAGGCATTAACAGCAAATTTCCTCAGATATATTACATTCCAGGATAGTAAAAATAAAAGAAGGTTTTTTTTTTTTGAGACAAGGTCTCCCTCTGTTGCCCAGGCTAGAGTGCAGTGGCGCCATCTCGGCTCACTGCAACCTCCGCCTCCTGGGTTCATGTGATTCTACCACCTCAGCCTCCTGAGTAGCTGAGATTACAGGCACATGCCACCATAGCCTGGCTAATTTTTGTATTTTTAGGAGAGATGGATTTTCACCATATTGGTCCGGCTGGTCTTGAACTCCCGACCTCAGGTGATTCGTCTGCCTTGGCCTCCCAAAGTGTTGGGATCACAGGCATGAGGCACCGTGCCTGGCCAGAGTTTCCACTCATTCTCCGCAGAAAGGTCCATTCCCGTAGGTACTTACTCTGCCACACAGAACCAGAACCTCCATGAGTCTCTGCTAGTGGCGTTCACTGTTTTTTTCCTTCCTTGTAATTTATTTATTTTTAAAAAACTGGGTGCCTTCGTCCTGTAGGGGTTCCACCTTTGTGTATTTTGCTGTTGCATCCCCATTATGTCATTTTATTTTAAAAATATTTCACCATATTTGCTTCAGGTTTCTCTTTTTAAAGAAAATCTTATCAACAGTCCTGTGTTTGTTCCTTTTGTGTGTTTACAGTGAGTGGATGTTCTATAATGTATCTATCAGCCTGCTACTAATTGTTTCCATCTTTTGTTCTTGTAAACAATAGCAGGTGAAATTGACCTGGAATCTCTTCCTTTGTGCAAACTGTAACCAATTACAAATTGCCCTCCAAGAATGTATGCTAATTTACCCTGGCAGGGTCCTTCCTCCCCAAAGATTTTTGCTATATAATTATTTTTTAAAGTATGTGTATTCGTTTCCAAGGACTGCCATAACAAATTACCACAAATGGAGTATCTTGAAACAATATAATCTGGCCAGGCGTGGTGTTGTGCACCTGTAATCCCAGCTACTCGGGAGGCCGAGGCATGAGAATCATGTGAACCTGGGAGGTGGAGGTTGCAGTGAGCTGAGATGGCGCCACTGCATTCCAGCCTAGGTGACAGAGTGAAACTCTGTCTCAAAAAAAAAAAAAAAAAAAAAAAAAAAAAAAAAAAAAAAGAGAGAGAGAGAGAAAGAAAAGAAAAGACAATATAAATCTCAGTTCTGAAAACTGGAAGCCTGAAATCGAAGTGTCCCAGGGTTGGTTTCTCTCCCCAGTTCTGGAGGCTGCCATGCCCCTTGGTGTCCCTGGCTTGTAGGTAGCTCTCACCCTGTCTCTGCCTCCATCCTCATATGGCATTCTCCTTTGTCTGTCTCTGTGTCTCTAGGGCTGTTTTCTCCTCCAGCAAGGGCTGTTTTCTTATTCTATCCAAGCTGTTTCTGCTGAGATGGTTGGTTGGATCCCAGTGTTGCAGGTCTCATCTCTCCAACAAGGGTTTGGCCACCACATCTTTGGTGGTTTATTTTATTTTTAAAAATTCCTATTTTGGCTGGGTGCAGTGACTCATGCCTGTAATCCCAGCACTTTGGGAGGCCGAGGCAGGCAGATTGCTTGAGGCCAGGAGTTCAAGACCAGCCTGGGCAACCTGACGAAACCCTGTCTCTACAAAAAACACAAAAACTAGCCAGAATATGGTCGTCTATACCTGTAGTCCCAGCTACCTGGGAGGCTGAGGTGGGAGGATCTCTTGAGTATGGGGGGTTGGAAGCTGCAGTGAGCCAGGATTGTGCCACTGCACTCCCGTTTGGGTGACAGAGCGAAACCCTGCCTCAAAAAATAAATATTTCTTATTTATTTGTGGGAGGGAATCAATCAGAAGTACTTTCCATTGTTCATCTTCAAGGCAGTGCAAAGGGAGTAGCCTTTGATCCTTTTGTTACTTTGCTGTGGAGAGATTTTCCTTTTGATTCAGTTCTAGGAAGTCAGTGCTAATTGCCTTTAGGTTCCTTGCCTCCAGACCCTATTCTCGCGCCTCACTAGTACCCATCGTGTACTTTTAAAGTTCCTGCAACTCAATAATAAAACCCCAATAACTAAATTTAAAAATGGGTAAAAGATTCCCATGGGTGAACCTGGAGGATACGTTATGTGAAAAACGTGAGGTACTGAAAGATAAATACTGCATAGTCTCACTTATGTGTGGAATCTAAAAAAGGTCGAACTTGGCCAGGTGCAGTGGCTCATGCCTGTAATCCTAGCACTTTGGGAGGCTGAGGCAAGGGGATCACTTGAGGCCAGGAGTTAGAAACCAGCCTGGCCAATATGGCAAAACCCCCATCTCTACTAAAAATGCAAAAATTAGCCAGTGTGGTGGCATGTGCCTGTAGTCCCAGTTGCTCAGGAGGCTGAAGTGGGAGGATTGCTTGAGCCTGGGAGGTTGAGGCTGCAGTGAACAGAGATAATGCCACTACACTCCTGCCTGGGCGATAGGGTGAGACCCTGTCTCCAAAAAAAAAAAAAAAATTGATGAAACTCATAGAAGCAGAGTCAGATATGGTTACCAGGGGCTGGAGAGATGGGGTGATGTTGATCAAAGGATACCAAATTTCAGTTAGACAGCAGGAATAAGTTCAAGAGGCCTATTGTAAAACATGGTGACTACAGTTAATAACAATGTATTGTATTCTTGATAAAAAAATAAGTAAAAGATTAGAACAGGCACTTTGTGAAGAAGACACATATGAGTAGCCAATTAACCCATGAAAATGTTCAATATTGTTAGTCATCAGGGAAATGTAAATTAAAAGTACATTTCACATCCATCACACACCATTTTATACCCTCAAAATTGCTAAAATTAAAATAACCCACAAAGTCAAATATTTGTGAGGATGTGGAACAACCAGAGCTCTCTCACACATTACTGGTCCAATCACTTTCGGAAAAGGCCTGGGAGTTTGTCTTTTCTTCCTCTTCTTTTTTTTTTTTTTTTTTTTTTTTTTTTTGAGATGGAGTCTCACTCTGTCACCCAGGCTGGAGTGGAGTGGTGTGATCTTGGTTCACTGCAACCTAGGCCTGGGAGTTTCTTGTAAAACTAAACATGCATCTACTCTCTGACCCAGTGTCCCACCCTTTGGTGTGCACCAAGAGGAATGAAATATATTTTCACCAAAAGACTTGTACTATAATGTACGTTTCTGGTTTACTCACAGTAATCCCAAACAGGAAGCAGCCCTAGCAGCCATCCATAGGAAAATGCTCAACTGTAGTAAATTCATTCATTGGAACACTACTCAGTAATAAAAAGGAATGAGTCACTGCTACCCACAACATAGATGAATCTCAAAAGCATTTTGCTGAGTGACAGAAGCCTTAAAGGAAGCATGCTCTATGGTTCCATTTAAACAAAGTTCTAGAAGAGGCTAAATAAATCCATGTTGGAAAAAAATCAGGACAGTGAATTGCTTTGGGAGATTGTCAATGAAGACTGACCAGAAGGGGCATGAGGACAGTTTCTGGGGTTATGGTAGTGTTCTGCAAGAACTCCATGAGCCAGTCTCTGGTAGCCTCTAATCTGCTTTCTGTCAAATTCACAGAGACAGAAAATCAGATTAGGATACAAATCTACAAATTTTGTAGAGTTCTTGCCATTTATCTATTTGTTTTCTGTATGTCTTATATGGTTTTTGGTTCCTCAGTTCCTCCATTACTGCCTTTTTTGTATTTAGTTGATTTTTTGTAATGTTTCATTTTGATTTCTTTCTTCTTTCCTTTTCTGTCTTTTTTTAGTAATTGCCTAAGTGGTTGCCTTGTAAATTACATATGACATCTTAAACTTGTAACAACCTAGTTTGAAAAATACCACCTTAGTTTAAGTAGTACATAAACACTCTCGTCCTATGTCCAACAGTAAAAGTTAATGGAAGATTATAGCAACCCAATAAAAATGAGATCACTAAGGCCTCAGATCCTTCAGGAATAAAATTTTAGGTTATTCCTCCAGATACAGAACGCTGATCAGCTGAGAGGGTGGCTGAGGGCAAAGGTAGCAATGAAACAGATAGTGAAAGAAGGAAGTTATAAATATTAATGATGGTCTCTGACTAGTTATAGTAAAGAAGACTGTAGTAAATATGCATACTTTAGTCTGTTTGTATTTGTATATATGAATCAATTTCAGTTTTATTTCTCTTTTCTCCAGCTATTTTACATAAGGAAAGTGGGTGGTGATTAACCTCAGAGTCTCCAGGGACAGACTATCCAGGACTGTGCCTGAAATAGAAGAGGAATTAACATCATACAGAACTGAATACGGTGACTGAGGGGAGTTTGTGTCTCCCCTTTTAGGAAAGAAGATGAGAATAAGTATGAAGGAGAGTCATGTACTGTACATTAAGCAAAAGCATGATGCTGTTATTTGAAATGTTAATTAGAGGTGCCCACTAAAAACTGCTCAGCAATTTTCTTGGAGACCTCAGTGCTCATGTTATTCTTTCCTCTATCTTATGTTTTCCTCTCTCCTGCCCTTTTCAGAAACAGTCTACAGCAGAAGCCATTGACCCTGTTCAAATTACAGAAGAGCCCTTTTTGAATTTATGAAAATCCTGAAATATTAAAATTTATTATTTTAATATTAATATATTAAATTAATATATTAATCTACCCGCCTCGGCCTCCCAAAGTGCTGGTATTACGGGCATGAGCCACCGAACCCAGCCTCATGTTATGACTTTCCAACCATAATTTAGTGTTAACAAAGTAATCACAAAAGTAATATATTAGTTTGAAATTAGTAATGCCCACCAGATTCAATCACTAAAAAATGTGATATCATTAAAAACCATTTTTCTACATGTTAACAAGAGCCAACTTCTGTCCCAAGCAGGTTGAATTATCACAATTTCCTGATAAGCAGAGTCCAGCTTCCTAATTCAAACTCTCAAACTCATTGTTAAATAAGCCCAGAGGAGTTGGACATTTTCCATCACGCATGTGGGAAGAAAGAAGGCCAACGATGCTCTTCAGATTTAACAAGTAAACCTTAAAAGTATCTGTTAAGAATACAGAGATGCCCATGACAACACTATCACCAGAGCAACAACTATCAACTAAGGTAACCATGTAGAAATAATGTCCTTTTTGTAGGTCTTCTTTTCTTCCTTTTTCTTTTTCTTCTTTTCCTTTTTTTTTGGTGCAAGACATGGCAACAATTTCTAAAGTCTATGTTTACATTATACTTGCAAGAAAAGGCTTATTTTAATCACAGCACAAGTGGGTAACTGTTACAGATATTCACATGACTCTGCACTTCCCATTTGACAGCAGAGGGCAGGATTGTGGTGGCCGCTCTCAAGTTACCATCATCACAAATCAGCTTATTTAAAACAGTTTATTATGATTATAAATAATCTAAAATATTTTATTTAAAATAGATTATTTAGAATAAATTATTTTAAATACTTTGTGATGTAGAACATTCTCTCTGGCCGGGTGTGGTGGTTCATGCCTATAATCCCAGCACTTTGGGAGGCCAAGATGGGAGGATTGCTTGAGCCCAGGAGTTTGAGACCAGCCTAAACAACATAGCGAGACTCCGTCTCTACTAAAAATACATAAATGAGCTGGGTGTAGTAGCTTGCATCTGTAGCCCCAGCTACTCAGGAGGCTGAGGTGGGAGGATCACTCAAGCCCAGGAGGTTGAGGCTGCAGGGCTGTGATCGCACCACTGCATTCCAGCCTGGGTGACAGAATGAGACTGTCTCAAAAAAAAAAAAAAAAAAAAAAAAAGGGCTAGGCGTAGTGGCTCACATCTGTAATCCCAGCACTTTGGGAGGCCGAGGCAGGCGGATCACTTGAGGTCAGGAGTTCAAGACCAGCCTGGCCAACATGTGAAACCCCGTCTCTACCAAAAAATACAAAAATTAGCTGGGCGTGGTGGCACGTGCCTGTGATCCCAGATACTTGGGAGGCTGAGGTGGGAGGATTGCTTAAACTAGAGGCGGAGGTTGCAATGAGATGAGATCACACCACTGCACTCCAGCCTGGGTAACAGAGTGAGACTGTCTCAAAAATAAAATAAATAAGTAACATTTTTTTCTGACCTTCCCTGTTCTTTCTGAGACCCCCTTGTTAAATTTTAAGACTTGCAGTTTTTGAGGCCTGGTTCTGAAGTGAACTACTCAGCATTACTTGCAAAGGACAGACCTGCAAAGTGACGTTTTGCTGGCAGAAATGGAGAAGGAGCTGAGTACAGATTTCATGTAATAAAAGTGAAATGAAAATGAAGTGCACGTGGAAATGTTCTTCTCTGAAACGAATTAGACTATCCTGTATTTAGCTGTTTTGGGGAAAACATTCAATATTAATATCTCTTATGCTTCTTGAAACCACCCCCACCACCTTCTTCTTCTTTTTTTTTTTTTGAGACAGAGTCTGTCTTTTGTCACCCAGGCTGGGATACAGTCGCATGATCGTGGCTCACTGCAACCTCCACCTCCCAGGTTCACGTGATTCTCCTGCCTCAGCCTCCCAAGTAGCTGAGATTACAGGCGTGTGCCACCACACCCAGCTAATTTTTTTTTTTTTTTTGAGACAGAGTCTTGCTCTTGTTGCCCAGGCTGGAGTGCAGTGGCGTGATCTTGGCTCACTGCAACCTCCGCCTCCCAGGTTCAAGCTATTCTCATGCCTCAGCATCCTGAGTAGCTGGGATTACAGGTGCCCGCCACCACGCCTGGCTAATTTTTGTACTTTTAGTAGAGACGGGGTTTCACCATGTTGGCCAGGCTGGTCTCAAACTCCTGACCCAGGTGATCCGCCCGCCTTGGCGTCCCAAAGTGCTGGGATTACAGGCTTGAGTCACTGCATCCAGCCTTTTTTTTTTTTTTTTTTTGTATTTTTTTAGTAGAGACGGGGTTTCACCATGTTGGCCAGGCTGGTTTCGAACTCCTGACCTCATGCAATCTGCCCGCCTTGGCCTCTCAAAGTGCTGGAAGTACAGGCATGAGCCACTGCACTCGGCCACCCCTTTTTCATCTATGTTTGTGTGGTCTTTACAACTGCCCCATGAAGCAGGCATCAATTTCCATTTCACCCACAAGGGACTGCGGCTCAGAGGCCCAAATTCACACAGTTTTAGTGGTGGCTGAGGATGTGAAGCTGGCTTTCTGAGGCCTTGATAAGCTTCAGCAATAACAAGGCTGACTGATACTTATTAAGTAGTTACTATGTACCAAGACCTGTTCTATTGCGATACATAGATCCATCCATCCACCCATCCATCCATCCATATACAGTTGACCTTGAACAATCGGTGGGCGGGGGTGGGGGGGTGTTAGGAACACCAACCCCCTACACAGTTGAAAAACTGCATATAACATTGGATTCCCCCAAAGCTTAACTACCAACAGCTTACTGTTGATGGGAAGCCTTACTGATAACATAAAGTTGATTAGCACATTTTTTTAATGTTATATATATTCTACTCTGTATTCTTAACAATAAAGTAAGCTAGAGAAAAGAAACCATTATTTAGAAAACCAGGCTGGGCATGCTGGTGCACACCTGTAGTCCCAGCTACTTGGGAAGCTGAAGCAGGATGATCGCTTGAGCCCAGGAGGTTGAGGTTGCAGTGAGCCGAGATCCCGCCACTGCACTCCAACCTGGGTGACAGAGAGAGACCCTATCTCAAAAAAAAAAAAAAAAAGAAAGAAAGAAAGAAAGAAAAGAAAAGAAAAGAAAATCAGGCCGGGTGCAGTGGCGCACACCTGTAATCCCAGCACTTTGGGAGGCCAAGGCAGGAGGATCACTTGAGTCCATGAGTTTGAAACCAGCCTGGGCAACATAGTGAATTCCTGTCTCTACAAAAAATACAAAAATTAGCCAGGAGTAGTGGTGCACACCTGTGGTCCCAGATACTCTGAGGCCGAGGTGGGAGGATCACTTGAGCCTGGAGGTCAAGGCTGCAGTGAGCTGAGATTGTGCCACTGCACTCCACCATGGGTGACAGAGCAAGACACTGTCTCAGAAAAAAAGAGAAAATAAAATTATAAGGAAGAAAATATATTTAGTGGGTCGTCATAAAAGTCTTCATCCTCATCATCTTCATGTTGAGTAGGCTAAGGCAGAAGAGGATGAGGGGGAGAAAGAGGAGGAGGGAGAGGGGGAGGAGGGGTTGGTGTTGGGGTCTCAGGAGTGGTAAAGAAGTGGTGGAGGAGATGGAAGGGGAGACAGAAGAGGCAGGCACATTTTATTTTTTTAAATCCGTTTATAAATAGACTCATCCAGTTCAAACCTGTATTGTTCAAAGGTCAACTGTATGTATAATTTAAACCTCATAACAACCCAATGAGGTAGTTGAGACTGGCTCTGTCTGATGTTGACTCATTAGACTCTTCAACCCAGAACATATTTACACTTCAAAAAGTAAAAAGGAAGGCCAGCCGTGGTGGCTTACATCTGTAATCCCAGGGCTTTGGGAGGCCAAGATGGGAGGATTGCTTGAGGCTAGGAATTCAACATCAGCCTGGGCAACAATAGCAAGACCCTGTCACCACCAAAAAAAAAAAAGTTAGCCAAGCATAGTGGTGCGCACCTGTAGTGCCAGCTACTCGGGAGGCTATGGCGGGGGGAACCCTTCAACTCAGGAGTTTGAGTCTGCAGTGAGCTATGATCACACCACTGCACTCCAGCATGGGTGACAGAGTGAAAGCCTGTCTCTCAAAATAAAATAAAATAAAAACAAAAAGCTTTCAATTTCTAAAAACCTTGCATTCTGAGACAGGCCATGAATATAGAAGCTTCCAGGAAGCCTTGAAATACACCAAAAGCTTAGCATCTTATATAAACCATATCTTGTTTTTAATTAATCAAAGACAGAAATTTCTGGTTTTTATCAAAAGAAGACAAGCAACCTCCAATGACAATTGATGACATCTGTATAATAATTTGAACAATAAGCACCACCTTCTCTCTCTTTTTTTTTTTTTTTTTGAGATGGAGTCTTGCTCTGTCCAGGCTGGAGTGTAGTGGCGTGATCTCAGCTCACTGCAAACTCCGCCTCCTGGGTTCATGCCATTCTCCTGCCTCAGCCTCCCAAGTAGCTCGTACTACAGGCACCTGCCACCATGCCCGGCTAATTTTGTTTTTGTATTTTTAGTAGAGATGAGGTTTCACCATGTTAGCCAGGATGGTCTCCATCTCCTGACCTTGTGATCTGCCCATCTTGGCCTCCCAAAGTGCTGGGACTACAGGCGTGAGCCACCACGCCCGGCCACCACCTTCTCTTTTTATCCGTCCGTTGTTAGTTGGTTTTCTGAGAGCTAGACTCCTTTGTAATGAAACTTGTACATTAGACTTTTCTCTTTGGGAGTACCATTCTCATTCCCATTATTTCAGAAACTGGGACACAGAGAAGTTCAGTAACTTGTCTAATGATAGGGATAGAAGAGGTCAGAGAGAATGTTCGAGTCTCATGGTGTTGCCCAGGCTGGAGTGAAGCTGGGATAGGGAACCAGGCAGCCTGTCCCCATAAGCCCTGCTCTGACTTGCCCAGCCAGTGCTTGACTTGTAAGCACCAGCTTTGCTGAAGTTGTTCCCTCCGTATACTTTACTAGCCCTTACTATTTTTTTTTTTCCTTCTAGCTCTGTCCTAGCTACTGAGAATACAGATTTATTTTAAAAATGCAGTCACTGTTCACGGGAGTTTAAACTTTTAAATGAGGGCATCAGACAAGTAAACAGGCAGTGATAATAGGGCATGGTAGAGCCATGATAGAGGGATGCAAAGGACTGTGAGAGCCTGGAGGAAGCACCTCACTCAGCCCTAAAGGTCAGGGAAGGCCACCTACAGGTGGGACACTGGAGCAGTCTTGAACATCAGACTGTCTCAAAAAGAAAGAAAATCAAGTATGGGGCTGGGCCCAGTGGCTGATGCCTGTAATCTCAGCTCTTTAGGAGGCTAAGGCAGGCAGACTGCTAGAGCTCAGGAGTTCAAGACCAACATGGGCAACATAGCGAAACTCCATCTCTACAAAAATAAAAATAAAAATAAAAATTAGCCAGGCGTGGTGGTGTGTGGCTATGGTCCCAGCTACTTGGGAAGTGGAACGGGGAGGATGACTTGAGACCAGGAGGCAGTGGTTGCAATGAACCATGACTGTGCCACTGCCACTGCACTCTAGCCTGGGCAACTGTCTCCAAAAAAAAAAAAAAGAAAAGAAAGGCCAGGTGCAGTGGCTCATGCCTGTAATCCCAGCACTTTGGGAGGTTGAGGCAGGAGGATCACTTGAGGCCAGGAGTTTGAGACCAGCCTGGCCAACATGGTAAAACCCTGAATCTACTAAAAATACAAAAATTAGCTGGGCGTGGTGGCACATGCCTGTAGTCCCAGCTACTCTGGAAGCTGAGGCATGAGAATCACTTGAACCTGGGAGGCAGAGGTTGCAGTGAGCCATGGCTGCGCCACTGCTCTCCAGCCTGGGTGACAAAGCAAGACTGTCTCAAAAAATAATAAATAAAAAGAAAGAAAAGAAAAGAAGAATAGGATAAGTTGGGTGGGGAAGGAGAGGGCCCCATTACAACTGTTAATCACTCCAAAACTTAGTGGCTTAGCACGACGACATTTTGCTTTACTTTTTCGTGGTTCTGGAAATTGGTTGGTATAGTTCTCTCAGGATCTCTGATACAGTTGCAGGGAGATAGGGGCTGGTACTTGATTCATCTTAAAGGCTTCACTGAAATATCTACCGGTTGACACTAGTTGTTGGCTGGGCCCTCAGCTGGGGCTGTTGACCAGAACACTCCATGTTGCCTCTTCATGTAGCCCGGACTTCCTGATAGCACAGCAGCTGGGTTCCAACAGCAAGTCTGGGGCTACACTTCCTGGGAACAAGGAAGAAGCTATCTCACCCGGACTTGGAAGTGACATGGCCTCACTTTCACCATAGTCACAAGCCCTCCCAGATTGAAGTGGAGAGGTTCTACCTCTCAACAGAAGTGTCAAAGTCACCTTGCAGGAAAGAGGATGTGGGATGGGAGATATCACTGTGGCCATTTTGGAAAACACCATCTGCCACAAAGACCTGTAAGGGCCTAAGTACTGAAGAGATTACACTCATCCCACCACCCAAATGTATTTCAAATACAAACAACTCTAGACCATAAAATAGGGGCAATGCAGCCCAATAAAGTATGAACTTCCTGTAACTCCTTCCATGCTTTTTTTGCTGGTGGTGGAAGGGACAGGGTGTCAACCATCAAATACTGTAGCGATATATTCTTTTTTTTTTTTTTTTTTTTGAGACGGAGTCTCGTTCTGTCGGCCAGGCTGGAGTGCAGTGGCATGATCTCGGCTCACTGCAAACTCCGCCTTCTGGGTTCATGCCATTCTCCTGCCTCAGCCTCCCAAGTAGCTGGGACTACAGGAGCCCCCCACCACACCCGGCTAATTTTTTTGTATATTTTTAGTAGAGACGGGGTTTCACCATGTTAGCCAGGATGGTCTCAATCTCCTGACCTCATGATCTGCCCGCCTCAGCCTCCCAAAGTTCTGGGATTACAGGCTTGAGCCACCACGCCCAGCCATCAAATACTGTAGAGATATATTCTTTTTCTTCACTCTCTTTTTTCTTAGGGGGTTGCCTCTGCTTTGCTGGTGCCCTAAGTGTGTGCTCAAACTATATGGTGGATGCTCCAGCCTGGGGTAAGGGTGTTTTGGGCAGAGGGAGGAGAACATGAAAATAAGTTAAACAGCAAGATTAGGTACACTTGGATGGGTAGAAACCAGAGGGAGAATGGTGAGACACGATGCTGGAAGGCTGATAAGAAACAGATCAGGAAGAGCCTTGTGGGCCAATCATAATACTGAGCATCAATAACAATAGCACGCATTCTGTTGTTCTTAGTATTCTAAGCACTTTTCATAAGCACACATTTAACCACTCAACAACCCTGAGAGATAGGTAATATGATGGTTTTTTTTTTTCTGAGACAGTCTTGCTCTGTCGCCCAGACTGGAGTGCAGTGGCGTGATCTTGGCTCACTGCTACCTCTCCTGGGTTCAAGCCATTCTCCTGTCTCAGCCTCCCAAGTAGCTGGGATTACAGGCGAGCGCCACCACTCCCGGCTAATTTTTTTTTTTCAGTAGAGACGGAGTTTTGCCACATTGGCCAGGCTGCGATTATTTCATTTTATGGATGAGTTAAACTGGTTAAATACTTTCTTCAGGCTCACACTGCTAGTAAGAGGCAGAAATGTGATTTGTGCCCAGGAAGTCTGGCCCCAGAACCTGCTCCCTTAACTGCATATTACTAATCAAAGGAGTGTGCACTTCAGCCTGAAGGTGAAAGTGAGTGATTTCCTAGAATATGAAATTTGATTAAAACAAAAGTAGAGAATTTCACTAAAACCTTCTGGCCTGATTTTGGATACCTTGGGAAATACAAACTCAAGAATGAAATGTTACATCCTTTTTTTAAGGTATACTATACATATGATTGTAACTCATGCCTGTAATCCCAACATTTTGGGAGGCCGTGGCGGGAGGATCACTTGAGGCCAGGAGTTTGAGACCAGCCCGGCCAACATAGTGAAACCCTGTCTCCACTAAAAATACAAAAATTAGCCGGGAGTGGTGGCTCACGCCTGTAGTCCCAGCTACTCAGGAGGCTGACGCAGGAGAATCACTTGAACCCGGGAGGCAGAGATGGCAGTGAGCCGAGATCGCACCACTGCACTCCAGCCTGGGCGACGGAGCGAAACTCCATCTCAAAAAACAACAAAACATCAATCTTAAGAGTACAAACTTACGAGTTTTATACATGTGCACACCCATATAATCATTACTCGAATATCACAGACATGATGTTGGGTGAAAGAAGCCAGATGCAAAGCGTACCCCTTCATGAAGTCCAGGAACTGGTGATGGAGGTGCTAGAGGACAGAAGAGTGGTTATCTGGGGCTAGGCATAGTGACTGGGAGAAGGGCATGAGAGAGCCTCGGGGTGTGGAAACCGGCTTTTCGGGTCTGCAAGGGTCGCTGGGAAGTGTAGTCTTTTGTTGGGGGCGGAATGAGCTGCTAAAAGGCAGGGTCCTTTTACACCAACGTTGATAGAGATCGATATTTATTCCTGCTACACTGACAAAAAGGAATTGTACACGAAGAAAAAAGGCAGACATTTAGAGAAGAGGAATTAACGGGCAGGTTCATAGGAGGGCTGCTAGAATCTATCAATCTCACACTACCGTTTCCTTTTTCTTTTTTTTTTTCTTTTTCTTTTTGGACCTTGCGTCTTTTCGCGCCAAAGTCCTAGAGACAGAGCCTGATTGGCCCAGCCACGACCTGTGCCCATCCATTGGTGGAGACCTCTTGATTAACAATCTTTCAAATTTCCGGAGCGACCGAGGGACTGACTGACAGCCTCGGGAGCTTACGCGCATCCCTGAAGCGGGCGCCAGCAAGTCCTTGGGGAAAACGCTGCCTGTACCCAAACCATAACCACGCGCTTGTCCCCTGCGAAGTGCTTCCCGAAAGACCCCCAAGGCAATTTTAAAGTTGCGGACACCTGAACCTGCTCCAGAGCTGGCTGGAAGCAGGAGCTGCCTCCCCAGGATGGGGCAGAATTTGCATCTCTCCACTTTCAATTTAAGGTGAACAAAGCAGAAAAGCAAGTAACTTATCACGATCAAAATGCAACATCTGATTCCCTTACACCTACCAGGAGGACAGTGCCTATTCCACACAGAGCCAGAAACCTGGAGAGAGGAAACAAAGAATGTAAGTGAATTCTAGGCAGCAAGCATTTTTCCATCCCTCAGCTAAGAGCCCTGCCACCACCTGTCCGTCTTCAGTAATACACTGGTTGACACTTTTTGAGACCCCAATATAGCGCTGAGCACTGCCCAACCTAAAAATGACTATTATTTTCCAGTCACTTTTTTTTTTTTTTTTTTTTTTTTTTTTGGCAGAGTCTTGCTCTGTTGTCCACGCTGGAGTGCAGTGGCGTGATCTCGGGATCTCGGCTCACTGCAACCTCCACCCCCCCGGGTTCAAGCGATTCTCCTGCCTCAGCCTCCCGAGTAGCTGGGATCACAAACTCGCGCCACCACGCCTGGCTAATTTTTGTATTTTTAGTAGAGACGGGGTTTCACCATGTTGGTCAGGCTGGTCTCAAACTCATGACGTCATGATCCACCCGCCTGGGCCTCCCAAAGTGCTAGGATTACAGGCGTAAGCCACTGCGTCCGGCCTAATTTTTTGTATTTTTAGTAGAGACAGAGTTTCACTATGTTGGCCAGGCTGGTCTCGAACTCCTCAGGTGAGCCGTCTGCCTCGGCCTCCCAAAGTGCTGGGATTACAAGCCTGAGCCACTGCGCCAGGCCCAGAGTCACTTTATAGATAAAAAGCCCTATAACTTCAAAGATCAATACCTAAATTACAAGGGGAAATTAAGTATTCATAAACAGATTAAAATATGCTTTAAAGTTCCATGTAACCATAACCTTTCTTCAAAAGGTTATTAATGCTTAATCTGTGCCAAAAAGTCACATTGAATATACATAGAATTTATGTTCTTTGTAGCAAGATTCAGGGTGGTTTGGATAATTAAGACGAATATGTGAGTAATTGTTCCTGAAGGCTCCATGTGTTTGGAGCTATAAGAATATTCCACATTCTGAGAATGTGGAAATTACTTTCAGTCTGGGAAAGGAGGCAGGGTTAGGGAAGCCTTCATGCAGGAGGTGGTATGACAACATCATCACTTCCTCAGTATTTCTGTATTGCAGTCAATAAATGTCTGTATGAAAAGCACATAGCACCGTGGCAACAAACTAGATACAGCTCTTGCCCTCTAGAAAAAGGGGGAACATACTCCACCAAAGATGAGGTACAGTGTGTGCCAAACAATGTGCCTATACTTCCTGCTGAATTACAGTTATTTTATTTATTTATTTATTTTGAGATGGAGTTTTGCTCTTGTTGCCTAGGCTGGAGTGCAATGGCACGATCTCGGCTCACTGCAACCTCCGCCTCCCGGATTCAAGTGATGCTCCTGCCTCAGCCTCCCAAGTAGCTGGGATTACAGGCATGTGCCACCACGCCCGGCTAATTCTGTATTTTTGGTAGAGATGGGGTTTCTCCATGTTAGGCTGGTCTCGAACTCCCAACCTCAGGTGATCTGCCCACCTCAGCCGCCCAAAGTGCTGGGATTACAGGTGTGAGCCACCGCGCCCAGCCTACACTTTTTTTTGGTTGTGGTTTTTTTTTTTTTTTTTTTTTTTTTTCTTGGAGACAGAGTCTCGCGCTGTCCCAGGCTGGAGTGCAGTGGCGTCAGCTCTGCAACCTGCACCTCCTGGGTTCAAGCAATTATCCTGCCTCCCAGATTCAAGCAGTTCTCCTGCCTCAGCCTCCCGAGTAGCTGGGACTACAGGTGCACGCTGCCAAGCCCGGCTTATTTTTTGTATTTTTTAGTGGATACCGGGTTTCACTGTGTTGCCCAGGCTGTTCTCGAACTCCTGAGGTCAGGCAATCTGCCTGCCTCGGCCTCCCAAAGTGCTAGGATTACAGGCGTGAGACACCACGCCCGGCTCAGTTATTTTTTATTTATTTATTTTTTTGAGATGGAGTCTCACTCTGTCGCCCAGGCTGGAGTGCGGTGGCGCGATCTCGGCTCACTGCAGGCTCTGCCTGCCGGTTTCACGCCATTCTCCTGCCGCAGCCTCCCGAGTAGCTGGGACTACAGGCGCCCGCCACCACGCCCGGCTAATTTTTTGTATTTTTAGTAGAGACGGGGTTTCACCGTGTTAGCCAGGATGGTCTCCATCTCCTGACCTCGTGATCCGCCCGCCTTGGCCTCCCGAAGTGCTGGGTCAGTTATTTTTAACCTGTGTATTTGACCTCACTCACTAGAGCCCTGACAAAATGGTTGCTTGGGGAAAGCTATTTTTGGAAAACTTCTCCAACTATAACTCATAAGGTGTAAAACTGTCACATTTGTCCAGAACGTAATCTAAGGAAACTGTCATACAGTTCCCAAGGACATTTTCCTTTACCAGAGGCCCCTTTCAAGGTACGGCTATTGGATTACTCCAGTTGCCACCCTTGTCTTAAAGGAAAAACTCAGCTGAATTAAATTTAGCAGAGTTTATTTGAACAAGAACGATTGGCAAATCAGGTAGCCTCAGCCAGAGTAGGCTCAGGGACTCCAGTACAGCCATGTGGTGGAAGAAGATTTACAGACAGAAAAAGGAAAGTGAGGTATGGAAAATGGAAGTGAGGTACAGAAACAGCGGATTGGTTACAGCTCAGCATTTACCTTACTTGAACAGAGTTTGAACAGTAGGCCACCTTTGCATTGGCCAAAATGCAGTGACTGACACAAGAGTAGGCTACAGTCTGCTTACAACTTCATTTAGGTTATAGTTCACAATGTGCAGAGAGACCTTTAGGCCAAACTTAAAATACGTAAGGAGGCAGCTTTAGGCTAAACTTGATTTAACACTTGCAAATATACAAATATGTTCTGGTAATGATTTGCATGTTTTCTCACAGGGTAAAAGGCATTTCCGTGCAGAAAAGCAACAGCCTTAGGAGTAAGTAAAATTCCCTTAACCAATCAGTATATAAAATGTGGCCCATTCTCCAACATTTACAATGTGTTCATCATTTGTAGTTACCTGGGTTAATAAAACAGATAAATGCAGCCAGTTGTGATGGCTCACGCCTGTAATCCCAGCACTTTGGGAGGCCAAGGCAGGCAGATCACTTGAGGTCAGGAGTTTGAGACCACCCTGGCCAACATGGTGAAACCCCATCTCTACTAAAAATACAAAAATTAGCTGGGAGTGGTGGTGCATGCCTGTAGCCCCAACTAGTTGGTAGGCTGAGGCGGGAGGATAGCTTGAACCCAGGAAGCAGAGGTTGCAGCGAGCCGAGATCACTCCACTTCACTCCTGCCTGGGCGATAGAGCAAGACCCTGTCTCAAAACAAGACAAAACACAACAAAATAAAAACGCATAAATGGAATAATCAAAACTCAAGGCTGGGCAAGGTGGCACACACCTGTAATCCCAGCATTTTGGGAGGCTGAGGCAAAAGATCACTTGAGCCCAGGAGTTTGAGACCAGACCAGGCAACATAATGAGACCCCCATGTCTACAAATAATACAAAAAATTAGCTGGGCATGGTGGCATACACCTGTGGTCCCAGCTACTTGGGAGGCTGAGGTGGGAGGATTGCTCGAGCCCAGGAGTGAGCCATGATCATGCCACTGTGCTCCAGCCTAGGCAACAAGTTAAGACCCTGTGTCTTAAAAAAAAACAACAAAAATAAGCCGGGCGCGGTGGCTCATGCCTGTAATCCCAGCACTTTAGGAGGCCGAGGCGGGTGGATCACGAGATCAGGAGATCAAGACCATCCTGGCTAACATGGTGAAACTCCATCTCTACTAAAAATACAAAAAAAAAAAAAATTAGCCAGGTGTAGTGGCGGGCGCCTGTAGTCCCAGCTACTTGGGAGGCTGAGGCAGGAGAATGCCGTGAACCCAGGAGGTGGAGGTTGCAGTGAGCCAAGATTGTGCCACTGCACTCCAGCCTGGGCGACAGAACAAGACTCTGTCTCAAAAAAAAAAAAAAAAAATGGTCGGGCATGGTGGCTCACGCCTATAATCCCAGCACTTTGGGAGGCCAAGGCGGGCAGATCACAAGGTCAGGAGATTGAGACCATCCTGGCTAACACAGTGAAACCCTGTCTCTACTAAAAAATACAAAAAAATTAGCTGGGCTTGGTGGCGGGCGCCTATAGTCCCAGCTACTCGGGAGGCTGAGGCAGGAGAATGGCGTGAACCTGGGAGGGGGAGCTTGCAGTGAGCCAAGATTGTGCCACTGCACTCCAGCTTGGGGGAAGAGCGAGACTCCGTCCCCGCCCCCAAAAAAAAAACACCCACACAAAAGCTCAACTGGGAAAATTAACTGAGGCTTTTAAAATTCCTTAGCCAAAAGCTCTTCCTTCCACTGGTTCTGCTTCATCTAGGTTGACCCCCTTTTGGTAAGCACCAGCTGGGGATTTTGAATCTCCATTCAAAATCATAATCGCAGACCTATGAAATTATCTCCAGAAAACTGTACATCTGTAACAGTAAAGGGAGACAGATCCAGATATTACAATGGTCTTATGAAACAATTATAAATTACATATTAGTGAAAGAATCTTTTCATAGTGAGCTCCTGGGAAACTAAAACTGCAAGGACCACAGACTTCAACCAGCAGGTTTCGTCTATTGGAAATAACATTAAAAACAAAACTCGGTGGGGCGCAGTGGCTCATGCCTGTAATCCCAGCACTTTGGGAGGCCAAGGCAGGTGGATCACCTGAGGTCGGCAGTTTGAGACCAGCCTGACCAACATGATGAAACCCTGTCTCTACTAAAAATACAAAATTAGCTGGGCATGGTGGTGCGTGCCTGTAATCCCAGCTACTCGGGAGGCTGAGGCAGGAGAATCGCTTGAACCCGGGAAGCGGAGGTTGCAGTGAGCCTAGATCACACCACTGCGCTCCAGCCTGGGTGACAGAGTGGGACTCCGTCTTAAAAATAAATTAATTAATTAATTAAATTAAATGAAAAACACAAACAAGAAAACTCTCTTCAATCAAAACGGTATGGACCTTATCAGTTACTCCTTAGTAGCCCTTTGGGATAGTGACAGGAGGCAGTCAAATGCCTAGGCAGATAGGGGTGGGTCCCTGGTGAAACCCGACCTTTGAACTGAAGACAGTGCCACGTAGATCCTTGGATAGGATCGAGAACCTGTCTTCCCGTTTGGCATGCTTTCCTCTGATTGATCCCCACTCTTCACCTATTTTACATATACCTACCCTTTCCTAATTGTTTTTTTTACACTGCCATGCTCATCCTTTAGTGGTGTCTTTGCTGTAGCCTTTCTTTGATACTCACAAACCAATCAGTATCTACTCCCCTATTCTGAACCCATAAAAGCCCTGGACTAAGCTAGGGGGAACCACCCCCTGCATCTCCTCTCTGCTGAGAACTATTCCATCACTCAATAAAATTCTTCTCCACCCATTCTCACCCTTCAATTGTCAGCATATCCTCATTCTTCTTGGATGCAGGACAAGAGCTTGGGAACTGCCAAACATGGGTACAAGCTATAGCACAGGCAGGCCGATTGGGTGGGGCACCTCCAGTGGCTGGCCCAGGGCCAAGCAAGGCCCAGGCTAGGGGGCGTCACTGCCTGTGGAGGTCTCCAGTTGGCAAAGTGACTGAGAAAAATCCTGCATCATTTGTGAACGCAAAATATCTGAGTCAGGTCTCAGTCAATTTAAGAAAGTTTATTTGCCAAGGTTAAGGATGAGCCTGTGACACAGCCTCAGGAAGTCCTGAGACGTGCCCAAGGTGGTCAGGGGTATAGTTTGCTTTTATGCATTATAGGGAGACATGAGAAATCAATAACATATGTAAGATGTACATTGATTCCATCCAGTAGGGGAGGATAACTTAAAGTGGGGGCTTCCAGGATAGAAGTAGATAAGAGACAAAAGGTTGCATTCTTTTGAGTCCTTGATCAGCCTTCCACTGAATACACAATTTAGAATGGCTCAGTGAATATGCATTTTCACATAAGCAATAGGGCAGAGGAAGCAATCAGATATGCATTTGTCTCAGGGGAGCCTCAGAGGGATGACTTTGAATAGAATGGGAGGCAGGTTTGCCCTAAGCAGTTGCCAGCTTGACTTTTCCCTTTAGCTTAGTGATTCTGGCGTCCCAAGACTTATTTTCCTTTCATACCTTATACCACAAAATTAGAAGACAGAGACCCTTGGATTCACGTCTCAGAAGGCTGAGTCAACTAAATGTGGACTATTTCACCAGGTGATACCCTAGGATGGTTCTTTGGGTTATGCCTGGGCACAAGGTGAAAAAGTTCATACCCTTTTTTTTTTTTTTTTTTTGAGACGGAGTCTCGCTCTGTCACCCAGGCTGGAGTGCAGTGGCGTGATCTTGGCTAACTGCAAGCTCCGCCTCTCGGGTTCACGCCATTCTCCTGCCTCAGCTACAGGCGCCTGCCACCATGCCTGGCTAATTTTTTTTGTATTTTTAGTAGAGATGGGGTTTCACCCTATTAGCCAGGATGGTCTGGATCTCCTGACCTCGGGATCCACCCGCCTCAGCCTCCCAAAGTGCTGGGATTACAGGAGTGAGCCACCGCGCCCAGCCTACCCTTTCAAACTGTCAACAAAAAGAGTCAAACTCTGTAAAATATTTTAAGAGATTTATTCTAAGTCGTATATGAATGACCAATGTTCCATGACAGCCCCAGGAGATCCTGAGAACATATGCCCAAGGTGATCAGGTTTTATACATTTTAGGGAGACAGAAGACACTAATCAGTATATGTAAGATGTACATTGGTTCAAAGTCGGGGCAACCTGAAGCGGGGGTGGGGCTGGGATGCTTCCAGGTCATAGGCAGATTCAAAGATTTCTGGACTGGCAATCTGTTGAGAGTTAAGTTATTTTCTGAAGACCTAGGCTCAATAGGGAATGTGAGGGTTTAAGATAAGCAGTTGTGGAGACCAAGATTCCCATTGTGTAGAGGAAACCTCCAGGTAGCAGGCTTCAGAGAGAATAGATTGTAAATGTTTCTTATCAAAGTAATTCTCTCCTGGATCAGGAAGAATGCCCAGAAAAGGAAAGAGATTCTCTTCAGAATGTAGATTTTACCCACAAGAGGCAGCTTTGCAGGAGTATTTCAAGATACGGCAAAGAAGCATAATTTGGGGTAAAATACTTTGATTTTTTTTTTTTTTCTTTGAGACAGAGTCTGGCTCTGTCACCCAGGCTGGAGTGCAGTGGCTCAATCTCGGCTCACTGCAACTTCCCCCTCCTGGGTTCAAGTGATTCTCCTGCCTCAGCTTCCGCAGTAGCTGGGATTATAGGGGCATACCATCACACCCAGCTAATTTTTGTATTTTTAGTAGAGACAGGGTTTCACCATGTTGAACTCCTGACCTCACGTGATCTGCCTGCCACAGCCTCTCAAAGTGCTGGGATTGCAGATGTGAGCCACCATGCCCGGCAAAATACATTGATTTCTTTCAGGGCCTGCTATCTGTCATGTGATGCCATATTAGAGTCAGGCTGGAATTTGGCATCTTATTGCTACAGAGAGTCCACTTTGTCAGCCTTACGATCTGTTTTAATGTTAATGCTGGTCAGCTGGGCCTGAATTCCAAAAGGGAGGAGGGTATAATGAAGCATGTCTGACCCTCCCTTCCCATCATGGCTTGAACTAGTTTTTCAGGTTGACCTTAGAATGCCCTTGGCCAAGAGGAGGGATCCATTCAGATGGTTGAGTGTAGGGACCAGCCCCACAGGGTCGGTGGGTTTCTCCCCGTGTGTGGAGACAAGAGTGTAGAAGTAAAGACACAAGACAAAGAGATAAAAGAAAAGACAGCTGGGCCCAGGGGATCACTACCACCAAGTCGCGGAGACTGGTAGTGGCCCCAAATGCCAGGCTGCACTGATATTTATTGGATACAAGACAAAGGGGCAGGATAAGGAGAGTGAGCCATCTCCAATGATAGGTAAGGCCACGTGGGTCACCTGTCCACTGGACAGGGGGCCCTTCCCTGCCTGGCAGCTGAGGCAGAGAGAGAGAGAGAGAAAGGAGACAAAGAGAGAAACAACTTACACCATTATCACAGACTTTTAGTACTTTCACTAATTTGCTACTGCTATCTAGAAGGCAGAGCCAGGTGTACAGGATGGAACATGAAGGCAGACTAGGAGCATGACCACTGAAGCACAGCATCGCAGGGAGACGGTTAGGCCTCCGGACAACTGCGGGCAAGCCTGACTAATGTCAGGCCCTCCACAAGAGGTGGAGGAGTAGAGTCTTCTCTAAACTCCCCCGGGGAAAGGGAGACTCCCTTTCCCGGTCTGCTAAGTAGCGGGCGTTTTTCCTTGACACTTACGCTACCTCTAGACCACGGTCCGCTTGGCAACGGGCGTCTTCCCAGATGCTGGTGTTACCTCTAGACTAAGGAGCCCTCTGGTAGCCCTGTCTCGGCATGACAGAAGGCTCGCACTCTTGTCTTCTGGTCACTCCTCACTATGTCCCCTCAGCTCCTATCTCTGTATGGCCTGGTTTTTCCTAGGTTATGGTTATAGAGCGAGGATTATTATAATATTGGAATAAAGAGTAATTGCTACAAACTAATGATTAATGATATTCATATATAATCATATCCAAGATCTATATCTGGTATAACTATTCTTGTTTTATATTTCATTATACTGGAACAGCTCCTGTCCTCGGTCTCTTGCCTCAGCACCTGGGTGGCTTGCCACCCACAGTTGAAGGGCTTAGAATTTTATTTTTGGTTTACAAAACTCACAGATCTCCCTCATTTACAATCTTGTTGGATTCCTTCTGTATTCCATTGGCATTGAGGACTAAGCTCTGATTTTTTTCTTATCTTGCCCAAATTTCTATTTAAGGGGTCTGGGGAGTCATGCCCTACAAACCATAAATTCTCACCAGATGGGTTTTATTTAACCCTATATATTGTCACTTACTTTCCAACCTGACTCCGGCATAACATTATGAGACAAAATAAAATCAAAATATTTTACCCCAAAACATGTTTCTTTGCCACATCTTAAAATGGCCCTGCAAAACTGTCCTTTGTCGGGGAAAATTTGCATTTGTAAAGAATCTCTATTAACATAGCTAGATCTTTTTCTTCCAGGCCCTCCCAATCTAAAAGAGATTAAGAGTCTAGCACCTTTTAAAGGCCTGAATAGGAAACATTTGTCATCTGTTGTCTCACAGGGCAGCTACTATAAGACTTTAAAAGAACCTTGGTCTCCACAGTCTTTTATCTTAACCTGAACATTTCCTTTCTATGATCCCAGGTCTTTCGACAAACTCAACCAATTGTCAACCAGAAAATGTTTAAATTATCTATAGCCTGGAAACTCTAGCTTTGAGTTGTCCCACCTTTCTGGGCCAAACCAATGTATTTGTTAAATGTATTTGATTGATGTCTCATGCCTCCCTAAAATGTATAAAACCAAGCTGCACCCTGACCACCTTGGGCACGTGGTCTCAGGACCTCCTGAGTTACAGGCCATGGTCACTCATATTTGGCTCTAATAAATCTCTTCAAATATTTTTACAGAGCTTGACTCTTTTTGTTGACCATATGATCATTTAGCTTCTATCTTTGTACCACAACTGGGTACTAAAGATGTTATTTGGCATGTAGAGGCCCTAAGCAATTATACACAGAAGGTCCTAAATATATCTACATGGTTATCTCATTATTGAATAATAAAGTTACTCTCATGAAAAAAGCTGTATTGCAAAACCATATGGCTTTAGCTATACTCACCATGGCCCAAGAAGAAATGGTTGTAAACCAAAAACAAAATCCTAAGCACCCCCAACTGAATTAATGGCCAAGGGGACCCTAGAGAAACCTGAAAAACTGAACTCCTGCCCATGATGGGAAGGGAGGTCAGACATGCCTTATCATACCTCCTCCCCTTTGGAGTTTAGGCACCACTGACCAACGTTAACATTAAAATAGAGATCATAAGTCTGACAAAACAGACTCTTTATGGCAAAAAGATACCAAATTCCAACCTGATTCTGATAGAGCATCACATGACAGATAGCAGACCCTTAAGGAAATCAAAATATTTTACTGCAAAATATACTTCTTTAACATGTTTTAAAATGGCCCTGCAAAGCCATCTTTTGTGGTAGAAATTTCTATCTGTAGAGAATCTCCATTAATGCAGCCAGGGCTTCCCTTTCCAGGCATTTCCCAGACATAGGAGAGATTAACTGAGTGTCTGCCATCTTTTAAGACCTGAAAAGAGACATTTATCATCTATTCTCTCTAAAGGCTGCTACCTGTGAGGCTTCATCTACGTAACAAAGACCTTGGCCTCCACAATCCCCCTTTTCTGGATTAAAGCATTTCTTTCTACTGACTTCAAGTCTTTAGGCAAAGCTTAACTCTTTCAAGCAGTTGCCAATAAGAAAATCTTTGAATCTACCTACAACCTGGAAGCCCATGCCCCTTTAAGATGTCCTGCCATTGCCGGGTGCAATGGCTCACTCCTGTAATCCCAGCACTTTGGGAGCCTGAGGCGGGCAGATCACGAGGTCAGGAGATCAAGACCATCTTGGCTACCACGGTGAAACCCCAGCTCTACTAAATATACAAAAAAAATTAGCTGGGCGTGGTGGCAGGCGCCTGTAATCCCAGCTCCTCGGGAGGCTGAGGCAGGAGAATGGTGTGAACCCGGCAGGTGGAGCTTGCAGTTAGCCGAGATCGCGCCACTGCACTCCAGCCTGGGCGACAGAGCGAGACTTCGTCTCAAAAAGAAAAAAAAAAAAAGATGTCCTGCCATTTTGATCTGACCCAAAGTATACCTTCCATGTATTGATTTATGTCTTTGCTTATGGCTCCTGTCTCTCTAAAATGTATAAAACCAAACTGTAATTCAACTACCTTGGGCATACTTTCTCAAGACCTCTTGAGACTGTTCCCTGGGCCAAGGTCATTCACATTGGCTCAGAATAAACCTCTTTAAATTGTTTACAGAGTTTTGTTTTTCCATTAATGCTGTGTTATTGTAAAACTAAATGCTGTGTCTATATCCCAGATAAATCAAATAATATCACTAAGGTAATGGCTAATATGAAAACCCAAATAACCAATCTTTCATATCCAAAACGTTCTCTAAGCAACTGGCTAAATAGCTGGTTTGGCTCTTGGGAAACTTGGTGGTAAAGTCATGACTTATTCTAGAAATTATAAACATTTGTTGTGTTCTGTCTTGTTTTTGTCTAAGTTGCTGTTATAACATTTGTTTACAACTGAGTCAGTGTGGCTTGGCACAGAGTTTCACACCTGTAATTCCAGCACTTTGGGAAGCTGAGGTGGGTGGATCACTTGAGGCCAGGAGTTCAAGACCAACCTGGCCAACGTGACGAAATCCCGTCTCTACTAAAAATACAAAAATTAGCCTGGCGTGGCACACACCTGTAATTCCAGCTACTCGGGAGGCTGAGGCAGGAGAATCACTTAAACCCAAGAGGCAGAGGTTTCACTGAGCCAAGATCATGTCACTGCACTCCAGCCTAGGCAACAGAGCAAGACTCTGTCTCAAAAACAAAACAAAACAAAACAAAAACAAAAAAAAGAAACCAGCTGGGCGTGGTGGCTCACACCTATAATCCCAGCACTTCGGGAGGCCAAGGCGGACAGATCGCCTGAGGTCAGGAGTTTGAGAGCAGCCTGGCCAACATGGGGAAACCCCGCCTCTACTAAAAATACAAAAATAAGCTGGGCGTGGTGATGTGTGCCTGAAATCCCACCTGCTCGGGAGGCTGAGGCAGGAGAATCACCCGAAACTGGGAGGCAGAGGTTGCAGTGAGCCGTGATCACGCCACTGCACTCCAGCAGGCGAGACTCTGTCTCGAAAAATATAAATAAATAAATAATTGAGTCAGCGTGACTCAAAAGACTAAAATAATGATCACTTGAATAAATCACATTAATTAAAAATGTAACCAAGTAACCTGGCTCAGGTCACAAAGTCACTTCCTTCATGTTTTTTTTAAATTTGGCCTATACTGGCCGGGCACGGTGGCTCACGCCTGTAATCCCAGCACTTTGGGAGGCCGAGGCGGGCAGATCACAAGATCAGGAGATCGAGACCATCCTGGCTAACACGGTGAAACCCGTCTCTACTAAAAATACAAAAATTAGCCGGGCATGGTGGTGGCAGGCGCCTGTAGTCCCAGCTACTCGGGAGCCTGAGGCAGGAGAATGGCATGAACCCAGGAGGCGAAGCTTGCAGTGAGCCGAGATTGTGCCACTGCATTCCAGCCTGGGCGACAGAGCGAGACTCCGTCTCAAAAAAAAAAAAATTTGGCCTATACTTCATGAGTCTTATAGTTCATCCAATTCCACTTTCACCATAAGACATGGTATCTTAGGAATGAATCTTCCTAGTGACATGGGACTAAACTCCTGGACATAAAAAGAGTCTGAGAAATCCCAGCTACTTGAGAGGCTGAAGCAGGAGGATCACTTGAGCCTAGGAGTTTAAGGCTGCAGTGAGCTGTGATTGAGCCACTGCACTGTGGCCTGGGTAAGAGTAAGACCCTGTCTCTAAAATAAATAAATAAATAAATAAATAAATATTTTTAAAAAATTAAAAAGGAGTTAAAACTATTGAGTTCATCTACAATGCTTTCTTCAAAAGATCTTGATGAAAAGGGGAAAATGTGAAAATAAAACGTAAAAGCTGTTGGAACACCCAAAAAACACGTTAAGACTCGAGAGAGATGTGACTGTGATTTGAGTCACATGTGGTTACAATGTCTGCTCTCAGATTATAGATTAACTCACTTTCTTAGTTTTCTTGTCCTGTACAATGACTAGAGAGAACTAAAGGACATTAGGGACAAAACCCTCCTGCCTTCTTTTTTTTCTTTTTTCTTTTTTTTTGAGACGGAGTTTTGCCCTTGTTGCCCAGCTGGAGTGCAGTGGCGTGATCTTGGCTCACTGCAACCTCTGCTTCCTGGGTTCAAGCGATTCTCTTGCCTCAGCCTCCCAAATCGCTGGGATTACAGGCATGCGCCACCACACCGGCTAATTTTGTATTTTTAGTAGAGACGGGGTTTCTCCATGTTGGTCAGGCTGGTCTCGAACTCCCGATCTCAGGTGATCTGCCTGCTTTGGCCTCCCAAAGTACTGGGATTACAGGCGTGAGCCACCATGTCTGGCCTTGCCTTCTTAATTAATGACCCTTGTTAAATATTAACTTCCTGGCCAGGTGCAGTGGCTCACACCTGTAATCCCAGCAATTTGGAAGGCTGAGGCAGGCAGATCACCTGAGCCCAGGGTTTCAAGACCAGCATGGGCAACATGGCAAAACCCTGTCTCTACAAAAAACACAAAAATTAGCTGGGCATTGTGGCATGTGCCTGTAGCCCCAGCTACTCAGGAGGCTGAGACAGGAGGATCACTTGAGCACAGGAGGCAGGGGCTGCAGTGAGCCGAGATCATGCTATTGCACTGTAGCCTGGGTGACAGAGCAAAACCCTGTCTCAAAAAAAAAAAAAAAAACAAAAAAAACCCTGTCTCAAAAAAAAAACAAACTTCTCTTTTTTGTCCTGCTGTGCTTAGACTAGATGACAGAAACCTCATGATTATTAGACCCTCTGCAAAAAAAAAAAAAAAAATGTTAAATGTACCCTTCCCAAAAGAAGTACTACCTATAATTAATCAATTTGCTGTAACCGTGTGCTATCCTTGTATGAATAATGTTGTAATCTTGCAAAACTCCTCTGTCTCTGCCTATACAAATGAAATCGCTAAACGTCCCTATTTTGAAACGCTGACCTCATTCCTTTGGAGTTGGTGTTGGTAGCCTAGCCTTACACTTTGTGACTGAATAAACTCTCTTTAAATTAGATTCTGACCCTTTTGATTATTTTACATTGATGGAGTTTACAAAGTATAATGCACATTGTTAATTTTTTCTCAGTTACTTAAATTTTATTCACATGGTTCAAAAGCATTAAGTTAATACATTAAAATAACAATAAATAAAAAGTAAAGAATTCACTTAGTGACCTGTTCCCTCATTCTTATCCCCCCATCCCAGTTTCCATGTCCCATCCTTTGTGTGGTTTCTGAGCCTAGCTCCTTATGGATCTGTGTTTTGATTGGGCTGCAAATATTCACTCCTGTCACCTCTCCCCATTGTGGTAGAGTTCACTTCTCTTTTTGGCTGACTTTGGGCTTTGCCATATGTAGTGTACTTCGTTTGGGCACAAGTGAAAGTGTGTCATATCCAAGCAGAGGCTTTAGGAGGACTGATAAGTTCCCCCTAGACCTCTTGCACTCTTGCCATCTGCCATGACAAGGACTTGCCCCAGGTAGCCTCTGTACCTTCAGACTGGGTCCCAAAATGAGAGACATGTGGAGCACATGTGAACCTAATCGGCAGCCCAAACCACCTGACCTACAGATCTCTGAGCAAGAAAATGTTGGTCGCAAACCAATTTTAACAATGGTGGGGGGCAAACCAATTTTAACAATGGTGGGGGCAGTATTTGTTAATTTTTTTTTTTTTTTTTTTTTTTTTTGAGACGGAGTCTCCCTCTCGCCCAGGCTGGAGTGCAGTGGCGCGATCTCGGCTCACTGCAAGCTCCGCCTCCCAAGTTCACGCCATTCTCCTGCCTCGGCCTCCCGAGTAGCTGGGACTACAGGCACCCGCTACCATGCCCGGCTAATTTTTTTGTATTTTTAGTAGAGACGGGGTTTCATCATGTTAGCCAGGATGGTCTCGATCTCCTGACCTTGTGATCCGCCCACCTCGGCCTCCCAAAGTGCTGGGATTACAGGCGTGAGCCACCGCGCCCAGCCAATATTTGTTAATATTATCACAGTAAAATCAAGTCTCACTTTGCTTTTTTAAACTTTATATATGTCACTAAGATATGTAGTGACTTCTCCTGTTGGTGCATAGAGTTACTTCTTTGAGTTTCATGGTATTACAGTGTGTGGCTATACTCCGATGGATTTAACCAGGCTTCCATTAATGGATATTTGAGTTGGTTCAATCTTTTGCTATCAAAAATAAGGATGTATTACATAGTCTTGTACATACATCATTTTGCATATGTATTCGTCAGGGTTCTCTAGAGAGACAGGACTAATAGGATAGATGTGTATATGAAAGGGAGTTTATTAAGGAGTATTGACTCACAGGATCACAAGGTGAAGTCCCACAATAGGCCATCTGCAAACTGAGGAACAAGGAAACCAGCCCAAGTCCTAAAACCTCAAAAACAGGGAAGCCGACAGTACAGCCTTCAGTCTGTGGCCAGAGGCCCAAAAACCCCTGGCAAACCACTGGTGTAGGTCCAAGAGTCCAAAAGCTGAAGAACTTGGAGTCCGTTGTTCGAGGGCAGGAAACATCCAGCACAGCAGAAAGATGAAAGCTGGAAGACTCAGCCAGTCTAGTCCTCCTGTGTTCCTCTGCCTGCTTTTATCCTAGCTGTACTGGCAGCTAATTAGATGGTGCCCATCCAGATTGAGGGTGGATCTGCCTCTCTTAGTCCACTGAATCAAATGTTAATCTCCTTTGACAACACCCTGATGGACACACCCAGGAACAATACTTGGCATCCTTGAATCCAATCAAGTTGACACTCAGTATTAACCATCACAGCACATATGTAAATATATCTATAGAATCATGGAAGTGCTCAGATGGGGGCATACATGAAATTTGAAATATTGAAAGATGTTCCTCAATTGCCCTACTTAGGGATTGTGCTTAGAACAATGACACTGATCATCAGTTAATGCTGGATTAAATGAAGAAAACGCTTTAGTATTTCTGTCACTTGCATTCCTGTTCTCATCCTCTTCTCTGAGGATCATCTTCTACATCTTCTCTTCCTCTTTCTGTGCCCTAAGTGATCACCAAGGATCTGTCCTTGACCTTGTATCAGTCAGTATAGGTTAGGTTATGCTGTGTGAAAAATGACTGCCCTCCCATCTCAGTGGCTTACAACGACAACAGTTCATTTCTTGCTCATGTTACGTGTCCATCGTGGGCCTGCTACAGTACTACACATCACTTTTTTCACTCCAGGACCCAGTCTGTTGGAAAAGTCTCTGTTTGGGACATTGATGGTCTTAGGGCAGAAAGAAGAGAAAGAGACATGGTAAATCACACACAGTTTCTGCTCAGAGGTGACCCATGTCACTTCTGCTTACATGTGGCTGATTATGCAAGTCTCGTGGCTGCTCCTGGGTTCTACTGAGCAGGAATGTGTTTAATCCAGATGTGGGGGTGCCACATCTGGGTAAACAAAAATTCAACCTACCACAGTCCTATTCTCTTCTTACTCCACGGTGTAGATGTGGGGCCCACACCCATTCCTTAGGGAAATCTCATGTACCCCTGTGGTCTCTGCTCCGTCTTCAGGCCTAACAAACTCATAGAGCCAAGCTTGCTGAGCTGCCCTATTAAGCTCTCTTGCCAGAATGTCAAACCCAACATATCCAAAAAGGAGTTCATCCCATTTCCCCCTAAACCTGCTGCTTCTGTGAGATCTTCATCACCCTGCATCCTCCCTAAGTCCTTGCTGCTCTTCCCCCTTCCCTTGGCTTCCAGTCCACTGCCAAGCAGATGCTGTTTAGCATCTTTTCAGCACTTTTTGAGCCTGGATAATTTAATTCTTTCCTGGGAGAAATCTTAAGATCAAAGCTTATTTGGAGGCTGGGTGCTGTAGCTTATACCTGTAATCCCAGCACTTTGGGAAGCCGAAGTGGATGGATTGCTTGAGCCCAAGAGTTCAAGACCAGTCTGGGCCACATGGTGAGACCCCGTCTCTACAAAAAAAAAAAAAAAGTACAAAAATTAGCCAGGCTTCCTGGTGCACTCTGTAGTCCCACCAACACAGAAGTCAGAGGTAGGAGAATTGCTTGGGTCCAGAAGGTCAAGGCTGCAGTGAGCCTGTGATTGGGTCACTGTACTCCAGCCTGGGTGACAGAGAGGGACCCTGTTCCCAAAAAACAAAAAAACAACACACACACACACACACACCTTATTTGGCTCAGAGGCAGATTTTCCCGGCCTCAAGGAGGGATGTGGTCACCTCTGGAATACAAAGATGCTTAGAAACCCATAGCCTCTTGTGTGGGTACATCCATGCTAAAGGAATAGAGAAACACTGAACTGAACAACTCCTGAAATGTCCTGTGTTAGCATCACGGTGTTAACGGTGAGGGGTTAAGGAGCTGCTTCCCTAAGGGACTGGAACAGATGGAAGAAACCCACCTCATGACCAGTAGGCCATGCACGATTCTAGGAGGAGCTTAAATGGCAGGGTAGGTGGTAGCTTATGCACCCCAGTATTCTTCCTGGCAGGAAGGCGGGAAAGGGACAGTGAAGGTCAGTCACTTGCCTCGGGAACATCAATACAGATGCCTGCTGGGAAACGGAGAGAATGGGGCTGGAAGGGCCAGGACAAGATGACTCCTGGGAGACACGTCCAGGCCCCACCGCCTGCTGGAGGAGGGACGCTGGTAGGAGTGGGCCAGGCAGTGGTCCCCACTTCGTATTCAAAAAGGCCCTAGAGTTTAGGCTTTGGACCTTACTGCTGTATGAGGCCGCAGCGTCAGAGAAGACAGTGATGAGAAAAACGTCACTTGCACTCCCTCCAGCATCACTGCACAGCTTCTGAGGCACTACCAATTAGTAGATTTTTCCATGAATTGTGAAACTGTCTTATAAAAATCACAAATGCATGACATCTTATATTTGCATGTTAAAATCGTTTTATTAAATTGACTGCTTTAAAAATATTTCATAATTATCATAATCTCATTTTGGCTCTTTCTTCCCCCCTTTCATTTATTAAATGTGTTCACCAAAAAGTGGAAGCTCTGAAGTTGAATATACATGAGAAAAGCAAATAAAACTGTCTCTCATCAAGCCAGGATGAAGATGTGGTAACCTGTTAAACTGACAGGCTGATTCGAACAAAACCCAGACAGCTCCTGGTGAGCATGAAATAGAATTGGTTTCTTATTTGGGATGCCAAGGTGGGTGGATTACCTGAGGTAAGGAGTTCGAGACCAGCCCAGCCAACATGGTGAAACCCCATCTCTAGTAAACATAGAAAAATTAGCAGAGCATGGTGGCATATGCCTGTAATCCCAGCTACTCAGGAGGCTGAGGCAGGAGAATCACTTGAATCTTGAACTCAGGAGGCAGAAGTTGCAGTGAGCTGAGATCATGCCACTGCACCCCAGCCTGGGCAACAGAGGAAGACCTGGTTCCTTAGGAGGGAGGTCTCCTACACATTCTGCACAATCTCTGAGGGAAGATGTGTGTGTGTGTGTGTGTGTGTGTGTGTGTGTGTGTGTGTGTGTGTATGTGTGTGTGTCAGTGGGGAGGCGGGTTCATGGGACTCCACTGTCAGAGAATTTCCTCCCTGGACTAGAACCGAGCCAGCCATGTCATTGTACTGCAGAGCTGCACCCACTAACCCCACTCCTGTCTGGGAAATCCAGACAGTGTAACTGTTTGCAAGGGTGCTCTGGAGCCAGACTCTCCAGGTTCAATGCCAGTGTCTGAGGTTTTTTCCCATTTGACATCAGCTCATAGTCTGACACAGAGATGTCTTCAACAGGAGTAGAACTATTTAGTAGAAATAATTGAGTGCAGAAGGGCTGTTTTTTTAAGGTAAATGTGGCTTCTCTGCGACCCATATGCATGGTGGAAATGCTCTACATCTGTAACGAACATTGGACATTTGCTGTATTGGTCACTGTGTTGAACACCTGAAATGTGGCTAGTGGGACTGAAGAACTGAATTTTAAACTTTACTGAATTTAAACATAAACAGCCACATGTACCTAGTAGCCACCACATGGGACAGCAATGGTCTAGCTCCCAAGTGCCAACAGCTTCCTGTGGAAAAATCAATTTTATTAAAATATGTGTCCTACCCTGCACTCAGCCTTTCTGGATGTCCCTCTTCAATATAATATCTGATTAAGGATTTGAAGAAAATACAGTATAGATATTGTTTGTAGAATAGACGTAAGACCCTAAAATACAGTTTTATACAAAATTTGATAAATCCTGGCCGGGCGCAATGGCTCCTGCTTGTAATCCTAGCTCTTTGGGAGGCCAAGGCAGGCGGATCGCTTGAGGTCAGGAGTTGGAAACCAGCCTTGCCAACATGGTGAAACCCCGTCTCTACTAAAAATACAAAACAATTAGACAGGCCTGTTGGTGGGCCCCTGTAATCCCAGCTACTCGGGAGGCTGAGTTAGAAAAACCACTTGAACCCGGGAGGCGGAGCTTGCCGTGAGCCGAGATTGCGCCACTGCACTCCAGCCTGGGTGACAGAGCATGATGATTCCGTCTCAAAAAATAAATAAATAAAAATTATAAATCCTTTCTCTAAGAGAAGAAATATGGCTTTCTTATTTCTTTTTCTTTTCTTTCCTTTTTTTTTTCTTTCTCTTCTTTTTCTGAGACAGGGCCTTGCCCTGTCACCCAGGCTGGAGTGCAGTGGCGTGATCTCGACTCACTGCAACCTCTGCCTCCCTGCTTGGAACGATTCTCCTACCTTAGTTTCCCGAGTTGCTGGGACCACAGGCACGTGCCACCACGCCTGGCTAATTTTCGTAGTTTTAGTAGAGACGGGGTTTCACCATGTTGCTCAGGCTGGTCTTGAACTCCTGGGCTCAAGCGATCCGCCTGTCGCCTGCCTCGGCTTCCCAAAGTGTTGGGATTACAGGCTGAGCCACCACGCCCGGTCTGGGCTTTCTTATCTCTGAGAGTCACAATTTCTGTGAGGCAGCCACCAACACTAGCTTTTAAGTTTCAGGGAGTTGCAGTGAAACTTTCTTTCCTGCCAGGAAGCTGACATTTTCCAGAAACCGCAAATAACAGAACATTTTGTCTCTGTGTCAGCTTCATGCACCCTAGTCTTAAACCAACAATGTTCTTAAAAATGCATTGTTTTTCTTCTCTTATCGCTTCTCGGTTGTTCTAATAATTTGATAGCTTCAGTACACCATTAATGTTCACCTTACACCTCCCGGAGGAGGAGATGGCGTGATACTCGCAAACACGGGACTACAAACTATTGATTCCATTCCGCGTGCTTCAGGAAGGTGGCGCTGTTTCCGTGCAGCTCATCAGGTACCTCAGAAAAAGAAATTTGGTGGAGACGTTTCCGCAGCCTCCAAGCAGCATCATTCAAAGGACAGGTCAGCAGGAAACAGATTTTATTTTAAAATTCCCAGCAGCGGGAGGGACGGGGGGGGGGCGGGGGAGGGACTTGTTAGAGTTCCTGTCGCTAAAGGAAATTCTTCCTAGAGCTATACTAAACTTAGTTATTACTGAGACAGTTTTTTCTGGCTTCATCAGAGGAAAAATATAGTTATGCATCCCAGTATTTTTGCAACAATTCCACCACCAACAGCAATAAAAACGGCTGCAATTTATTGAGTACTATCTTCTGTGGCACTTTACAAGTGTTATCATCTTTGGCTTCACAATTTCTTTACTATCTTAAGGATGAGAGGCTAAGGTTTTGGGGTGTTAAGAAATTCAACATCTGTCTAGCTGTTCTATTAGGTGTGTAGTGATACCTCCCCATGGTCTTGATTTGTATTTCCCTAATGGCTAGTAATGTTGATCATCTTTCTATGTGCTTATTTGCCGGTTGTATATTCTCTTCAATGAAGTGTTTCTTCATGTTCATGTCTTTGTCCATTTTTTAAATTGAATTGCTCAATTTTTTCACGTTGAGTTTTGAGAGGTTTTTTTTAATTTAAAAAAATAGAAACAGGATCTCACTATGTTGCCCAGGCTGGTCTCAAACTCCTGGGCTCAAGCAATTCTCCCACCTTGGCCTCCCAAAGTGTTAGCATTACAAGTGTGAGCCACTCAGTGCCTGGCTGAGAATTCTTTGTATATTCTAGATATGAGTCCTTTTTCAGATATATAGTTTGCATATATATTCTTCCAGTGTGTAGTTTGCCTTTTGATTCCATTAACAGTCTTTTGCAGAGCAAAACATTTTTAATTTTGATCAAGTCCACTTTATGAATTTTTTTCTTTTATGAATCATACTTTCAGTGTCATTTTGAAGAAATCTCTACCAACTAGGTGGAGAACTAGGGTTCCCCCACATTTTCTCCTGTACTATCTTCTAAAATTTTTATGCTTTATGTTTAAATCTATTATTCATTTTGAGTTAATTTTCATAAATGGTGTGAGGTTTAGGTCAAGTTTCTTTATTTTTATTTTTAAATTTTTGCCTATTAACATTCAATTGCTCCAGCACCATTTATTGAAAAAGCCTATCATCTCATTGAATTGTTTTGAATCTTTCTTAAAAAATCAGATGGACATACTTGTGTGGGGCTATTTCTGGGTCCTCTATTTTTTCCCATTGACCTATGTATTCATCCTTCGATAATACCAAACAATCTTGAGCTATGTAATTAGATTTGAAGCTGGGTGCGGTTGCTCTCGTCTGTAATCCCAGAACTTTGGGAGCCCACAGTGGGAGGATTGCTTGAGCCCAGGAGTTCGAGACCAGCCTGGTCAACATAGCAAGACCCTGTCTCTACAAAACATACAGAAAAAGTTAGCCATGCGGGGTGACATGCACCTGTAGTCCCAGCTACCTGGGAGGCTGAAGTGGGAGGGTCACCTGAGCCTGGGAGGTTGATGCTGCAATGAGCTGTGTTTGCACCACTGCACTCCAGCCTGGACAGCAAAGTAAGACCCTGTCTCAAAAAAATAATAATAAAAATTGAAATCAGGTAGTTCCATTTTATTATTGTTTTCCAAAATTGTTTTAGCTATTTATTCTATTTATTCTAGTTCCTTTGCCTTTCCACATACATTAAAAAAAAAAATCTTTTCTACATCTTCAAAAAATTTTGCTGGCATTTTGATAGGAATTTTGTTAAACCTGTATATCAATTAAAGGAGTATTGACATCATTACTACGTTGAGTCTTCAGTCCATGAGCTTGAAATGTCTCTTTCTTTAGATCTTTAATTTCCTTTCTTTTTTGAGACAGGGTCTCACTCTGTCGCCCAGGCTAGAGTGCAGTGGTGTGATTTTGGCTCACTACAACCTTTGCCTCCCAGACTCAAGTGATCCTCCCACGTCAGCCTCCCAAGTAGCTGGGACTACAGGCTACCATGCCCAGTTAATTTTTTGTATTTTTTTTTTTGTAGAGATGGGGTCTTGCCCAGGCTGTGTTGAACTCCTGGACTCAAGCCATCTGTCTGCCTCGGCCTCCCAAAGTACTAGGATTGTAGGCATGAGCCACTGTGCCCAGCTGATCTTTGATTTCTTACAACAATCTTTTGTAGCTTTTAGCTTATAACTCCTGTACATGTTTTGTTAAACTTACACCTAAGTATTTTGATTTTTTGAGTGATTATAAATTGTACTGCATTTAAATTTTTGGTTTTCATGTTTGTTGCTAGTATATGGAAATACAATTGATTTTTCTTTTTTTAAAAAAAAATTTTTTTGAGACAGGGTCTCACTTTGTCACCCAGGCTGGAGTGCAGTGGTGCAATCATAGCTCACTGCAGCCTCAAACTCCTGTGCTCAAGTGATCCTCCCACCTCAGCCTCCCAGGTAGCTGGGACTACAGGCACATGTCACCAAGCCCCACTAATTTTTTTAAAAAATTTATTCGTAGAGATGGGGGTCTCACTATGTTGCCGAGGCTGGTTTTGAACTCCTGGGTTTAAGGGATCCTTCCATCTTGGCCTCCCGAAGTGCTGCAGTTACAGGTGTGTGCCCCCTTGTTCGGCTGTGTTGGCATCTGTTCATTGTGTTTTCTTTTCTTTTCTTTCTTTTTTTTTTTTTGAGATGAAGTTTTGCTCTTGTTGCCCCAGCTGGAGTGCAATGGCGTGATCTCGGCTCACCACAACCTCTGCCTCCCGGTTTCAAGTGATTCTCCTGCCTTAGCCTCCGAGTAGCTGGGATTATAGGCATGTGCCACCATGCCCGGCTAATTTTTGTATTTTTAACAGAGACGGGGTTTCACCATGTTGGTCAGGCTGGTCTTGAACTCCTGACCTCAGGTGATCCACCCACCTTGGCCTCCCAAAGTGCTGGGATTACAGGCGCGAGCCACCACGCCCAGCTGTTGATTGTGTTTTCTCATTGAAGTTTAGATTTTCCCATTTCTTGGTATAATGAGTGCTTTTTGGTGGAAACCTGGACTTTGGGGTGTCATAAGACTCTGGATCTCATTTAAATCTTGTGTTTTAGCAGGCTTCCTGACCCACTTTGGCAGGGGAAGGGGATGCCTCTTCATTATTGCCAAGTAGGGGTGGAAGTCCAGGTTTTCCACTTGGCCTTTGTTGACACGTGGAGGGAGGTTGTTTGGCACAAGTGGGAGTTCAGGCTCTCCAGTTGGCCTCCAGGGATACCACCCTTGCTGGGATGGGGAGGGGACCTCCACTGATATGTGGGGTGGGAGGTGGCTTTGTTGCAACTGAGTGACGTTGAAAGTCCTGACTCTCCACTTGGCTCCCTATGGGGACAAGAGTGACTATTTTCAATGCGAATCCGCTAACTCCAATTCCAGGAATGCCTCCAAAATGTCTAGTTGATGTATTACTCTTTATACCGGATCACCTATTCACTGTAACTTTTGCCTTTTTACAGAAACAACCCTTGATGCTGTTGCAGAAATCATAGGTTGTGACACCCACAGCATTCTCTCAACCATCTACACATTCCTCCAAGAGTAAGTATATTTTTTCCCCAAGATATAAGCCCTGGTTCTACGGGGCTACTGTGTGGAGATCCACCTGCCTTGTGGACACCCAAGACCATGCTTCTGTCTGTAAGCTCCCTCTAATAATTATCCTATATGGACAAACTGGATTTGTCTGCTTCCTACGTTTTCTCAGCTCCTTGGGCATTTGGGGGTGGCTTTGGGGGTGGCTTTGATGGAACACTCTCTCTGACATCACCCCAGGGAAGAGGATGAGTGCTTTCTTACAATTAAGTGGGGTAGAAGTCCAGGTTCTCCATATGGTTTCCACTGATACCATGCTGGGGGAGAGTCTCCTCACCTCTCAGTGGGAATGAAAATCCAGCCCTCGGCCGGGCGCGGTGGCTCACGCCTATAATCCCAGCACTTCAGGAGGCCGAGGTGGGTGGATCACAGGCTCAAGAGATCAAGACCATCCTGGCCAATATGGTGAAACCCCGTCTCTACTAAAAATACAAAAATTAGCCAGGCGTGGTGGCGTGAGCCTGTAATCCCAGCTACTCAGGAGGCTGAGGCAGGAGAATTGCTTGAACCCAGGAGGCAGAGGTTGCAGTGAGCCGAGATTGTGCCACTGCACTCCAGCTTGGGTGAGAGAACCAGACTCCGTCTCAAAAAAAAAAGAAAAAATAAAAAATAAAAATAAAAAGAAAATCCAGCCCTCCACTTGGCCTTCTCTGACACCATGCCAGGGAGAGGGGACAGTGGTGCCTCTTTACAGCCTAGCATGCGTGGCAGTCTAGGCTTTCCAAGAGGCAAGCATGGGGATGGGGCTTTTTCTGTGGTTTGGGCTGGATTAGAGCCATTATTGTGTAAACGTTTTCTGTCCTCTGAGGCTGCCCATTTCCTGGTCCTGTGGCTAGAGAGAGAAGGCTTTTCTTAGGGCATTGTCTTTGCCTGTCGGCATTTCCAGGTTGCTTGCTTCCTAGCACCCAGTCTGGGATATATAAGGCAACACCCACCATGTTGTTCCTTGCGTCCCAGGGTGGCTAGCTGGTTTGCCTTCTCTCCAACTTTTGGAGTCTTAGATTGTTTTATATATAATGCCCACAATTTTTAGTTGTACTTAGTAAAAGGAATAGGGAAAATTGTGTCTAGTTCATCTTCCTGGAAACAAAAATCTTCCATCTTGTTTTCATAGAAGGCCATGGAACTGTGCTAACCACTGGAATCTATTTGTTTTGTTTGTTTGTTTGAGATGGAGTCTCGCTGTGTTGCCCAGGCTGGAGTGCAGTGGCATGATCTCTGCTCACTGCAACCTCCACCTCCTGGTTTCAAGTGATTCTCCTTCCTCAGCCTCCTGAGTAGCTGGGACTACAGGTAAACGACACCATGCCTGGCTGATTTTTTTGTATTTTTAGTAGATGGGGTTTCCCCATGTTGGCCAGGCTGATCTCAAACTCCCGACCTCAGGTGATCCGCCTGCCTCAGCCTTCCAAAATGCTGGATTACAGGTGTGAGCCACTGCACCCGGCCCACTGGAATCCTTTTTGTATAATATCCTGGCTGCGAAGTTAGAGTTTTTACACTTGCATTTGGCAGATGCAATTCAAATTGGTTACCAAAACTTTGAAATATATTGAGTTGCTTCTAAAACAAATTCCATGCAGGATTGAAGAGTGGGTAGGCTAAGAGGGTAGCAGGCCTGGGAAATGAACCCCAGGAAACTGACTTAGTCATGCAATAAAGACTCAGGTGTTACCAGTGGAGAGTGTCCAGGTTCTTGGCGTTTTGAACAAACAATTGGACAAAACGCACAAACAAAGCAAGGAAAGAATGATGCAACAAAAGCAGAGATTTATTGAAAACAAAAGCACACTCCACAGGTTGGGAGCCTGCCTAGCAGGTGGCTCAAGAGCCCGGTTACAGAATTTTCTGGAGTTTAAATACCCTCTAGAGGGTTCCCGTTGGTTACTTGGTGTACACTCTATGTAAAAGAAGTAGTGGCCTGTGATCAGCCTGATTGGTTGCAAGAGGGGACCAATCAGAGGTACCTTCAATTTTTCATCTGCCAGGCAGAAAAGCGGGGCAGGTTGCAAAGGGACTAGCTTCTGTTCCTTTTGTTACCTGGGCATGGAAAGTTCGGGTTTTCCTTTTGATTTAGTTCTAGGAAGTCAGCGTGAATTGGCCTTAGGTTCCCTGTCTCCAGACCCTATTTTTCTGCCTTACGGTTCATATTGGGTTTGCTACAAGGATATTCAAACTTTGTGAATTGGCAAGCAGGAATCTAGAGTTTCCAGAACAATGGAGAGGGGCCAGAAAGGTATAAAAACTTTTGTGAAAACGTCAAAAATAAATATTTAGTTAAAAATAAAATTTCCCATTTTCAGATTTTGTGAATATCTGTAAGAATTTCCAGGATATATTAATTCGCTAAAGTTAATAAAAGCAAGAAACAGAAGGACGTTTCAGAATGCTATTGTTTGTGTAACAAGGGGGTGCTGAATACATACATAATTGCTTGGTTATGAATAAACTGGCTCTGGAAGGACACACATAGCTAATAGCATCGTTACCTAGGGGGAGGTGAAGTGGGTCCTGGAGAACAGAAAGGGAGATTTTCCACCTTACACACATTTGCCATCTTATGATTTTGAACGATAAGAGTCCCCCCGCCCCTTCCTTCCTCTGCCCTGCCCCTTCCTTCCTCTGCCCTTTACTCTCTCAATATCCTCTTTTCATGCTTTTTTTTTTTTTTTAAATCACTTCGGGTCCTTTAAAAAATTTACTTGCAAGAAGTACGTACATATTCTGAATAAAATTCATTTTCAGATATATGTATTACAAATATCTTGTCTGTTCTATTGTCTTTCCCTTTTCTCAATGGGGTCTTTTCGGTGTCTTATAGTTACAGACACCCAATTTATCAGCTTTTTCCTTTAGGACTGGCACTTTTTGTGTTCTGCTAACACGTTATTTTCCTCTCTTATGGTCATAATATTCTGCGATTTTATTGTCTAGAGTTGTATTGTTCACATTCAGGTCTACCATCCGTCTAGAATTATTTTACTTGAGATAGGAGTCAAGGTTCATTTCCCCCCAATCGACCTTCAATTGACCTAGCACTATATATTGAAAAAACTCTTCTTATTGCATTACAGTGGCTACTTGTAGGAGGAAAAAGTGACTACATAGCTGCAGGTCTGTTTCTGGTCTCTCTCTTTTTCATTCATTGTTTTTACCTTTGTGCCAGTTATCACACTGTTCTGATTACTGTGGCATTATAATCATCTTGATAACTGTATCGTGAATTCTCCAACTGTGTTCTTCGCCGGAAGTCCACGGAACACCAACCACGACCTTCGGAATTTCCCTCCGGAAGATGAAGGCACTGTAGTTATGCGGGTGGACCCTATCAGATCTCGGGTCCATCGGGTCCTGTGTACACCTTGAGGGACGCCCACCCAACGCGCATGCGCAGCCTCAATGCTGGGATTGGACGGAGCCTCGCCGGCTGCGTACACGTCACTTCCGAGGCGGGAGGATGAAGTTGATTGACTATGGTCTCTCCGGCTACCAGGTAGGGGCTGGGGAAGAAGGAACCTCCGAGATGAGGCGATAGGGTCTGGCCTTGAGCTGAGGCGACGCCCCGGCTTGGGTGAGGGGAAGCGGTGTAGTGGTCGAGCTAAGGCCGCGGGCCCTGGGCGGCTTCCGGATCCCCGCGACGCCGAACTCTGAAGGAAGACTCAGCCCAGGCGCTGGGACCAGAGCCCTGGCTCCGGCGAGTGCGTGGCGGGGAAACCCGCCTGTCGCCGAGGTGTCTTGAGTCCAGTTTCCGCTGCTGGGAATGGGTGTCGCGCCGGGCGCTGTGTGTGAAAGGCCTCGCGCCCACAGGGCTCCTGGCTTCAACCTGTTTATTCCCACATTTCTGCGCGACGTAGGGGAGGCTCCGCAGCGTCTGCGAGTGGCAGGACCGAGGGTTGAGCGCTGGGGGCCAGTGGCACCTTAGCCAGTGACGGCGAGTTAGGACTAGCAAAGGAAGTCCGGTTTTTCAGAAGGCAGGAGGAGGGTGCTGACTCGAGCGTCCACGGGAATGGCTGGTTGAGATATCTTGCTCTTCCAATACTTACTCTGCGGCTTCCTGGCTGTGCGGCTTTGGGCAAATGTTTTAAACTCTGAGTGTTTCTTCAGCTGTAACTTTGGGAGTAACAAGCCCACTCATAAGGTTGTTGTGAAGCGTAAATGAGACTGCGCGTGCAAGGTGCTCAGCTGGTGTCTGGCACATAGTAGGTATTCAACAAATGGTAGCCACATAATGCTCTTTTTTTCAGTTTCCAAACCTTCCATGTAGTGATTGGAGAATCGTGAAGTTACTTTTGAAGTAACGTTTGGGTTTCACACACTCATACATTTAGTAAGCAGAATTCTTGCTTACACTGTTGCCGATTGCAACGGTGTGTTTGCATAATGGAAGCTATGTTTGTGCCTTTGCCAAGGGTGTGGAATATGCCTTCCCTACCATGTACATGTCCCCTTTTCTCCATTCCTTAATAATAGTTGATATTTTTTGAGTGTTTGCTATGTTACAGGCACTGTACTAATCCCTTTACTGAATTATTCAATCCTGTAATAACCCTAATCATAGGAACTATAATTTTTATTTATGGAGGGAGAAATGGGCTTAGAGATGTTAAGAAGTTTATCCAAAGGCATAGAGCTATTAGCCAGGCAAGGTAGCACACGCCTGTAGTCCCAGCTATTTGTTGGGGCTGAGGCAAGTGGATTGCTTGAACCTGGGAGACAGGCTGCAGTGAGCCGAGATCACGCCATTGCATTCAAGTCTGGGTGACAAAGTGAGACCCTGTCTTGGCTGGGCGCAGTGGCTCACACATGTAATCCCAGCACTTTAGGAGGCTGAGGCGGGCGGATCACCTGAGGTCAGGAGTTCGAGACCAGCCTGGCCAACGTGGTGAAACCCCGTCTCTACTAAAAAATACAAAAATTGGCTGGGCGCGGTGGCTCACGCCTGTATTTCCAGCACTTTGGGAGGCCAAGGCGGGCGGATCACGAGGTCAGGACCTCGAGACCATCCTGGCTAACACGGTGAAACCCCGTCTCTACTAAAAAAATTCAAAAAAATTGGCTGGGCTTGGTGGCGGGCGTCTGTAGTCCCAGCTACTAGGGAGGCTGAGGCAGGAGAATGGCGTGCTCCGGATGGCGGAGCTTGCAGTGAGCCGAGATCCCGCCGCTGCACTCCAGCCTGGGCGACATAGTGAGACTCTGTCTCAAAACAAACAAACAAACAAAAATTAGCCGGGCGTGGTGGTGGGCGCCTGTAATCCCAGCTACTCGGGAGGCTTTGGCAGGAGAATCGCTTGAACCTGGGAGGCAGAGGTTGCAGTGAGCCGAGATGCCGCCACTGCATTCCAGCCTGGGCGACAAGAGCGAGGAGACTCCGTCTTAAAAAAAAAAAAAAAAAAAAAGTGACACCCTGTCTCAAACAACAACAACAACAACAACAAACAACAACAAAGGCATAGAGCTAGTAAAGGCCGATCCAATGCCATGTCACTCCAGAACCTAGCGCTTAGCTACAAATTTCATTCATTCCTTCAGATACTTATTGAACGTTTACAGTGTACCAGCATTGTGCTGGGTGTTGTGGATACAATGATGATCAAAACAGATAAAGCCCCTGTCTTTAAATTGCTTATAAATCTAGCAAGGGAGATAGTAAATATATAAATAAAACTAAATATTAATTACGATTGTGATGCATGCTGTGGAGGACAGTAGAGGGTGCTGTGAGGATACATAATGGAGTCACCGGCATGCGGAGGGGGAAATGAGGAGAGACAGGGAAGGCTTTCCCAAGAAAATAATATTTAGCTGAGACTTAAAGGACTGAGTTGGAGTTAAATTGGACAAAGAGCTAACAGGAGGAGGGAAGGGCATGTGTGAGGTCTTGAGACTAGGAGGAGCTTGTATCTTGTTACTTAAAGACCCCTGTGAGGCTGTAGGTGGTGGCTCACACCTATAATCCGAGCGCTTTGGGAGGCTGAGGTGGGAGGATCATGTGAGGCCAGGAGTTTGAGACTAGCCTGGGCAACATAGGGAGACCCCATTTCTACAAAAAATAAAAAATTATCTAGGCGTGCTGGTGTGTACCTGTTGTCCCAGTTACTCAGAAGGCTGAGTCAGGAGGATCACTTGAGCCCAGGAGTTTGCGGCTACAGTAAACTGTGATAATACTACGGCACTCCAGCCTGGGCAGCAGAGTAAGACCCTGACTCAAAAAAAAAAAAAAAAAAAAGAAAAAGAAAAAAATAAGCATTAAACCAGACTGGAATGTATTATGGATAATATGCTAATGCAGTTTCTTTCAGAAAAGAAATCCCACCACTTATTTGTATGCAGCTGAGCAGATACAACCCATTATGTAGTCTCAAGATTAATGGTAATTTGTCCTCTTATAAGAAGACTTGACAGCACCATTTGCTGTACATGTTTTCATAGTTCATTCTAAATTCACCTGGTAATTGGGTTGGTCATCTGTGCTACCTAGTTACTTTTTTCCAAAGGAAAACATGAAACAGCTCTATGATAAAACAAGTAGTTGAGGTGCCTAGGCTAAACTTCCACAGTGATAGGGATAGGGCTGGGGCATTGTCTTCCTGGATATTTCCATTTAAAATAGGGGGTTTGGCTGAGCACGGTGGCTCACGCCTGTAATCCCAGTACTTTGGGAGGCTGAGGAGGGCAGATCACCTGAGGTCAGGAGTTCGAGACCAGCCTGGCCAACATGGCGAACCCCGTCTCTATTAAAAATACAAAAATGTGTGGTGGCGTGTGCCTGTAATCCCAGCTACTCAGGAGGCTGAGGCAGGAGAATCGCTTGAACTGGGAAGCAGAGGTTGCAATGAGTCGAGATTGTGTCACTGTACTCCAGCCTGGGCTACAGAGTGAGACTCCACCTCAAAAAATAAATAAATAAATAAATAAATAAACTTACGTATGTATGTACGTACGTTTGTAAAGGGGGGGTTCCAGGCCCTTCAGAAAAACAGTCCTGGGTTTTACTGTATTTACTGGGTTTAAACAAGCTAAGCTAGGGGTAGTTTATTTAGCCTTTAAAAAGATTTGCATACATATCAAAGGGACAGAGGAATAATTTATAAATACTGGGTTTTTCAAAGAAATGCTGTGAGGAAAAGGAAGGAGAGAAGATCTCTTTCCCTTTGGAAACAGTGAAAATTCAGTTTTAAAATTTTTACTATATGTTTGCATGACAACTAAAAAAAAAATTTACTTACAGTACAGTAAAATGTTGGACTAGAGCAACATCCATAATGTTGGATGGTGTAGGAATTATTCATTCCCACCCCATTATACACATAAGAAACCTTTCTTTGGTAGCCAATGTTATTTTAATGCAAAAATGAACTCTCTATTCTGGAAGGCCATAAGCATGAGGGTGAAAATTGGGATTGAATGGTGTGTAAATTCAGTTTGAAAGCTTCTTGCCACCCACCCAGATAGGAAATACAACAAATTCCTTAGGATTTTACCTGAGCTCTCCCTCCTATCTTCTAAAGTTCCCAGTAACATGAGGCTTGGCCATTTAAACTGCTTAGTGGAGGGAGAGGTCTGTGATGGCCACTGAATTTGCTACTGGAGAAGAGTCTTGATCCAGACCTCAAGAGAGGGTTCTTGGATCTTGTGTAAGAAATAATTTGAGGCCAATCCATAGAGAAAAGTGAAAGCAAGTTTATTAGAAAAGTAAAGAAACAAGAGAATGGCTACTCCATAGGCAAAGCAGCCCTGAGGGCTGCTGGCTGGCCACTTTTATGGTCATTTCCTGATTATATGCTAAAGAAGGGGTGGATTATTCATGAATTTTCTAGGAAAGGGGTGGGTAATTCCCGGAACTGAGAGTTCCTCCCCTTCGTAGACTATATAGGGTAACTTCTTGACATTGCCATGGCATTTGTAAACTGTTATGGTGCTGGTAGGAGTGTCTTTTAGCGAGCTAATGCCTTATAATTAGCATATAATGAGCAGTGAGGATGACCAGAGGTCACTTTCATTGCCATTTTCCATTTGGTGGGTTTTGGCCGGCTTCTTTACCTCAGCCTGCTTTATCAGCAAGGTCTTTCTGACCTGTATCTTATGTGACCTCCTATCTCATCTTGTGATTTAGAATGCCTAACCTGCGAATGCAGCCCAGTAGGTCTCAGCCTTATTTTACCCAGCCTCTATTCAAAATAGAGTTGCTCTGGTTCAGATGACTGATAAATTGATTGAATATTGCTTACCAGTGGTTTGAGCTTCCTTGCTGTACTTAGCTAGTGTTTTATTAAGTAAGGCTATGTTTGTACTAGGAACACTAATTTCTGAAGGGGATATAAATTTTTCCAGTTTATATGAGCAGCACTTAGTGGTCATTAAATTGGATACTACTACATTAAGAAACTACCATTGCAGAATTCTCTATGAGTATGGCATTATAATCCAGATTGGTTTAAAATGTTAGCTAAACTGAATCAAAGAAACTGTACTGAGTTCCTATTAAGCAGCTAACTTGTTTATGTTCAATTGTTGCTTAGAAGCCTTTGTATTCTGTTTGAGTTGTTAAAACTTCAGACAAACTAAATTCAACAGAGTTTAACTGAACAAAGAATGATTTGCAGATCAGCAGCCTCTGGAACTAGAATAGGTTCAGAGTGACTCTGGGGTAGCTACATGGTTGGATAGTATTTGTGGACAGAAACAGCAAAGTGACATACAGAAAATGGAAGTGAGGTACAGGCCAGGCCCAGTGGCTTACACCTATAATCCCAGCACTTTAGGAGGCCAAGGCAGGAGGATTGCTTGAGCCCAGGAGTTTGAGACCACCCTGGGCAACATAGGGAGACCCCATCTCTTAAAAAAAAAAAAATATATATATATATAGATAGATAGATAGATAGAGATATGCAGGTGTACCACTCATGCCTGTGGTCCTAGCTACTCAGGAGACTGAGGTGGGAGGATCGCTTGAACCTGGGAGGTTGAGGCTGCAGTGAGCTATGATCACACCACTGCACCCCAGCCTAGGTGGCAGAGGGAGACCTTGTCTCAAAAAAAAAAAAAAAAAAACAAAAAAAAAACAGGGAAGTGAGGTGTAGAAAGAGCTAGATTGGTTGCAGCCTAGTGTTTGCCTTATTTGAGCAGTTGGCTGCCTATGACTGGCTGAAACTGGGCTGCTGTGATTGGCTGAGACTGGGCTACTTGTTACAAGAGTAGGTTAAAGTTTGTTTGCACATCCAGTTAGGTTACAGGTCACTAGCTATGGAGGAACATTTAGGCTAAACTTAAAATATGTAAGGAGGCAGCTTTAGGCTAAACTTCTTATAACAAGGTGATTAGAGCTAAGCTTAGGGATCTCTTCATCTCTTAGACAGTATTAGAATCCTTCCTGTTTAAAGTTCCAGCTAAAGGATTTTTTTTTTTACATGACCCCCTATTTGATGCACTTAAGAGTTAAGAATGTGGGCTTCAGAGTCTGAGTACGTTGGTTGAAATCTCTTTTCCACCATTTGCTAGCCATGTGACTTCACGTACTTTTCTTATTTAGCAAATGAAAATAACTGTCATACCTACCTCCGGATTGCTGTGAGGATGAAATGAGATCATGGGTATGGAGAATGTGTATTTCAGTGTCTGGCACATTGCAAATACTTAAAAAAGTTAGTAATTGTTATTAATATTTTTCCTTTTCAATAGCCATGTATGGTACTGTGAACCCAGAAAATCTGAGACAGGTCTTAGTTAATTCAGAGAGTTTATTTTGCCAAGGTTGAGGATGTGCCCATGACACAGCCTCAGGAGGTCCTGATGACATGTGCCCAGGGTGGTCAGGGCACAACTTGATTTTATACATTTTAGGGAGACATGAGACATCAATCAATATATGTAAGAAGTACTTTAATTCCATCTAGAAAGGCAGGACCACTCAAAGTGGGGCCCCCCTTCAGGGGCTTCCAGGTCACAGATAGGTGAGAGACAAATGGTTGCATTCTTTTGAGTTTCTGATGAGACTTCCAAAGGAGGCAATCGGAATATGCATCTATCTCTGTGAGCAGAGGGATGACTTTGAATAGAATGGGAGGCAGGTTTGCCCTGAACAGTTCCCAGCTAGAAGGAGCCCAAGATATTTTCCTTTCACATTTCCCCACTTTTCTTTTTTAAAATCATTTGGAGAAAGCATTTTAGAAGAAAATGAATCTCTGGTCTCAAGTTTCATCTGATCTCTCATGGTTAGGATGGTTTATTCCTAGTTAGTTAGGTCCTGAAAGCTCATTCTTAGCAGGTTGTGAAGTCTCATGTCCTGTGAAGAGAAAATGGGGGGAGGAAGGGAGAAAAACAACAACAAACAAAAGAACAATCCTGGAAAAATCGATATTGGCCACATTACTCTGAAGTCCACACATTAGTAGGCAGGTATGAAAGTGGCTTATGTATGTAAATAGGTTGCTATTATTTTCTTCTGAAGTGTAAGTTGTCTGGCTTCAGTTTGCAGGGCTTTAAGAAAGCACAGCTTAGTTTTCAGTGACTCCAAATTAGGAAAAATGGAAAAAAAAAAGGAAAAAAACTGAAAACATTATTTTGAAGACTTATAGCCAAGAAAAATTAGAATTCAGTTCAAACTGTAGAAAATAATAAAAATTGGAAAAACATTAGGCAAGACTAGACTCCAACAACAGGTTTACTATAGTTTTGAAACATAATTTTTCTCTCTCTGGTTTCCCAATTTTGCCAAAGACAAGTCACGCTAGGACTGGTTTGCTTTATTATACTTGACCTAATTATTTGTATACAGTGCAGCAAGAATAATTTTTTTTTACATACACTTTTAAATTGCTTTGATGGAACTTGTTCCATAGGAGGAATCTCAGATAAGACTTTCTAAAGCTGAGCCATGATTTGTGTCATCAAATACCTATGAGCTGGGTGAATTTCCTCACCTCTTTAGGTTCCAAGATAAACCTGGGGCTTCTGGGACTGTCAGAAAGTGACATTCTTTACTTACCACAGGTCAGAAACCCTGTACATGGACTGTATACACAAAATATGAGGCCAGATTTTCCAGGGGCTTTACTGGCTCTATATGTCACGTTTGATTCCTTAAAGGAAAGCACTCCATTCCAGTCAAAGCCTTGGTAAAATAACCAGTTTCTCCAATTGTGTCCTGCTACAAATGAAAACACAGTCTTACAGCACTGATGCAAATAACTGTATTGCCATAAGAATACTCATAAATAGTTTCCAGATTCTGGAGTAATCAGGTAGAGAGAAACAAATATGTTCCAAATTTTGTTCATAGGAGTATGCTGAATTGTTAAAAGCTGTCAGTAGCTCAAAAGAAAAGTTTTGAGACTCTGAAAAACAAAACAAAGGATCAGCAAACATTTTAAGCAAAAATTCAGTCCATGCAGTTAATTCCTGTTCTGCTTGATACTCATGAACATTTTAGCTCTCCGTGAGTCCTGGAAGTTTTTCCTCTATTCTGATATCACAATCTCTAAAGTTATGAGAAACCTGCATTCAAGAGCACCTGTTAGAGTTTTGTAGCTGATTATAAAATCACCTTCTAAAGAGGACCAAAACAAGACAACAATTGTCTGTGGATGACAAAAAGTTTTAGGGCAGCCATAGTCAAAGACAATTGACAAGGAAATTTGTTACCTCTGTGACACACAATAATTTTATGATTATTACTGATAATGTATACTAAGTTATATCAGAATTATAGGAGTTTCACATAATTTTGGAACACATACCAATAACATATTTATACAAATACAGCCCAAAGGAAACCAAACACCATTTCATATTTGACAATGCCTCCTGTATAATTTTTGGACCAGATAAGCCAAATTATGTTATTTTTTGGACTTTAGGGAACCTCTAATGTCTTAAAGGATTAATTAGGTCAGAAAAAGACATAATTTATTATTTGATTTGGGAAAGTTTGTCAAATATCAAAGGTTTTAAACACTTGATATCACAAAATAGGATCACAGGTCTTTGTAAAATAAGTCATCCATTTAACCAAAATGATAAGGATTTCAAAAACAAAAAGGTGAAAACCTTTATTTGTTGAGAGAGAAGAATTAATTTTGCAAACAATAAGCCTTAATAAAACCAGCATGAAGCCAATTAAATTTGTTTTTTAAAATTTTATAAATAATCTATAAGATTTTAATCTTGACCGTAAGATATAGCTTCCATAAGCCTTTTATAACCTTTATTAAGGAGTTGGTTAATGCTTCAAGAAAACCTAACTAATCTGACACAGGGGCCCATATGCTGGTCTTGCATCAGTGTGCCTTTGACATTAATAATTAATTTATAGAGAAACTGAACTTATTTTATCTTTCAAAATTGGCCGTTACAATCTTACGTGCCCACCTCTTCCACAATAGTCCCTGGGCTTTGAGGAGTTGAATAGCTTTAACTTTTTGCCTTGTGTGTCAGGAATGCAGTTTATTTTGATGGGCATCTTCTATGGGGCCTGAAGACAAGGCTTTAATTGCAGTCAGTGTTTAAGATTTAGCAAGACTGGCCGGGGATGGTGACTCATGCCTATAATCCCAGCACTTTGGGAGGCCGAGGTGGGTGGATCACCTGAGGTCAGGAGTTCGAGACTAGCCTGGCCAACATGGTGAAACCCCGTCTCTACTAATAATACCAAAAAAATTAGCTGGGTGTGGTGGTGCACACCTGTAATCTCAGCTACTCGAGAGGCTGAGGCAGGAAAATCACTTGAACCCAGGAGGTGGAGGTTGCAGTGAGCCGAGATCACACCATTGCACTCCAGCCTGGGCAACAAGAGCAAAACTCCATTAAAAAAAAAAAGAAAAAGATTTAGCAAGACTTGGTGTCCTGTTTTAGATCCAGGACTCAAAGCCCTGTAACTCAATGTCACAAGGACTTTAAAAGCACATACAGGAAGATACATGGAGGCTGAATCACTTGAACCTGGGAGGTGGAGGTTGTGGTGAGCCGAGATCACACCTTTGCACTCCAGCCTGGGCAATGAATGAAACTCCGTCTCAAAAGAAAAAAAAAAGAAAAGGTTTTGTGGGTTTTTTTGTTTGTTTGTTTGTTTGTTTTGAGATGGAGCCTTGCTCTGTTGCCCAGACTGAAGTGCAGTGGCCCGACCTTGGCTCACTGCAACCTCCGCCTCCCAGGTTCAAGCGATTCATTCTCCTGCCTCAGACTCCTGAGTAGCTGGGATTACAGGTGTGTGCCACTATGCCCAGCTAATTTTTGTATTTTTAGTAGAGACAGGGTTTCACCATGTTAGCCAGACTGGTCTTGAACTCCCTACCTCAGGTGATCTGCCCGTTTCAGCCTCCCAAAGTGCTGGGATTACAGGTGTGAGCCACCGCACCCAGTCAAAAAAAGTTTTTTAATCTCAGTTTTTTTATTTCTAAGCAAACCAAAACTTAATAATAATATGGCAACTTGGTCATATTAAAGTTTTTTGGCTTTTAAAATTTTTTTTATTTTTATTTCTTTTTTTTTTTTGTGAGACAGAGTCTCACTCTGTCACCCAGGCTGGAGTGCGGTGGTGTAATCTCAGCTCACTGCAACCTCTGCCCCCAGGGTTCATGCAGTTCTCCTGTCTCAGTCTCCTGTGTAGCTGGGATTACAGGCGCCTGCCATCATGCCTGAGTAATTTGTGTATTTTTAGTAGAGACAGGGTTTCACTATTCTGGCCAGGCTGGTCTTGAACTCCTGACCTCAGGTGATCCACCTGCCTTGGCCTCCTAAACTGCTGGAATTATAGGAATTATAGGCGTGAGCCACTGGGCCTGCCCATTTTTCTTTTTTGTCTTTTTTTTTTTTTTTTTTTGAGACAGAGTCTTGCTCTGTCACCCAGGCTGGAGTGCAGTGGCACAATCTCAGCTCACTGCAAGCTCCACTTACCGGGTTCACACCATCCTCCTGCCTCAGCCTCCGGAGTAGCTGGGACAGGCACCTGCCACCACGCCTGGCTAATTTTTTTTTTTTTTGAGATGAAGTTTTGCTCTTGTTGCCCAGGCTGGAGTGTAATGGCATAATATTGGCTCACTGCAACCTCCGCCTCCTGGGTTCAAGTGATTCTCCTGCCTGAGCCTCCCAAGTAGCTGGGATTAGAGGCATGTGCCACCACGCCAGGCTAGTTTTATATTTTTAGTAGAGACGGGGTTTCTCCATGTTGGTCAGGCTGGTCTCGAACTCCCAACCTCAGGTGATCCGACTGCCTCGGCCTCCCAAAGTGCTGGGATTACAGATGTGAGCCACCGCACCCGGCCTCTGGCTAATTTTTTGTATTTTTAGTAGAGACGGCATTTCACCATGTTAGCCAGGATGGTCTCAATCTCCCAACCTCGTGATCTGCTTGCCTCGGCCTCCCATAGTTCTGGGATTACAGCCACCGCACCCAGCCTCTGGCTAATTTTTTGTATTTTTAGTAGAGATGGCATTTCACCATGTTAGCCAGGGTGGTCTCGATCTCCCGACCTCGTGATCTGCTTGCCTCAGCCTCCCATAGTTCTGGGATTACATATTTCTGGGATTACAGGCCTCCCATAGTTCTGGGATTACAGGTGCCCGGCCTCTTTTAAAAAAAAAATATATATATATATATATATATATATACACACACACACACACACACACACACACACATATATTTATTGCGACTTATACTGACCATTCGTGACATGCTTGGACTTTCTCATTTGTCTTGAACATCCATCCCTCCTTCTTTTTTTTTTTTTTTTTTTTTTTGAGATGGAGTCTCTCTCTGTTGCCTACACTGGAGTGCAGTGGCGCGATCTTGGCTCACTGCAAGCTCCAAGCTCCGCCTCCCGGGTTCACACCATTCTCCTGCCTCAGCCTCCTGAGTAGCTGGGACTGCAGGCTGCCACCACCATGCCCCACTAATTTTTTCTATTTTTAGTAGAGATGGGGTTTCGCCATGTTAGCCAGGATGGTCTTGATCTCCTGACCTTGTGATCCACCTGCCTCTGCCTCCCAAAGTGCTGGGATTACAGGTGTGAGCCACCGCGCCTGGCAACATCCCTCCTTCTTAAACAACCAGTCATTTTATTTTAGGACTAAATTTACCATACAATATTCTTTCTCGTAAAATTATTTTTCTTTAAGCTTTCTTACCACACATACAAAAATCCTATTTATTTTTAAAACTTTCTTTACATCTCTTTTTATTTTCTGGTTCCTTTTACCTTGTTTTATATGTAACCTTTAAGTAAGCTGTGAATTAGACAAAACTTGTTCACCCTTTTTTAAAAAGGACACATCCTTCTGTTTTTTTAGCAAGAATGTTTTCCTACAATATATATTTATTGGAAAATACCCAAATAATTAAATACCTATTATTTAATTTAATATAACTTTATATTCTAAATTATGACCAGTTTATCTACAGGTATTTATCCCATTACATTTACCTAATTATTTTATTTGTTTACGTACATTATTTATGAAAACTATGATAGTCATAATTTAAAGTTATGAAACCACCATTGCAAAATTGTAACAGTGAAAAATGATTTGACCTAACTAAACTTCATCTTGCTCTTAACCTCCAATCTGTCCTTGTTCATTCCTGGGCATAGGCTGAACTAACTTTGGGAGGAACTTATAGTTTAGCTTTGAAACAAAGATGATAACAGTCCTTTCCCAAAAGAAACCTCCTTATTGCCTGTGGACTAGACTGCCTAAAGCCATGAGGTTAGAAGTTATGGTAATTTTACCATATTTAAGATGCAGCTATTTTCATTAAACCAGTATTAATGTCTTATTTATTAAAAATTACACAAGCGAAGATCATTCTGTTTTGGGCTGGGTTTAATGTTTTGTAACCCCCGTGCCATATTTTGACACCTTAATGTATCTGGCAGAGAACTATGAAACTGCTTGATTAGGCCACGCATGGTGGCTCACGCCTGTAATCCCAGCACTTTGGGAGGCTGAGGCAGGCAGATCACAAGGTCAGGAGTTTGAGACCAGCCTGACCAATGTGGTGAAACCCTGTCTCTACTAAAAATACAAAAATTAGCTGGGCGTGGTGGCACGTGCCTGTAATCCCAGCTACTCAGGAGGCTAAGGCAGGAGAATCACTTGAACCTGGGAGGCAGAAGTTGCAGTGAGCCAAGATCGCGCCACTGCACTTCAGCCCTGGGTGACAGAGCGAGACTCCATCTCAAAAAAAAAAAATAAATAAATAAAAGAAATTGCTTGATTAATAAATGCAAGCAAAAATGAATGCTGGCAATTGTTAAGACATTTCTAATGTTTCCCAATAATTTTAAAACTTGCTTTTTATTAAAGAGTCTACTTAAGTTACATGAACTTGAAAAAGCATTTGAGTAGTCTTTTTTAGTATCTGATTTAAGTGCTTTTTTAAAGCCAATTACCTAGAGCTCTTTTATATGTATTTTTAGTAGTGAAACATTGTGTACACAACACATACACAGACATATAGGCATGCCAATAGAAGTACATTTTGTAGATTCATAGAAACCTTTTTTTTCCTATCAGACTTTCAGATTCTTTTTTTTTTTTTTTTTTTTGAGACAGAGTCTCACTCTGTCGCCCAGGCTGGAGTGCGGTGGCGTGATCTCTGCTCACTGCAAGCTCCGCCCCCTGGGTTCACGCCATTCTCTTGCCTCAGCCTCCCCCTAGCTGGGACTACAGGCGCCCACCACTACACCCAGCTAATTTTTTGTATATTTAGTAAGATGGGGTTTCACCATGTTAGCCAGGATGGTCTCGATCTCCTGACTTCGTGATCCACCCGCCTTGGCCTCCCAAAGTGCTGGAATTACAGCTGCACCCGGCCTCAGATTCTTGATAACTTGTTTTACAACCCTGGGCAGCTGTCAGCTACGTAGCCTTAAATTTGCATGTTAAAGGAACCAACTCAGGTGAAAGTCAAATAGCAAAGTTTACATTATAAGGTGCGGAGAGAAAAAGTTTGGGTTATAGAAATTTTAAAGGCCTTTTAAATACACACACACACACACACACACACACACACACACACACACACACACACACACACACACACCCTGACACCCTATAGCTTTTACTTCAGAACTTTTTGCCACTAGATAAATAGAAATTTACTGGCTTGCAAAAATATCTTGTTGGATCTAAACAGTGGTTTTTATCTTAATAGAAAAATAACAGCAGATTGAGAGCAGGCAGAAAAGAAAAAATAGAGAAAAAGAGTACTTAGGAACTCTGTAGTTTGCAGGTCAACCTTAGGCCTCCTTTTCCTTAATGTGAATGTGCACAGAGACCATATTATTTCCATTTTACATAAACTTTGGCAAGTAGAGGTGCCATAAAACCTATGGAATGCTCAAAAGGGGTCATTCTCCTTTTCTCCTCATTCTTCGATTATTTGCTTCCTGCCCTTTTTCTTTTTTTTCTTAAAAGGGGGAACTGAGCTTGTAGCCTAGGGTTTTTGTGTGGTGGATCAATATGTGCTCCTTGTGGGCAGGACTACACAGTATGTCAGCACTGAGTCGCTTCCACCCTTTTACATGTCTCAGTTTCTCTCTCCAGAGGTCTGTGACCTCAGAGAGGGCTCAGAACACTGGGTGATCAGTCCTTATATGCGATTCCTGGACGAGCCATTTTAAAAATTAATTTCTGTTGGGGATTTCCCTGCAAGCCTGCTGCATGTCATTGTCGGGGGCGGAACTTAACCCCCAGACACCCCCAGGAGGCCACCGGTCACCCAGGGGTGCCTTCTGGCTGGGAGGAGCAAAACACCCTTTTTCTTCTCAACTGACAAAACTCAGTCTCTCATTAACATATGAAAACAGCAGTTCAATTTCTCACACAAATGCACACAGAAAAACTGAATTAACATTAAATTTGAGAGAAAAAGCAATAGGGAAGAGCCTTTAGAATGCATCTCTGAACTAGAATTAGGTTCCTTAACAACTTCAGACAGGAACAAATAGCAAAAACAAACACACACACAAAACAGCAATAGGATCACTGAGCGCTCCAATGGTAAGGAGGAATTACGACCAGTTAGTTGTTAATATTAACTTTAACCAAGACAAACCCCAGTTCAGTTACTTACCTAGGGATGAGTCTCAGGCTGAAGACTGGTTTCTACCAGCAAGAAAGCAAAAAAAAAAAAAAAAAAAAACAACCTCATCTCAAACTCCACAAAGGAGTTACTACTGCCTTCCATCATTATGGAAGCAGGAAAATCACTTGCCTTGTGCTGGAAGCAGGTAAAACTCCAAAAAAAAAAAGAGGAGTTATACAGCAAAATAAACTTTAGATCTCGATCAAATTTTGGGAGATCAGGGATTCTCTGGAAGGAGTGCTCTCAGATCCCAGCAAATCGTCCTATTGGTTTGTGCCATAAAGGTAGCTGATGCTGGTACCAAGCACCAATAGGAAATTTGTCAAAGGTCAAGGGCATCTCCACTCAGAATACCCCCATGGTTACCAAAATGTGAACCCAGAAAATCTGAGACAGGTCTCAGTTAATTTAGAAAGTTTATTTTGCCAAGGTTGAGGTGTAGCAGGACAAGCTGCGGACAAAACCCCTCAGACACCAAGATAGTGAAGGGAGTGGCTTTCATCAGCTGGGAGCATCGGCAGGCTAGTGTCTTAAAATCCGAGCTCTTCAGGTGCTCAACTTCTGTCCCTTTTAAGGACTCACAACTCTAAGGGGGTCCACGTGAGAGGGTCATGATCGATTGAGCAAGCCAGAGGGTACGTGACAGGGGCTGCAAGCACCGGTGGTCAGAGTGAAACAGAACAGAACGGGAGGTTTCACAGTGTCTTTCCATACCGTGTCTGGAATCTATAGATAACATCAGTTGCTAGGTCAGGGGTCGAATTTTAACTACCAGGCTTAGGTCAGGCAGGCCCAGGCCTGGTTTCCGGTCTGGTTCCTAGGCACCGGGCTACCTGTCTTTAGTTTCGCTTCTCTTTCCTTTTCTGAGTATAAAACAATATAAAACAATATGAGAGGGTCTCTCTCTTCCTTCAGAGGATGTGCCCATGACACAGCCTCAGAAAGTCCTGAAGACATGTGCCCAAGGTGGTTGGGGAACAGCTTAGTTTTATATATTTTAGGAAGACATGAGACATCAATCAGTATATGTAAGAAGTACATTAGTTCCATCCAGAAATGCAGGGACAACTCAAAGCAAGCAAGCTCTCCCACCCCCTCACCCCCCTCCCCCGCCCCGCCGTTACCCTGGGGGCTTCCAGGTCACAGGTAGGTGAGAGACAATTGATAACATTCTTTTGAGTTTCTGAAGTCTTTCCAAAGGAGGCAATCAGAATATGCATCTATCTCTGTGAGCAAAGGGATGGCTATGAATAGAATAGGTAGATTTGTCTTGAGCAGTTCCTAGCTTGAAGGAGCCCAAGATATTTTCCTTTCACAGTAATAGGCTAAAAATTACTTGGGGTTTTGTTTGTATGTTTGTTTTGAGGTGGCGTCTTGCTATGTTGCCCAGACTGGAGTGCCGTGGCACAATCTTGGCTCATCACAACCTCCACCTCCTGGGTTCAAGTGATTCTCTTGCCTCAGCCTCCTGAGCAGCTAGGATTACAGGCACCTGCCACCACGCCCAGCTAATTTTTGTATTTTTAGTAGAGACAGGGTTTCACCATGTTGGCCAGGCTAGTCTCGAACTCGACCTCAGGTGATCCGCCCACCTCGGCTTCCCAAAGTGCTGGGATTACAGGTGTGAGCCACCGCACCCAGCCTAATTTTTGTATTTTTAGTAGAGATGGGGTTTCACCCTGTTGGCCAAGCTGGTCTTGAACTCCTGATCTCAAGTGATCTGCAGCCTTGGCCTCCCAAAATGCTGGGATTACAGGCGTGAGCCACTGTGTCTATCCAAAATTACTTGCTTTTAAAGTATGATTTGGACATCTGTGTAATATTGTTTCACTCAAAGCTGTCATGTGAGAAATAGCCACAGGATGGGCAAAATGTTAATTATATTAGAAATAAAAAT